>NC_000003.12:45161515-45464545 GCF_000001405.40 Homo sapiens
CTTGAAGCCTTTTGCCACATTGTATTGATTCAGGGACACTTTCTTCCTCTCACATTTGAACATTTCTGAAATTTGGATGCATGTTATAGCTGTTCAGAAAAGAACACAGTGGCCAGGTGCAGTGGCTCATGCCTGTAATCCCAGCACTTTGGGAGGCCAAGGCGGGGTGATCACTTGAGGTCAGGAGTTCGAGACCAGCCTGGCCAACATGGTGAAACCTCATCTCTACTAAAAATATAAAAAGTAACTGGGCCTGGTGGCGTACACCTGTAATCCCAGCTACTAGGGAGGCTGAGGCAGGAGAATCTCTTGAACCTGGGAGGTGGAGGTTGGAGTGAGCTGAAATCATGCCATTGCACTCCAGCCTGGGCAACAGAGAAAAAAAAAAAAAAAGGACACAGTGTGTGTTTTTTTCTTCCCTAGAGGTACTTGCAACAGCGGTATAAGGTACGTCGATGGTATTTGAGATGGATAGGGTATTCATGGTTCACCTGTGGATATTCTTTTGAGCCAGTGATAAGAGTACTCTGTATTAAGAAACCCAGCTGTCAGCTCCTGAAGCCTCATCTCTCTCTCCCTACTGCATGGCCTTCTTCCGAGGTATTCTTCAGCGTAGTGAGAAGCCCACATTCACAGAGCTTGCTGCCTGGCCTCCTCTGCTTTAGACAATGACCTTAACATACCTTTAGTAATGGGTGAAAGTTATAGTCCATTTATGCAAACCGGACCTGTCCATGGTCTAACAGTATTTAAGGGATTGGCACAAGTCTTATATTCATTCTTTCCAGAACTTTCCAAATTCACTCCACTCCATTAAGAAGATGTGCTTTAATGGGCTGTTTTAAAAAATAAAGCTGACAGCTCTTTTGAGATTGAATTCACATGCCACGAAGTCCGCTCTTTTGAAGTGTACGACTCAGTGATTTTTAGTATGTTCACAAGGTTGTTCATCAATGACCACTATCTAATTCCAGAACATTTTCATCACTTTATAGGCTACTGAGGGAAATCAAAATATTTCACCCCACAATATACTTCTTTGACATATTTTGAGATGGCTGTTCAGAGGGTCTGAAAACAGAAGTAGCCCTACAAAGCTGTCGTTTGTGGTGGAGATTTGCATCCGTAGAGAAAATTTGCATTGATGCAACTAGAGCCACCATTCTTTCTATAATCTCAAGATGCAGAATCTATACACTATACAGATTCTATACAGATTCTGCAATGGGATGCAGAATCTATACACTTCTGCATCCCATTGTGGGGTCTGGGTAATCACTCTGTGATTCCCAACCTCCACCTTGCACCCTAATACATTTCTATGCTTTTTCTCTTGTTAATCCACCTGCTGTGAGTTCACTTTTTTGCAAAACTTCAGAGAGCAAAGGGGATATTTCTTCCTTGGCTCCTCTACTGCTTTGTTTTTTCTTTTTTTGGGCTGTCGTTTGAATTTTTTTGTTTTGTTTTGTTTTGTTTTGTTTTGTTTGGAGACAGAGTCTTGCTCTGTCCCCCAGGCTGGAGTGCAGTGGTGTGATCTTGATCTCAGCTCACTGTCACCTCCGCCTCCTGGGCTCAAGCGATTCTCCAGCCTTAGCCTCCCAAATAGCTGGGATTACAGGCATGCATGGCCACACCTGGCTAATTTTTGTATTTTTAGTAGAGACGGGCTTTTGCTATGTTGGCCAGGCTTGTCTCGAACTCCTGACCTCAGGTGATCTGCCCGCCTCGGCCTCCCAAAGTGCTGGAATTACAGGCGTAAGCTACTGCGCCTGGCCTGAATTTTTCAAGTAATAAAATATATTTGAAGGGTCCAAGGCTAGTCCCAAGAAAAGTGCCAAGAAAGAAAATAGCATAAACAAGAAAGTGTTTGGGAGGAAAACTCATACCACCTCTAAGGGCTATGAGAGAGATGGGGTGAACTTCATCAGTGACAGGGGTAGTTTTTTCTGGGAGCATTTGTCTGTTTGGGACTCCTGGGGTCGGATGGGGTAGGCCAAACCAGTCTCATCTTTGCTTAGAAGTCAAGAAGGGTCTCCAGGCCAGGGGAGGCTCCACTGCTCGTGTGATGCTCAGAGCACTTGCTGCGGTGTGCTGTTCCCCAGCAGGGACTGACAGGGGAGGTTTACTAAGATGGATGTGAGTCTTGGCATCGGGTAGGCCTGGGTCTGAATCTGCCAACGACCTGCTTTGTGACTTTGCACAAGTTACTTTGCAGCTCTGAGTTTCAGTTCCCTTATCTATAAAATGTTCATCAGAGTGTCTGTTTTGCAGTATTGTACTGAAGATTCAAGAGAATACTTGCAGGGTACAGGCAGAACCCTACAATCGGGGCCAGAGGACACAGACTTCACCTGTACATGGCAGCATCATGGCCATCCTTGGAGAAGCCGTAAAGATTCCTTTGAAAGCCTGAAACAGGTGATTTAGGCAGCATGAAGGCAATTAGGAAAGAGCAGGCTCTGAGAGAGGTGGGGATGGGTTCCAGTGTCTGAAGGGCCATTCTCTTGAGCCAGGACTGGAATTCTTGTTTGTATCTCTACAGAGCAGAACTCTGGGCATGGGTTGGATGTCACAGGAAGAGGACTTTTAGCTTAGTTCAAGGAAGAGCTATTTGTCCAAAGAGGTACTTGGGGTGGGGAGAATCATCTCCTGCGCTGTGAAAAGTTTGCAACAGATGCTGGGTGACTGTCACCCGAGACCACGCTGGCCTATTCTAAGACGCTGACTCTGAGCTGCAGAAACTCACAGCCAGTTGGGGCCAACTCTGGAGCAAGCCAGGAAGCACATGATGTTTGTCCATCTTCAAGTTCTCTCTCTAAGGCCTCTGTTCCCTGGCCCACTGTATCTCCCACCAGAGCTGGTCCTCTCTGGGGCTGGCCCTCTTGAGCCATACACACCCTTCCCTTCTCTGCTATAAACACTCACATTGCTTTGGTGCCTGGATCTCACCCGTCATGAGGGGAATCAAGACCAAAATTAATCCACACCGAAGTGTGAGAGACTGACAGGGTCTTACAGCTGTTATTCATCCCACTCCCACATCCCAATATTAATGTAAAAAAGAAAAAACCATTCCCTTGGACCTACTGTCCCATAAGGACATTCCTTCCCAGAAGTAGTTCTCAACCTTAGCCACCTATTGGAATTACCTGGAGTTTCAAAAATATGGATGCCTGGGTCCATATGGGACCCAGGGATGGGATTTCACTGGGGAAGGGGAGGACAACAGGGAGGCTGGGCATTGGAAGTAACTGAAAACTTCTCAGGTTACTAACATGCAGGCAAGGGTGAGATCCCACAGTGCTGGAGCATCACCCTTGCCCCCAGACACTTTGGGTGCTGCAGCATGCTCTGCTCAGAGGTTGGTGGCTTTTCTCTCTTTGGGGTGCAGGTGTCCTCTGCTCCTCTGTGAAATGCGCTTCAGGGCTCCACTCCCCACAGCTTCTGGTGCTGCCAAGCGTGAGTGGCTAAGATAGTCTCATTCAAGAGTGATGTATCAGCAAGCCCCACTGGCGACCGATCTAAGCCATGTCCTCCAATCAGCTGTGTTAGTAATGAGATGTGTTACTGTTCTAAGGGTACACAGTCGAAGACCACCTGCCTTCAAATCTAGCCTACTGTTTGATCTTTACCCTCTATGAGCCTGTTTCCTTACATATAAACTGGAGATATATAACTGCATCTACCTGATAGGGTCATTATAAGGACCAAATAGGACCAAATAATGGAGCATAGTGCCTGGCACTCAGTGAGTGCTTGGAAGCACTTGCTATTATTATGAACACATTTTTTTTTTTTTTTTTTGAGACAGAGTCTTGCTCTGTCACCCAGGCCAGAGTGCAGTGGTGTGATCTTGGCTGACGGCAACCTCCGCTTCCCGGGTTCAAGCTATTCTCGTGCCTCAGCCTCCTGAGTAGCTAGAATTATAGGCGCTTACCACCATGCCTGGCTAAGTTTTGTATTTTTAGTATGGGGGGGTTTCACCAGGTTGGCCAGGCTGGTCTCTAACTCCTGACCTCAGGTGATCCACCCGCCTCAGCCTCCCAAATTGCTGGGAATACAGGCACGAGCCACCGCGCCCGGCCTAACACAATATTTTTATCTCTGTTTCCTGTATCCTGAGTCACTTTTCAGGAACAAAAAAAGACTTGCAGACACTGACTAGCTCAGTCCCTAACGGTGGCAGGAAGCAGTAGGTAGGTGATCAGAAGAGAAATTTCCCATAGCAAATCAGGGTCTGTGGTCAGGCCAGCCTTGGCTTGCTACTCAGTTTTACTGACCCCAGTCGGAAGATGGGAAGGAGGAAGCAAGGAAGGGAGTGCCCTGCAGGCAGCCCAGCCTTTTGAGTGGGCAATAATATGGCTTGGAATTGTTTCCCCACCAAAATCTCATGTCAAATTGTAATTCCCAGTGTTGGAGGAGGGGCCTGGTGGGAGGTGATTGGATCACTGGGGCGGTTTCTAATGGTTTAGCACCATCCCCCTAGCGCTGCCTTGTGCTAGCGTTATCTGGGGATCTGGTTGTTTAAAAGTGTGTAGCACTTTCTTTTTTTCTCTTTCTCCTGCCAGCCATGTAAAATGTGCTTGCTTCCCCTTCACCTTCCACCATGATTGTAAGTTTCCTGAGGCCTCCCCACAAGAAGAAGCCTGTACAGCCTGCAGAACCATGAGCTAATTAAACCTCTTTTCTTTATAAATTACCCAGTCTCAGGTATGTCTTTATAGCAGTATGAGAACAGACTAATACAGGGAACTAGTGTCAAGTTGCTGGCAGAAGATTCTGAAGCGGTAGAGTTGAAGCCTCAGGAGCCTGGCTGGCCTTCAGGGTCCCTGCTTCCTCCTGTCATGTGTGTCATCCTTGGGCAGTGCTTTCTGTCCACTCCATGTTCTCCTCGTGGTTCTTACCTCCTCTCCTTGTTATCCAGGACATCTGCTTTATATGCATTTTCTCCATGTGTTCTGTCCAGTTTAATGGCTCTGTAGTAAAAAGATTAATCCTGACATAAGTAAGAGACATCTGGAAACAACTGACCCTGTTAATTCTTCTCTTCTCTCCTAGGGCCTCAGGGTTCTCAGTGGCTCTGCTCCAAGGCCTCACTGGGGAGCGGGAGAGGCCCATTTCAGTGGGTGAGCAGATGGGGGCTCCTGGGCTGAGGCCTTCCCAGAGGCTGGGCGGTGGCCAGCCATGATCATGGGCCAAGGTCACTTGTTACTGTACTGGAAGAACAGGGCTAGGACTGGAGGTCAGGCCAACCCAGGGTCTCAAGACCCATTCCAGGCAGGACCAGTCCCCAGCAAAAGGCTGCCAGGCTGCAGCAGCCCTTGATTTTCTGAGCTGCTCAGGGTAAGGACATCCTGAGAAGGAGGCTGCCTTTAGAGAATAGGACCATTAAAAGCTCATCCTAAATGAAGCACCACCAAAACTCCTCAAGATTGTCATGGTTGTTCAAAAGATGGCCAAAGTTTCTTTCTTTTTCTCACTCTGTTCCCTCTCTAGCTGCACCCCTTGTCTCCCTTCTCTCCCTCTCCTTCCTTCTCTCTCCTAATTGCATTTCTCAGTGTGCCTGCATCTGACTGCCTGTCTGCCATTGGAATGGGCACAGGTGTTGGGGGAGGATGTCTCCACCACAGGTCAGCCTGGGTACCAAGGAAGTGTTTGGGGAACTGGCTTCACTCCTTCCACCCAAGCCTATGTCACTTTTCAACCGACCAATGCAGTGAACAGAACTCTGAGTCACGCAGGAAATACAGTAATTTTCTGAGGAACAATAAGCATCCATTCTGCAGTTGCCAGTGGTGACTATATAGCCCTTCACTGCCATTGAGCTCTTTATTTTGGGGGGACCGGGGGTGGTATGTGCATATCTGGCTCTCTATTTTATTTTTATACAAACGATAGCATATACTGTTTGTCTTGCCCTCAGGTTTGGTTTCTGTTGCCGCTGTTGTTTTCTTTTCCAACATCATAAGCCTCTTCCTTATCTTTCCATGTCTGCACACAGGAAGCGGCATCACTTGTTTTTCATGTCCTGCGCATCGAGGCACACTTTCTGCTCCTCTTTGTGCCGCCAGCCGGCCCAGGCCCACAGATGGTAGGACTTGTGCCCCAGGCTGCTGTGTGAGTCAGAGTCAGGCAGGAAGCAAATGGCAACTTCACCGCGGTGACTGAGGAATGCTTAACGAAGGCGCCGCCCTTGACAACGGTGTGGGTTGGTAAAAGGAAACAGCCGGGAGCCCTGCAGCGCCGGTGCCGCCACCGTTTAGTCTGACTGTGCATTTGACTAAGTCACAAGAGGCCAGGCCTGTGACTTGTCCGAGGGAAAAACCACCAGAAAACCAGGTGTCTGGGCTCCCAATCAGTAATCTTCATTGGGTTTGCTTTGATTGTAAACGAACAAAAAAAAAGCTTAGTTATTTAAATTCCATTCATGAATCTAGGAAGGAGCTTAGAAATTAGCCTTTTCCACAATCAAGACCAATTAGTCAACTCTTCTATTGTAAGTTTTCATCATTTTTCTGTTTACCCAACTTACAAACTGCTTTTTAAGTCAGAACTTGAAGATTTATTCCTGGCAAATGTTTTTAAGAGCAAAAATTTGGAATCAGTGTAAGTGTCCCCAAATAGGATAATGGGAAAGTAAATGAGGATACATCTACTCAGTGGAAAATATCTTAAACTGTTTGAAGTTTGCAATAAAGTGGAAAATGCTTAGCTGTTATGTTCAAGAAAAATTATGAAGTCTAATTTATTTAGAGTGCCATGATAATTATGCTAATTCATATAGGCACTGAAACAAAAAAAAAAACCCTAAAACTTACATGAAGAAAAATAGACTGGAGAGGAAGACACCAACATGTTACTGATAATGATTATCATTTTATGGGTGAAATGAGATTGATTTTTATTCACTTCTCTCAACGTTTCCAAATTTTCTCCAGTGGTCATCTAATACTTCCAGAACAACAACAGCATTAACTACAAGATCACAGTTCAAAGAAACAAGTCGCTGAGATAATTTGACAAGTGGTCTATATCCAGAGCCATTAATATACCCACAACTTCTGACCCAGTCATTTCTCTTAGGAATCTGTCCTGAGGAAGTAGTTCAGCTTTCAGAAAAAGCCCTAGGCAGGGAGATGTTTACTGCAGGGAAAAACTGGAAACCACGTAGATGCCAAACACTGTAAAAATAGTTAAAGAAAACGAGGTTCAGCCACTTGACACCACTACGTATTCATTAGGAAAGAAAATGATGACAAAAAGCATGCACTGTGACACCAAAGACAAAACTCAGCATTCACAATTGAATGTGCAGTATGATAAGAGGGTTTGTTTATTTTTATTTATTTTTATTTTTTATTTTTTTGAGATGGAGCCTTGCTCTGTCACCCAAGCTGGAGTGCAGTGGCGCCATGTAGGCTCACTGCAACCTCTGCCTCCTGGGTTCAAGTAATTCTCCTGTCTCAGCCTCCCGAGTAGCTGGGATTAGAGGGGTAAGCCACCATGTCTGGTTTTTGTATTTTTAGTAGAGATGGGGTTTTGCCATGTTGGCCAGGCTGGTCTCGAACTCCTGACCTCAGGTGATCTGCCTGCCTCGGCCTCCCAAAGTGCTGGGATTACAGGTGTGAGCCACCGTGCCCGGCTATAACAGGATTTTAAAAACGCTATAGGTGTTGAAAAAAAAATCCTCAAAGAAGACGAGATGAATGGTTATTGATGGCGGGGCAGGGTGATGAGATTGTGTGTAGTTTCTTTTCTTGATTCAGCATTTTCTGTAATGGACTTGTCTTGCATTTATAACTGTAAAACGTAATGAGTAATGGAACAATTACTTGGTTCCAAAGCACAGAGTCCAACAGGGAAGGCTGGTGGAGAGCAAGCCCCTTTGTCAGCAGTGGAACAAGAGGGAAGGAGCCATCGAGGAGGGACTGATGAGATCTGACTAACTCCAGCACTAACGAAGCAGTGAGTGGGTGAAAAGAAATTGCGGGGCCTTGCAGGGGTCTAGGTGGGGAATGGAAAGATAAGGAATGCAAAATACACAGTTCTGTGGAAATCACTCAACAGTCAACAGACCACCTCTGGTGGACGAACATCAAATTCTGTCAAATCCCTCCTACCCTAAAGGTCAGGGAGAGGAGAGCTGAGGGCAGCCTCTAGGTGACCTGAAGAGGGGACATGCCCAGTAGGACATAGGAAGCCTGAGTGCAGGGGTCAGTACTGCCAATCTTTAACAGAGGATGCAGGGATTGACCAGAGCGCCCTGAGGCCACAGTGTCCAGCTCACAGTGTCTGTGATTTGCATTGCCCTTTTCTCTTGAAATTGTCTTCCTCATCCTCCACAGTGTGGTCAAAACGGCTTCCCCTCTGAGGCCTTCCTTCATTTCCCCCACCTGGATGGCACATCGTTTATATGTGGGTCTACAGCTCGGTGCCACAGCTCAGAACTGATTTTGTTCCATCTGAAAACAGCGGAATATACACCTGTCAGCTGAGGAATGTTTAGGATGTTCCATATACCGTGCTTGGTTCCCAGTTGTCCCGGGCTGGGTTAGAGCCTGGCTCTGTGTATTTGTGCTCCAGTTACTTCATGCTGCATAATAAACATTCCAAAACCTAGGGGCTTTATTTTGCTTGCCTCTGTGGTATCAGCTAGGGCAGCCAGAAGGCTGGGGCAGGAATCTTCCGAGGCTTGCTCACTAATGGCTGGTGACTGGTGCTGGCTGCCAGCTGGGACCTTAGCTGGCACTGCTGGCTGGAACACCCACGAGTGTTCCTCCCTTTATGGCCTGGGCTTCTTCACAGCATGGTGGCTGGGCTCCAAGAGAGAGAAAGGAAGAGAGAGAGAACACATCAGACAGGAGGAAGCTGTATTTTCTCTTATGACCTAGCCTCAGAAGTCACACAATGTCACTCCCCTGTGTTTCATTGGTTAGAATCGAGTCACTAAAAGGGACTCATAGTCAAGGGAAGGGGAATGAGACTCTACCATTTCCTAGGAGGAATGTTGCAGACAGGTCTTCAACCCCCACTGTTGGCCTTTGTTGTACGCCTCTTCTTTGTACCTAACATAGAGCCCTGAACAGAATATTAGGCAAAATTGCTGGTTGGGTCAAGTTGCCTTCTGGATTGGTACAGATCTGGGTGCAGAAGATAGATTGGAATGAACCCACTTCCTTCCCATTAAGTCACTCAGAAACACAAAATGTTTGGAGAAGTCAATCATTTTCTGCCTCCAGCTGCCCACAAGCTTGTGAGTTGACTAGGTCAAGTTTACTGTCTACATTCTGTCCCCAGTTTCCCTACCCAGCCTTTCCCCCACTGCAGCATAATGTCAAACCCATCGTTTAATCAGACAGGTACCCTCACGGTCTCCCAGCAGGGGTACCCCCAGGCCTTTGCTCAGGTGGTTTCCTCTGCCTGGGACGCCCTCTCTGCTTCTCCCTACTTTCTGTTTTTTTGTTTTGTTTTGTTTTTTGTTTTTTGAGACAGAGTCTCACTATGACACCCAGGCTGGAGTGCAGTGATGTGATCTCTGCTCACTGCAACTTCTGCCTCTTGGTTTGAAGGGATTCTCACGCCTCAGCCTCCCGAGCAGCTGGGATTACAGGCATGCACCATCACGCCTGGCATATTTTTTAATTTTTTGGTAGAGATGGGGTTTTGCCCTGTTGGCCAGGCTGGTTTCAAACTCCTGGCCTCAAGTGATCCACCCGTCTTGGCCTCCCAAAGTGCTGGGATTACAGGTGTGAGCCACCGTGCCCGGCCTTCGCCTTACTTTCTCACTCCTATCCAGTCTTCACCACCCAGCTCAAAGAGCTTTCTTAGCATTTCCCTCTCATCACCGTCACTCACTCCCCAACCTTTGCCTCAGCAAAAAGAAGTGACTAACAAACCTGTATTCCCAAAGCCACAACCCTGCACCCATAAGGGAGCTCAGGGCAGCAAAGCCAAAGCCCCTGGCTCCAGGCAGCAAGGCAGAGTGGAGAGATCTGGACCACTGGAAAAACTAAAGCAAGAGGAGGTGGCTCCCTCTCGCGACAGCCAGTGCCACCAGAGGAAATTGAAGGATAGACTGATCTCTTTAGAAAAGCATAAAAATACAAAATTTCATGTGAAATTCCTTAATTTGTAAAGGTTGATAACTAATTTAAAAATTTAGGCTGCAAATGAATCCCCTGGGCCACATTTGCCCCTCTCTCCCCTTCACAACTTTTGACTGAAAAGATTTGGGGCTGAGAGAAAGGGTTTAGGGAGGGCCTTGGGGAGTGTGGGGTTTTCTCTGAGGGCTAGAAGCTAGAAAGGGTCAGTGTGTTGAGGATGGAACTTCTGGAGGGTTCTTGAAAGGCCTTGGTGCAAATGATGCTCCCAAACTTGGACTCTGCTCCAAGGGAGACATCTACCACTGCAGCAGAATGGGGCTTCAGTGGAAGCTGGGTTGAGTTATAGAAAAACAAAACCTTAGGCAGGGCGTGGTGGCTCATATCTGTAATCCCAGAACTTTGAGAGGCTGAGGTGGGTGGATCACCTGAGGTCAGAAGTTTGAGACCAGCCTGGGCAATATGGTGAAACCCCATCTCTACAAAAATACAAAAATTAGTCAGGTGTGGTGGTGGGCACCTGTAATCCCAGCTACTCGGTAGGCTGAGGCAGGAGAATCGCTTGAACCTGGGAGGCAGAGGTTACAGCGAGCCAAGACTGCACCACTGCACTCTAGACTGGGCAACAGAGTGAAACTCCATCTCTAAATAAATAAATAAAAATAAAAATAAAAAAATAAATTGGGGTCAGGACAACCAAGGGATGCCCCAGTGGACCACCCGAGTGCCAAACATATTCTTGCCTGCCCCCATTGTGTAATCAGCAACCCTGCTTTCTCCTGATGACCAGGGTCCCGTTACCCACGATGGGATGGTGGCTCTTCTCCCTGCTGGTCTCTCTGCACAAAGAGCCCAAAGTGACTGGAAAGCAGCCATAGCTAGGAGTTTGATGGAATCCTCAGAGTGTCACTGGTAGAAGTGTATCCTCTTCTGGGAACCAAGATCTCTAAACCACAGAGCTGTGGGAATGGGACATTGAAACTGGTTAAGAGATCTTGTCCTGGAAGTGATGGTAAGTGGGGCGACTCAGGCTTCCACCCCTTGATTTCCAGGTGAACCACTCCTCTCAGGGGGTAGGGGCACAGTACCATACAATGCCTGTTGACTTAGAGTGTCAGGATACATAGCGCCCTCTCCAGCTGGTGCTTTGGCTGCCTGGACCTTCAGTGACCATTCCACCTCCGGCTGGCCTCTAGAGGATGAGGACGTGGTATCACCAGGGACCTCATGGTCACTTGCCTTTGCAAAGTAGGTCTCTTTGTCTCAATGCTACATGGGATCCTGTATTGGTAGACCACATATTCTGCAGGTGCTGGCCAAGGTCTGTGGGCATAATAGGTGAATCCATGCCCACAGTATGGGTCAATTCCACCCAGAGTGAATTGCTGCTCCTTCCAAGGTGGAAGGGTTCAAATGTTGAACTAGTCACTGAAAGGCTGGCTCGGCTCCCTAAGGGTTGTTGCCATTTCGGCCTCAGTGTTGGTCTCTGGGGCTGTCAGGTTAGACACTGGATAGTGGCAGTTGCTGCATCACCTTGGAGAGTGGAAGGCTATGGTGTCCAGCCCATGCGCAATCCTCCATCCGTTCTGCCTTGATGCGTGTGAAAGAACCCAGCTAGTGGTAGCATGCACTGTTCTGCGGTAACTACTCTGTTCATGTACCCATGTGGCCAGTGATGGAGGCTGGGAAAGTCACTCTGACCATGTGGCTGTTCAGTGCCTTTCCTGTAGTGGGTGCTCTGTGGTGGACATTGCTGTGCAATACGATTTGGTGCCCATTCCTGTGGGCCCATCCTCTTGTCTTGCAGGTCACGCTGTGCCCCTTCCCGAGGGTCCATCCAGGTGCCTCTTTCCCAGCCCTCCTTAGTCTCTTTCTTCCAATTTTTCTCTTCTGGGCCCCTGAGGAACTAGCGCAGCCATTTTCTGCTGCCTGCACACCTGCGTAAATTCTAATTTAAGACCACTTCTCTTTCTATGGGGAGGGTTTTCTTTCCCTGCTGCTTTTCAGGGCTGCCCCTGGATGGAGTTGTGGTCGATTTTTGGCCCTCACCCACAAATTAGGCTGAGTTATTTGTGAACCAAATGCAGCCTTCCACCCAAGCCCCCAACTCATGGTCATTGGTGTGGCCTGAAGGAAGGAGGGGTGGTCCTGGTGCCAGAGTGTGCAGATGACATGAGGTCTGGTCCATCTGCTTGTACAGGTGACTTGTGCCCTCTGGCCCTGCTTGGACCTAATCTTGGAGGTGCCACTTCCATCTTATGATGGCTTCCTGCTGAGTCTGACCTTCTGCTTTGGTAGATGTGAAAGAACCCAGCACATGATGGCAGCCTTGGCTGTGTAAGGGAGGAAATATTTCACCTCTACTCCCTTAGAGTGTTTTGGCTGAGCCTGAGAATTAAGTTGATTTAAGATGGAACAGTAGGAGAAAAGCATACAAATTTATTTCATACAAGTTTTATGTGGCACAGGAGTCTTCATAAGGAAATGAAGGCCTGAAGCCACAGTTAGAGTTGAACGCTTATGAACTGAATTGAGCAAAGAATAAAAAGTTGTAAAAAAGCAGCTGAACTATGTGGGGAGGCTAAAAGAAGATAAGTGATTTTCACTAGCTTTGTTCAGAATTCTCTCAGTCTCAGCTTCTCATCCTTGATGATAACACTGTTACTTTCCTTCTAGTATGGGGAGGGCATCTTTCGTAGGGGAACTTCATCTGCTTTTAAGAAACAGCATGGAGCCTGGAGTGATATTCTTGCACTTGCTGTTTTTCAAGTGCCTTTCACTCAAAGGAGTCGACATGCCAGAGTGGAATACTTTGGGGTGGCATGTTCTTACTTCCTTTAGCTGTGTGGTCACTTTAAGTCCCATGGCCAGGGCTCAGGAACTTCCTAGGTCCTGTTTTTCAGAAAGTATGTAATTCTCCACTGCAGATGGCATGGCCTTCCTGCAGAATCCTAGTCAGCTACATTGATCCTTCTATTGAGACTTGTTACAAACTGCAAACAACATCTTTTCCCACCACAGATACCTCTAATACCAGAGGGTCTGCTGGTCCATAAACCCAAGTGGCTGGGCCCCTTGTACTGCAGCCTGGACCTGCTGCACGGCTCTTTCCTGCTCAGGGACCCGCTCAAGCTGGCTCTGGGCCTGCCCATCAGTACCTGGTTCCAAGCAGTATTCACAAGTGTGTCATATGCAGCCTTCGAGTCTGAAGAAGCTGACCAGGCATTATACTTCCTTCTTAGGGAGAGGTACAAGAAGCCATAATGTGCTCGTTACTTAGGAGGGGTGTTCTGGAATGCCTTGGACCCCCGGGCTCCTAAACACTTGCCCGATCTGGTGGGTGCCTGAGTCCCCATAGGAATTCTCTCCCATCCCCTGGAATGTGCATGTCTTATTGACATCTCTGACATGCTAGTCACTTCTTGATCCTCTCTTCCAATGACATGATCTCCTCAGTGCAGTGGATCAAGGATGCTCTGAGGTCTGTCGACATGAGATAGGTCCCCACATTACAACAGAGGACAGGGGAGTTAACACAGCCCTTGGGCAAGGTCAGCAATGTGCACTGCTGCCTATCCCAAGGGGATGTGACTTGTTTCTGATCCCCTTTTCTTATAAAAATGTAAAAAAAAAAAAAAAGGAAAATGCATTTGCCAGATTATGGCTGCATACTGTGTATGTGAGGCCTTATTAATCTGCTGTAGCAAAGATACTACATTTGGCAACAGCCACTGAGGCTACGACTTGGTTAAGTTTGCAGTAGTTCACTGTCATCTTCCAGGACCTGTCTTTTGTGAGGGACCACCACCTCTCCATCTTTTAGAATGTTTAATAGTGGAACTAGTCATTGCCAGTCCTCCAGGGATGTGATATGGTCGGTAGGGGGTCCATTTGGCCCTTTCTACTATGGTAGCTCCCACCCTACAGCCAAGGAACTAATAATGGGGTTTTGCTTCCAAATATCTCCATTAGGGGATTAGAGGAATGACCACCAATCCTCTTCATAGATGAACCATGTAGACCCTCTGTGAGCTGGGCTAGGAATCCATTTATTACCTCAGAGGTTGTTGTTAAGGTCAAATAAGATAATACAGGAGATGGCCGGGCACGGTGGTTCATGCTTATAATCCCAGCACTTTGGGAGGCCGAGGCAGGCATATCATCTGAGGTCAGGAGTTCGAGATCAGCCTGGCCAATCTAGAGAAACCCTGTCTCTACTAAAAATATAAAAAGTAGGTGGGTGTGGTGGTGCACACCTGTAATCTCAGCTACTTGGGAGGCTGAGGCAGAAGAATCACTTGAACCTGGGAGACGGAGGTTGCAGTGAGCTGAGATTGTGCCTCTGCACTCCAGCCTGGGCAACAGAGCAAGACTCTGTAAAATAATAATAGTAATAATAATACAGGAGAGGAAGATTTGTAATATGCAATAAGTGACAGTTGATATTTTTTGCTTATTCATTCAACAACCATTGATTGAACATCTACGTTGTACTGGACACCGTGCTAGGTGTTGGAGTGTTCAAAAAGGCGTACATGATTCTATGAAGTGAAAATTTCATACCCATGAGCTGGGATGAGCAGCTCTGCACTGATGCTTAACAGACAGTAAATACTGCACAACTGAGGCAGGGCTCAAGCTAGGAAGGAAAACTCAGCACACTAGTAGCTGGAGACCTCAACTCCAAGACTTTATGACAATCCTTCCTGCTGGTCTAGACTGCAGCGGAGAAAAATGAATATTGCTCAGAAGTTACCTGGAAGCTCTGCCAGGGAGGGGGAATGCACCCTAGGGGGAGATCCTGGGCTTTAGAACCAACTTCTCTGGGCTGGAATCCTGCCACTGCCAGATAAATGGATTGTGTGCATCCCTGGGCAGGTTACAATGCCTCTGAGCTTCAGTTTTCTCATCTATAAAATGGGTATAATGACTCCTGCTTTGCAGAGTTGTAATTGTAAATGAGCTGCTATAAAATATGTAAGTGTTTGGCATAGTTCCAGATACAGCTTTTCCTGAATGCACGCTTTATTTTATCAAGAATTCTTCACTCTATTCCTCCATAGGGCCTCTTGCCTTCAGGATTGATGGAGCTTTGACCAAGCCCCAAATCAGCTTTATGCAGGACTGTCAAAGCTGGGTCCTCCAGGACTTAATTTTCCAGCTCACTGGGAAGGCCCCTTACCTCCAAATGCAGCTCTTCCTCTGGCCTGCCTGGGCTTGACATTCCACCAAAGCCAGTTCTTCGCACCTTTTTCATCTCCAGGAAGCCCCTGTCCATCACTAACATCTGCTGATTGTATGGCACTTGCTTTATCCTGTTCAAACTACCTTTTGGTCTTTCCAGTAGCCTTGGGAAGTAAATTGGAGATTCGTTCCAAGGTTACTCAGCTGGAAAGGGAGGAGCTGGGATTTGAACCTAACATTCCCTGTGAAGTTCTCAGCTAGAAGCAGTCTGAGTTCTTAACTCCAGGCACTACTATGTTGCCTTGCGAGCCACGTGCTACCACTCTACGTAAGGTACAAACAAGTTAATCATTATCAGTTAAAAATAAAATATTAAGGGCCAGGTGCAGTGGCTCATGCCTGTAATTCCAGCACTTTGGGAGGCTGAGGACTGCTTGAGCCTAGGAGTCTGAAACCAGCCTGGGCAACATAGTGAGATGCTGTCTCTACAAAAAAATAATAAAAATTAGCCAGGCAAGATGGCATGCCCTGTAGCCCTAACTACTTGGGAGGCTGAGGTGGGAGGATCATTTGATCTTGGGAGGTCAAGGCTGCAGTGAGCTGTGATTGTGCCACTGCACTCCAGCCTGGGTGACAGAGTGAGACCCTGTCTCAAAAATACATATATACATAAAACATTAAGAGCTTTCCCTTCCAGCACTTTGGGAGGCTGAGGCAGGCAGATCACGAGGTCAGGAGATCAAGACCATCTTGGCTAACACGGTGAAACCCCGTCTCTACTAAAAATACAAAAAATCAGCCAGGTGTGGCAGCGGGCATCTGTAGTCCCAGCTACTGGGGAGGTTGAGGCAGGAGAATGGCGTGAACCAGGGAGGCAGAGCTTGCAGTGAGCCGAGATTACTGCACTCCAGCCTGGGAGACAGAGCAAGACTCCGTCTCAAAAAAAAAAAAAAAAAAAAAAAGAGCTTTCCCTGTGTCTCAGGTGCCCTGTCTACATCATATCTACCCCAGTGTCTCCAGACCTCAAAACAGTGCCTGACCCATAGAATTTTATGAGAATAGATAGATAGATAGATAGATAGGTCACTGTCCTTTATGTTTCAGGCTGTCTGCTAAGTGCTTAACATCTAATTTATCTTATTTAGTCCTCCTAGCAGCCTTCCAAGGTGTCTCTGGCTCCATTTTACATACAAGAACAACAAGGAGAAGTTGAATACCTTGCCCACATTCACACATTTGTTTGGCAGCAGAGCCTGAAATAGAGCCCCAGACGCAGGATTCCAGGGTCTGATCCCAAGCCCTTAAGCACTACGCCTCACTGCCATCCACATGAAAAATGATCTAGGAAATGTTTACAAGACGAAGCGTGGAGAAGTCACTGCAGACAAGGGAGCCAGCCTGAGGACAGACCAAAGGGGTGAAGCTGCCCTGTGTGTTCAGAGTCACTGGAGAACAAAACGTGAGAGAGGCCACACAGCTGACAGCAGGGGCACTGCCTCTAGTGAGAACACCCTCCAGGGAGTGTGCGAGCTGGAGCTTGTGGCGTCATTTGAAAGCACTCTTCTTGGCCCTGCCTTTGGGGAACAGTGTCCAGGTTCCAGCATCACCACCAGTCACCTCTTACCACCAGGCCCAACTGCCAAGGGAGCAGGCGGCGCCACTGCCTCCAGCATCTGCCCGGGAGGTCCTGGCATGGAGGGCTGCCTCTTCTGTGGAATGTCTGTGGTCACAGTGGTAATCAGAGAAGTGGGTTTATGTTTCTGGGTTAAAAAAACAAACAAGCGCAAACAGCTTCTAACCTGCCTGGATCCGGGAAGCCGTGAGGTGCACTGTGTACCAGGAGCGTGGCTCTGGAGTAATAATCTGAGGCAGGACCCCAGCTCCCCCACTTTCCTCTCCTGTGAGGCTTGGACTGATCTCTTAACCACCTACTGAAGGTACAATTTCTCAGTTTTTCCAATTGTAACTTGGCACACACAATACTCTTTTTTGACAGCTGGCTCTAAAGGCAGCGGGCACAGCCCCACTCAATATCACGTGTCCTATAATGATAACTCTTGGCATAACACCCTGGAGGTACTAACCGGTGTGCTCCCCCAGTCTCAGGACAGATTCCCCCAGAACCTAGGTCAAGAATTTGGGTGACAGCAATTTTTTTTTTTTGAGACAGGGTCTCACTCTGTCACCCAGGCTGCAGTGCATTGGCACCATCTCAGCAGCCTCCACCTCCTTGGTTGAAGCAATTCTTGTGCCACACTTCCCGAGTAGCTGGGATAACAGGCATGTGCCACCATCCCTGGCTAATCTTTGTATTTTAAATACAGATGGGGTTTCACCATGTTGCCCAAGCGGGTCTTGAACTCCTGACTTCAAGCGAACTGCTTACCTTGGCCTTCCAAAATGCTGGGATTATAGGCAAGAGCCTGGCTGGGTGCCAGCAATTTATTAAGGGAGTCTTCCCAGGACAGCCCAGTAAGGGAGGGAGTGGAGAAAGCAAGTGAGGTAAGGGGGAGAAGCCTGGCCAGGGGAAGGTTTCAGAAGGGACAGCCTCAGCCAGGTCCCTGGGGAGCTCTGGGTTTGTCTTGCCTGAAGGCACAGGAGCTGGTGTTTGTCCCTGACAGCAGTCAGTTATTGGCCACAGGCTGCTGGGGGTGGAGCGGGGATGTAAAACTCCCAGACTCTCCACAAGGGCCCAGTGGCTGTGGTGCCCAGGTCTTGGAGGGGTCGGTCCCAAGGAGCAAACACAAAGAAGCTGGGGAGGGACCACACAGCTGTGAAAGGGGTTGGAAGAGATCTGCATGAACTTGAATTTCCACACTTGTATTCTAAGGTCCTTCGCCAAGCCCAGGTGGCTGGGACCAGGACTCATGACTTTGCCAGAGAATAAAGTTGACAAAATCTTGACGTTTACATTTGAAAGCCTTCATCAGGTGTAAGACAGAAGATGTTTGGAAGAAAACATGACCTAGTTTCTCTCCCCAAGATAACTGGCTGGCCTTGGAAGGGCCCCCTGCCCGCAGGGCACCCTAGTTGGCTGTATTTGAGGCCAGGTTGGAGTTCTCTCCAGGATATGAGGATCAGACAGTGTCTTCTGGCTGCTGTTGGGGGGCAGCCAGAGGGAACTGATGCTCAGAGGGGTTAGGTACCTTGCCCAAGGACATGAGCAGGTGAGTGGAGCTGGGATTTGAATGTGTAACTGCAATGCTTGTATTTGTTATCTATTGATGCATAACAAATTACTCCAAACTGTAGTGGCATTAAACAACAAACATTTACTATCCCGCAGTTTCAGTGGGTCAGGAATTCAGAAGCAGCTTAGCCGAGTGGTTCTGGCTCAGGGTCTCTCGTGAAGTTGTAGTCAAGTTATCAGCCAGGGATGCAGTCATCTAAAGGCTCAACCGGGGCTGGAGGATCGAATACCAAGCAGATCACTCACACCCCTCATGACTGGAGGCTTCGGTTCCTTGCCACTGTGTTGTTCCTAGGGCTGCTTGATTATGCCCATGATTTGGCAGCTGGCTTCCCCCAGAGCAAGAAGCCCAAGAGAGACAGCAAGTAGGAAGCCAAAATGCCTTGTATGTCCCAATCTTGACATCACACACCACCTCTTCTGCACATTTTATTAGTTAGAAGCAAGTCACTAAGGACACCCACACTTAAGGCAAGGGGAATTCGTCCCACTGTATAAAGCGAGATGTATCAGACAAATTAAGGGTTTGTTTTAAAACCCCACAGTCTATACAGCTGTTCCCCGGCTTGCAGATGGCCTCAGGAGTGCTGCTGATTAAGGACCCCTGTGTCATTCTGCCACTCAAGGGGACGCTCCCCTACTCTCATGCTGCACACCTCTTGCCCAGGCCTGGAACTCCTGGCCAGTTCTGCCCTCCAAATCTCCTCTCGGCTTCTTCAAGCATCTCAGTTCCATTTCCAGGGATGGGTGAGAGATGCTCTGAGACCTGTGGGACTTGGTGTCTCAGAAGTTCACATTTGTGGAAAAGAGGTTCAATTGGCCACATCCACCAAGTAGAGTTGGAGGTGTCTCTGTAGGGGTGAGGCAGAGTGTCTCTGACCAGAAGATCCAGTCCCCATGAAAGACTCATCCAGCGCTCAGCATACAGAACCTTTGATCTGAGGACCAAGAAGTACTTAGTCTCATCACCTCATTTATCTCTCTAGGGTATCTGTGAGCCAGCTGGGAAAACTGGGGGAGAGGTGGTTTTTCCTGACCTAGTTTCAAGGAGGTCAAGCTGAGGCTAGAACACAGGTGACCACTGGCAGCCTCTGCCGAGCCTTCTGCCACTCTGGGCTTTGCATTGGGGTGTGGTGGCATGAGGGTTTGCCTCGCAGGCCTCCAGTTACGGCAGTACAGCTGGCCCAGGGCCCCCCTGGCTCTAGAATCCATCCCCTGGCTTGTGCTGACGTCAAGACGGAGTGCAGCAGGGATACTAAAGCTGGCCCGAGCCTGGAAGCTGGGGGATTCCTCCCCTACCTTTGGCTCAAGGATTCCCCGATGACTTTACTGAACCTCCCCTAGACGGCACAGCAGTCCAGGGTGCTCCTACTCAGCCTGCCTTTCTCCTTCACTGGGAGTCAGGGTTGCCAGATGCAACACAGGACGCCCAGGAAAATCTGAATACTAGATAAACAAAGAATTATTCGTGTAAGTATGGCTCAAACATTGCATGGGATATTCTTATACTAAAAAGATTATTTGTTGTTTATCTGAAATTCATATTTACCTGATTATCCTGGCTATTTGACAAATTTGGTGACCCTCTTTGGGGTCAGACTCACACTGTAGCCTGGTCTGCTCCTTCTTACTTTCTGTCATATATGCATTTCCTCCAACAAAATCTTTTCCTGTTTAATCCTTTCTTAATCTCTGTTTCTCAGAGGACTGGGACTAACACAGTGGGGATGGCGGGGTGGGGCGGGGCGGGGTGGGGTGAACGTTTGCAATGTGGGCAGGCTTGATTTACAAACATCTAGTTTCATTAGAGCTGGCGTGGTCCTGGGAGTGGGATCCTCTTTGGCTGCTCAAAGTCACAGTAGTGAGGGAAAGGGGAGCTACTCTCCCAGGGTCCAAGTTGAAATGCAGCTTCCCTTTCAAGCGTAAAGAAGTTCTGGAACAGTTCTCTAACTTTAGGATGCCCAAGAATTCCGTGGGGAATACAAAGGAAATGCAGCTTCCAGGGTCTATCCCCTGAGAGATTCCATTTCTGTGGGTCTGGGGATGGGATCAGCAATTTGCATTTTTGCAGGCTTCACAGGTGATTCTGAAACCATCACAGGGAAAATAACTCTGCATATGTTGTAAAACTTTCCATGGATGCCAGTGCCCATGCTTATTTGATGCTCTCCCCAGCTGATAATTGATTAGTGTTTAGTAGTGAAGGTATCAAGGCTAGGAGTAAGTTTGCTTTCCCTTCTTCCCTCCACCTTTTTTTTTTTTTTTTGACAGAGTCTCATTATGTCGCCCAGGCTGGAGTGCAGTGGTGCCATCTCTACTCACCGCAATCTCTGCCTCCTGGGTTCAAGCAATTCTCGTGCTTCAGCCTCCCTAGTAGCCAGGATTACAGGCGTGCACCACCACGCCCAGCTAATTTTTGTATTTTTTAGTAGAGACAGGGTTTCACCATGTTGGCCAGGCTGGTCTCCAACTCCTGACCTCAGGTGATCCGCCCGCCTTGACCTCCCAAAGTGCCGGGATTACAGGCACGAGCCACCGCACCCGGCCTCACACTTATTTTTTGAAGCCCTTCTCTAGGTTAGAAAAAAATTGCTAAGAGTTTTGGTGCCTGAGAAGGTATGGTATGCTTTTTAACATCTGATAAAGAGAGCAGCATAAACCATTTTCCCCCTTGCTTCCTAGGAGGCTCAGTACAAGATTTTGTGTAAATTATAGTATTCTTTCTAAATCAGGACTTCTTTTCTTTATCTTTCTTTCTTTTTTTTTTTTTTTATTGGTTGAGAAGGGGTCTTGCTCTGTCACCCAGCCTGGAGTGCAGCGGCATGATCATAGCCCCCTGCAACCTCGAATTCCTGGTCTCAAAAGATCTTCCCACCTCAGCATTCCAGGTAGCTGGGACTACAGGAACACACCAACATGCCTGCCTCATTTTTTTAGTTTCTGTAGAGACAAGGTCTTGCTATGTTGACCAGGCTGGTCTCCAACTCTTGGCCTCAAGCTACCCTCACGCCTGGGCCTCCCAGAGTGCTGGGATTACAGGCTTAACCCACCCAGCCTGGTTTAAATCAGGATTCCTGACACAAGGAATTCTTGCCTGCTGCCAAGCAAAGGCACATGCATGGACTTCATTACATTGTTACTGTTCTTCCATTCCAGGCCTTGAGAGTGGATTGTTTCTTTGTTTCTTATTGTAAACAGCAGCCTCCAGTCGTTTCAGAAGTAAGCACCGTAAAAACCAGTCCTCACTTATCTGACTCCTGAGAGTTGGAGGTGCTTCCAGTGGGCCAGGTTAATCTGTTTCTGTGCTTCCGTGGGAGGTTTAAAGCTGCAGAGAGGGTGTGGCAAAACAGGTGCCACCCTTGCAGGCAGAGCTGGGTGGAGGTGGATGGTGTAACCAGTGTGTTTGGAATGGGTGTTGGCTAATTCTGATCCCAGGCAGGCAGGCAGGCAGGCAGGCAGGCAGGCAGGCGAGGTGAGGCAGAGAATGAATGTGCTGACTCATGCACTTCTCAGTTTCTCTTAGGGCGGAGGGCTGCCCCCAGGGGAGCTGGGGAATCTGGAAAGAAAAAGATGACAGTGGAGCTTAATATGAAGGCTGGGAAGAGTCTCAGCCACAAAAGTTCAAGGCCTCTTTCATTTGAACATTCCACCAGCAACCGTGTACTAAGGACCTATGAAGTGCAGGCCCTGCACTAGGGGCTGGATCTAGGGCCATCAGGATATCTGCCACCCCAGTCACTCAGGCCATCAAGTTCTTAGTTTTGGATCTGCCTTTGAGGACATCTGCCTGAGGTTGAAAGAATCTGGCTTCCTTCTTTTTTATTTCCCAGCATCTTTAAGCAGCTGCTCTTCAGTCTCAGCAAGGTGACATAGGCAGGTCACTTGAGCCACTTCACCTGTAGAATGGGTGCTGGGGTTGGGGTGGAGGGCAGTGGGGCTCTGAATCCCACTGTCTCCTCTCCTGTGTGCTGGCGTAAGCTCCTCTGCCTCTGGCACTGCGATGGCTGCACGTTCTGATAGAAGCCTGGCGGGGCAGAAGCCCTGTCCGGGGGGTCTTTATGCACCCAGCCCTAAGTACTGGCTCAGAGCCACCCCCAGAATGGGTTAACCCACTGGGTGTTTGCATCGTATTTCTGGTTTTCATTAAGGAATTACCAGCACCAGTTCGCTCTATGGACATGTAGTTTTTCTTCCAAACAGAGCTCCAGTTCTAAGGGGCTGGGGCCAGAAAGCAGAGGCTGAGTTCTGAGCAGGCTCAGTCCATCTTCTGGAGGGGCCCCAAATGGGATTCACCTAAAAGAGAGAGAGAGAGCCCCCCTCAAACACTAGACTTCAAAACATGAGGCACAAAAGTGATGATACTACCAACAGGTTTTTATGCCCAGATCAAAGGTGGCTGGAGGATATTGCCTGCAAAACAAAACCCTGGCCCAGTTGCCCCCAGCTGGCATTAGGGACAGGACAAATTCTGGCCCATAGCAGCTGGAAGACTGTGGGCAAGTCACTGGCCACCTTGGAGGCTTCCAGTCCTCCCAAGTAACATAGGGAGAATTCTGTCTCCTGTGGAGTTTTTGGGGAGATGCAGATGTGAGTACTCCAGAGACCAGGGACCAGGTAGTGTGTGGTCCTCACTGCTTTCAGCTCCCCTCTGCCTTCCAGGAAGATGAGGATGAGGATCTTGGGACTATATTCTGCAGGGGCAATAAGGAGCCATTTGGGGCCCTGCTAGGTGCATTTTTGGAAACTAAATCATAGACACATGAGCACTCTTCAAAAGTTACCGTTTCAGAACTTGGTGAACTTTCAAGGCCCCCTAACTCCACAGCGTGGGCTTGCTTCCAAACGCTGCCCACCCTTGTAGGGCAGACAATTTCCTGTCCTTATTGAAAAAGTAAACTGAAACTTACTGAACTGCAATGAGTGCATCTCTGAGTCTGTGATTACTGCTGAGTATTACATCTCTGACTGGTGAAGATCACTAATTAGCTAATGCCTGATGCTCACTGGGGTTCCTAAATGTTGTCCTTGTCCTATAAGGGAAGAGAATAAATGGAAGCGTGGAGGGGCCTGTCTGGGTCTGCAGGAGAAGAGTGAGCTCCTAGGGAAGCCCTGTCCCTTTGCCAAGGCTCACCTGGTTTCTTGGGACCTGGGTTAATGTGGTCACTTCAGAATGAGAGATTGCAGCTGGAATAATGACCTGAGCTGCAAACTCCACTTTCCAGGTGCTTCTAACCCTTCTTCCCTCTCAAATAAGTGCACTCAGCAAATTTTGTCTTAAAAATGTGGACATATTCTTACTTTCCCAGTCACTAGCATGGGGGGAAAGAAAGCACCTTTGCTTGGTAGATGTGATACTTGGCCTGATGCAGGAAGGAGACAAGCCCATGGACTGTTCCAGACGGGATCAGTGGAGAGGAGCGGGGAACTGAAAGAGAGGTGCTGCCAAGGAAGGGAGGAGTGGGGCATGGAAGACTCCCTCACCCTGTGAAGTGGACTTTCTGTTTCATTCCACAAACTCAAGCAAGACCTAAGGAAATCATGACATGCTGAGTATGGCTGTGTTTTCGTGTGTGTGTGGAAGGAAGCTGGTGTACAGCCACAGCCTGCGCATGAATTGACGGAGGACAAGACACAATAAGAAGGATGGATGAGGGCACTGCTGACCTCCGGCCGGGCCTAGCCACAATGTCAGTCCCTGCTCTCAGGGAGGCCCTATCTTGAAGAAGACAGGCTACTGACTTGATGGTGTCCCCACCCACAGGCTGCTTTGGTGGCTTTGAGGCTGGGTGATCTTCATGGAGATCTCTATTAATTATGTCTTGACCTTGCAAGGAGAGAAGAAAAGGCCCTTTCCCCCTTGCCCTGAGTTTCTCTTCTAAGGGTCTGGCCAGGACTGTAGGGTACCCGGAGGGGCCAGGCAGGGGACTGTGAATACAAGCCAGGGAGGAGGAAAAGGGAGAGCTACTGGGTCCAGTCCTGTCCAAGGGGTCACTGCTGCACATCTCTCCTCAGCATTGCCCTGGGCCCCAGGTTGCAGAAGCTGATTTATTTTATATTTATTTCTTTGTTTATTGAGATGGAGCCTCGCTCTGTCACCCAGGCTGGAGTGCAGTGGTGTGATCTCGGCTCACTGCAACCTCTGCCTCCCAGGTTCAAGCTATTCTCCTGCCTCAGCCTCCCAAGTAGGTGGGATTACAGGCACCTGCCACCATGCCTAGCTAATTTTTGTATTTTTAGTAGAGACGGGGTTTCACCATGTTGGCCAGCCTGGTCTCAAACTCCTGAACTCGGAGTCCTGGCCGACCTCGGCCTCCCAAAGTGCTGGGATTGCAGGTGTGAGTCACCTTGCCCAGCCAGAATCTGATTTTTGAAGTGTGACTGGACATCTAAATGAAATCATGGGACATGAAAACATTGGTGGCTCACTAAAAAAAACTTTAGAAACAGTTTTTGTTTGTTTGTTTTTGTCAAGTAAAACCCCATCTGTATCCATCAATGGCTGAATGGATCATAAGTGTGGTCTATCTGTAAAATAGAATGTTATTTAGACATAAACAAGAATGAAGTTCTGACACATGCTACAAACCTAAAAACCGTTACGAACCTAAAAAACATTATGCTAAGTGAAAGAAGCCAGACACAAAAAGCCACACATGGCACAATTCCAATGTAATGAAATATCCGGAATAGGATTAAATCCATAGAGACAGAGAGGTTGGTGATTGTCAGGGGCTAGGGGGAGGATAGGTGGTAGGGTAAGTGTTTAATGTGTAAGGGATTCTTCTGGAGTGGTGAAAATGTTTGGAAGTGGATGGAGGTGATCGTTGCACAACTCATTGTCACTGAGTTGTTCATTTAAAAGTGGCAAATTTTATGTTATGTGGATTTCACCTCATCCCGCCCCCTCCAAAGAAAAAACTCCAACTGTCTGCCTCCATTACACATTTGCTATAAGGCTCACCTGGTGAGGAGCCTCACTCGGGCCATTCTTCCTTCCCAGGAATGAGTCTGGTAGTGTCCATGGCCCAAGTCGGGGATGGGGAGCTGGTTCCAGCGTGGCTGTGAGGTTGGGCACTGAGTGTGGGGAACCCAACAGCATGGGGTGGCTCCCTGTGCAGACCTGCTGTGATGGGCATCTCTGGTCTTCAGGAGCTGCAGTGCCAGGTTAGGGCTGGGGAGAAGCACTTGACAATGGTCTCGGGTAGCAAAAGGAGCCACAGTGATGCCTGTGCCCATCAGGAACCAAGATGGGCCCTCTCCCTGTTTTCTCGGCACCACACACACTCTGAAATTTTGGTAGAATCCAAAGGAAGTGTGGCAATGACTGCTCCTGCACATCCTCCAGGTAAAGGGACACAGAGTCACATTTAGTTTGATTTAGAAAAGAAAAAAAGTACCACTCCCAGGGGACCACCCAAAGAGCTTGGGTAACCCAGGGTCTGCAGGGAGGCAGGAGGGTGGATATACTTATCCAAGTGTACTTACCCAACCTTTTTTGGGTAAGGAAGACTAACTAAATGTGTACAGAAAAGGTGGGCATGGGCATGGTGCAGGGAATAATTGGCTTAAATAACATGAGCATCCCAGGGTAGGCCACCGTCGGGTGCACTCTTACTAGGGTGGAATGCTGCCGGGACCTGTTGTTTGTCTTTCTTCCCTTCGTATTCACTCCACTCTCAGGTGGGCTCTCTCCTGGGATCGCTAGAAGGCTGCAGCAGTCTCCCATGTCTCTCAGCAGGTGTTTCTGACTCAGCAAAAGTGGCCTTGAGTCTTGTTGTCCTCAGTTCCTGAAGCTATCACTGTGTATCAAGGGAGCCCAGGGGCAGCCCCACACTGCATCCCTAGAGTAGGTCTGGTCTCAGCCTTGCTTCAGCAAATGGACTGAAACTGGGGTAAGTATGTGGTTTTCTAGTGAAATTGGGGGATATCCCTGGAAGGAGGGTGAATGGATGCTTGGTGGTCACATAAGCAACCACAAAGTTCTAGATGGGAAGGCTTCCTGGAGGAAGTGACGTCTAAGCTGAAGGATAGAGATATCTTGGCCTTGATGGTGAGACTGCCTAGTCAGAGCAGTATGTGTGCATCTCAGAGGCGAGCCAGAGCATGCTCAGAGCCCAGGGAGTTCAGGATCTAGGGGCACGTGGTGCATGTGGGAGCATGGTGGGAGGGGCTGTTCCCGAGGTCTGGAGAACCATCCTCAAGGACTGTGTTTGCCAGGCCAAAAGGGCATCAGCTTATCCTGAAGAACATGGGGAGCCATGGAAAGCTTTTAAGCAGGGAACAAATATGGTCAGATTTGTGTGAAGCAAAGACGACTCTGGGTGCTGTGGGCAACCCCCCAACATCTATTATCTATAGAAAGTCATCAAGTCATCCTCTGTAAGGGGCTTACTATACCCACCCCTGGGAAAGACTCCTTTAATCTAATGATTTCCATCTACAAGTTTAGGTTTTTTTTTTCTTAATTTAAATTATAAAATATTTTGAACATAGAGAAAATTAGGTACCACTTACTCGGATTTAACAGAAGTTAACTTATTGCTGCAGTTGCTCAGATACTGTCATTTTATTTCAGAAATAAGAAGTAACACACATAGACACATTTCTCTTCCTGCCTGCCCAGAAAACCACTACCTCAAAGTAAGTTTCAATCTTTCCCATATATGTTTTTACACTTTTGTTATGAACATCATAATATATATACATAAGTGTGCATTGAACACTTTGTTTTTACATTTCCTTGGAATACACTTAAGAATTCTGTCTTTCTTAATTGCTTACAGCACAAAGACCAGGTCTTCACGAGTAAGCTGAAATAGAGCATTGACACTGATATTAGGCTAATTTATGCCCACGAAATGCTTTGGCCTAAACTATTCTGAGAAGCAAGGAGAACATCTGCCTTACTTCAAAAGAGCTGTTCATAAGCACAGTCTCCCACTTAATTGCTTGATAGGGTCTTGGCTTAAGCCCCAGAAAGGATCAAACAAATCATCCATATGCTCTATTGGAGTTTACATCTTTCAAAAGAGTCTTGAGTCAGTATTAAGATCTTCTGGGATCTCAGATCTTAGCTTCCTTTTATTTCCTTTCCCCCACAACCCCAAGAACAGTCCCTTAAATCACCTTGGTGCTTCCTTTCTGGGCTTCCTGCAATAGATATTTTCAAGGGCTGTTTGTGGCTGCTGTGCTTGCTGAGACCTTTCAGGCAGGCAAGGAAGACACATCCTTGGAATATGTATCAATCCTGTACAAGATTAATCGCTGTCCTTCCTGGGTAATTAACTTCCCGCCAAGCAGTCGTTTGGTCTCCTCAAGGGATAATACCATGTTGGAGCCTCAGAGTTAATCTCCATTGCTGGCAGGTAGGATACTCAGCAGCAACAAGAGCTAGAGGAGTCTCAGTGAGAGGTGAGCCATGCTATAGGCCTCTGAATAGACTCCATCTCTGCCACCCTGGCTACTCCATTTATGAGCCCACTGTGCAAACACTGAGTGTTTGAGGACAAAGACTGATGTCTAGTGGTGGAGTCATCCTGTTCACTTAGTTATTTAGTGCCTATTTTTTTTTTTTTTTTTCTGAGACGGAGTCTCACTCTGTTGCCCAGGCTGGAGTGCAGTGATGTCATCGAGGCTCACTGCAACCTCTGCCTCCCGGGTTCAAGTGATTCTCCTGCCTCAGCCTTCCGAGTAGCTGGGAATATAGGCACCTGCCACCACACCCGATTAATTTTTGTATTTTTAGTAGAGATGGGGTTTCACCATGTTGGCCAGCCTGGTCTCGAACTCCTGACCTCAGATGATCCACCCACCTCGGCCTCCCAAAGTGCTTGGATTATGGGGGTGAGCCACAGTGCCCATCCTTTAGTGCTTATTCTGCAGCAGATATTCTCTGATGGGCATTAACATGCAACACAGAGATCCTCACAATTTGTGCGTACTCT
Organism: Homo sapiens; assembly: GCF_000001405.40. Classification (NCBI taxonomy): domain Eukaryota; kingdom Metazoa; phylum Chordata; class Mammalia; order Primates; family Hominidae; genus Homo; species Homo sapiens. The sequence goes on from NC_000003.12 coordinate 45,189,934, forward strand.
CCTAGATCCACCATCTGCCTTTTCTCCAGATCTTCTTGTCCCTGATCTCCCAATCTTGTTAGTTTAGGCCCCTCATCAACCAGCTCAGCCATTCCTCACTGCTCGTGCATCTGTGTATATTCTTATTTCAGGCCTCTCTTTCCACACAAAGCGGAGGGCCAGTGCACTTCATCCAAAGCCCGGCCCATCAGGAAGATTTCCTTGCAAGCTGCCTTTCAGGGTCACCCATGTGGGGCTGTGGTACAGCAGCAATCCGTTTCAACTGGTACCCACATATCAAGCCAACTCACGCATGAACCAAGCTCTGACTTTTCCCATCCTGTGTCAGCAGGTCATAGGAACTTCTTGTGGGGCCAAAGGGGTGGGCGGAGGGAGAGATGTCGGTGCAACAGTGATGGTGCCATGTGGGGCCGCCACCTCATCACATGGCCCACTCGTGCGCTCTGCCCTTTGTACACCTGATCCTGCCTCCACGGCTTCCATCTTTGAAGAATTGCTGCTGGGCCTGCCAACCTTATCAACTGGTGGGTCTGACATTACCCAGCTCATGATGGGCAGTTCTGGCAACAAGGTCATTTGATGTCTCATGGTCAGTCTCCCTCATGGGAGAAGTGGACAGCTTTCCCACTATGGGGTGATGGCACTTGGGTAGGTCTGATTCGCGTCTCTGGTTTTGATGGGGCTGAGAAATCAACGCTCTGAAGTTCTGCTATTTTTACAGTTGGGTCCTAAAGCTGCCCTTCAGCACGGTCTGCCTTTTGGCTATAAGAGAGGAGCCACTATGCCTTTAACCACTGCCAAGGAAGCCCTCTGACTTTCACAGTTTGAACTGATGATGACTTGTCATTGGCCTGTTATTTTCTCTCTTTAAAGCATGAATGGTGGTTAGCAAGAGCTACCCAATTTCACAGTCTTTATAATAATACTTTCTCCCTTGATTTTTTTTGTTTAAGAGATGCAGTCTCCCTTTGTCATCCAGGATGGAGTGCAGTGATGTGATTGTAGCTCATTGCAGCCTTGAACTCCTGGGCTTAAGCCATCCTCCCACCTCAGCCTCCTGAATAGCTGGGACTACAGGCATACATTACTATACCTGGCTAATTTTTTTAAAATTTACAAATTGGGGTCTCACTTTGTTACCCAGGGTGGTCTTGAACTCCTGGCCTCAAGTGATCCTATGGTCTCAGCTTCCCAAAGTGTTAGAATTACAGGCATGAACCCCTGTGCTTGGCTTCCCTTTTTTTTTTGAGACAGAGTCTCGCTCTGTCGCCCAGGCTGGAGTGCAGTGGTGTGATCTTGGCTCACTGCAAGCTCCGCCTCCCGGGTTCACACCATTCTCCTGCCTCAGCGTCCCGAGTAGCTGGGACTACAGGCGCCCGCCACCATGTCCGGCTAATTTTTTGTATTTTTAGTAGAGACGGGGTTTCACCGTATTAGCCAGGATGGTCTCAATCTCCTGACCTCGTGATCCCCTGCCTCAGCCTCCCAAAGTGCTGGGATTACAGGTATGAGCCACTGCGCCCGGCCTGCCTCCCATATTTTTTTACATGCCAGAGCCATTGTAAGATCCAGTGCATCCCCTTCCACCTATATCTTATTCCAGTTAACCACACACGAGGGTCTTTGCATTTGTGTAGCTAGAGCAAACCAGGCAGAGAAAAAACGGAAGTGATTTGTCCAGTTCACCCAGTGAGTTAAAAACCAAGCCAGCACTAGTAGTCCTTCTGAGCTCTACAGAGTAGAGAGTAGAGGTGGGGCTTTCTAGATTCCAAGAAACATAAACTCCCTCAAACTACCTCAACTAAGAGTGAGCACAGTTATTGCAAAGATCCTCATGCTCAGGAGGGCAGGGAAGCCTAAGATCCAGGCCTAGGAAACCACAGAACTAGGTCTACCAAGGCCAGATCAGTGTAGAATACCTGTGGGACCACGATGGAAGGAGCGAGGACTCTCCACTCTAGAGCTGGGGACTTGCTGTGGGCTTGCCCTCCTCTCTTCCCTCCATCCACTGGCCTTTTTTGTCCACACTTGAGAGCTAGGAAATCGGATTAGCACAACTAATCACTGTTACTGCTGGGAAGAGGTTTTACCATCAGACCACATCCTGGGCTATTGACCAGGCTGCCTCAGCTGTCATGAGACCAAGCAGGAGGTGGCAGAGCCACTGAGTGTGACCAGAGCCCTGGAACTGAGCTGCCTCGTTTTGCATCCTGGCCCCACCACAACAAGCCATATGTCCTTGGCTAAGTCATTTATCCTTTCTGCACCCACTTCTCATTTGTAAAATAGGGGATGATAATAATACCCACTGCACAGGGTTGTTAGGAGGGTTACATGAGTTAAAATTGCTTAAAGCCCTTAGAATAGTACCTGGCACATAGTCCATAGTCTGTGTTTGCCCAAAGCAAAAAACAAACACGTACTGTATGGCAGAGTGGGAGCAGAGAGGAAAGTAGAGAAAACCTGCAAAGGGAGGAAAAAATTTGTTAAGGGAAGGTCAGGCTCCTGGAATTGTTTCAGTTGCCAAATCTCTCATTTTCACTCTAGTCCATGTATTTCCTATAGGAAACCTATTTTCTATGAAATAGTCTGAGTTAGTTTTCTTTTTCTCTTTGCTACCAAAAGAAGTCTTTCTGAAGCAAATACCCTTTTTTTCCACTTCCACACATTGAAGCCCCACCTTCACTTTAAACTCTCGCTTGGCCCTTCCTTCCTCCATGAAGACTTCCCAGATTGGCCAAGTCAGGACTCTCCTCTTCCAAGTCCCTGTAGCACAATCTGTGTCTCCTTTATGCTTCTCACTGCTTTCTACTTTGCATTGTGGGCATTTGTGTGCATACCTTTGCTCCTCTGATAAACTACACAGTGTCTGCAAAGTAAACTGACGTACGTCAACATACATAACATCGTCAAGAGCTTTTCAATCTATAGAAAAATAAAATATGATCTACATCTCCAGACTTTGTGGCCACACCATAGATGCTCCTAGTACACATGAACCTGTCTTATTCCATTTTGAAGGCACCCTAGCAGGTTACTGTTGTATCCTGATATATTATATATTGTGATAGTATATTTTATACACTGTTAGAGCCTGTTACAGGGAAAGGGAGGCTTCTTAGGCTGCCCTGACACCTAGCTCCTCCCAGGGGAGGAAGAATTGGTAACATGAGTGGTCAGATCCCGAGACATGGATTGGGCGGCAGTTTACCAGTGGGTTGGGTCACTGAGTGTCAGAGGTGAGGGCACACTAGAGAGTTTCCCCTTGCCCTTCCCATCCATGTGTGGTAAGTATAAATAAGCAAAGCCTGTCTTCTCCGGGCAGGCCCAGGCATCCTTTGCTCCTTCACTTTCTGTTCCGTGTAGTGCACACAACCTGGCAAGACCTGCCTCTTTCTAGTCTACTTTCTCCACCTAAGGTTGGAAGCTTCAGATTCGGGTACCTGAGATTCATGGGGAGTCGGGTTGGTGTGTGAAAATCAAGGGTTCTTTTAGGCTTCCTAATCTGAACTGCTTGCTCCACATCAGCTCGTACCAGAACTCTGCACTGGGATTCTCAGTAGGGACACCATATAACTCATGATCCAACCAGGCATCTTGAGAGTGAAGAGGGGTCCAGTTATTAACATGGACACTGAGAAAATAGGCACAAACTGGGCATGTTCCAATGACACCAGGGCATATGGTCATGCTAGTTACAGGGTCTTCCTCTGTGTTTATGCAGCACTACCTTATTTCCCATTTAGTTCTCATTCCTTATGAGTACAGTCCCTTTGATGAGAAATCCCAGGGGTAGAAGAGAGGAATGTCAGAATCGGAAAACCAAAACCCAACCTTGAATACCTTATACATATAATAGACTCTTGATTAATATGGGTGAAAGAATAATGAATGTAGCTGAATTATTGCAAAATTATATTTAATAATAAAAATAGGGGCTGGCTGCAATGGCTCACACCTGTAATCCCAGCACTTTGGGAGGATGAGGCAGGTGGATCATCTGAGGTCAGGAGTTTGAGACCAGCCTGGCCAATGTGGTGAAACCCCGTCTCTACTAAAAATACAAACATTAGCTGGGTGTGGTGGTGCTTGTCTACAGTCCCAGCTACTCAGGAGGCTGAGGCAGGAGAATCGCTTGAACCTGGGAGGTGGAGGTTGCGATGAGCCGAGATTGCACCATTGCACTCCAGCCTGGGCGACAAGAGTGATACTCCATCTCAAAGAAACACAAAATAATAATAATAAAAATAGAAGTCAATATTATGGCAGTACCAGTGATTAAGAAAAATAACCTTTAAAACATTTTTCTTTCCTTTGATGGATCTGAGTCAGAATAGGCTTGGGATCCCAGCTCGTCACTTAGGAACTGTGTCATTCTGGGCATGCTGCTTAACTCAGGGCTGTGTATGTGTGATCTGAATGTCATTTGGGGGTCTTCCTGCCCCATGGAGATTTAGGAAATTTGACTTAAACACAGTGTGTAGTGGGTTAAGTAAACTCAGAGTTTGCCTCACAGTTTCTGCATGTTCTAATTCCTAATTCTTTTTAAAAACTTTTTTGGGCTGGGTGTGGTGGCTCACGCCTGTAGTCCTACTACTTTGGGAGGCCAAGGCAGCAGGATCGCTTGAGCCCAGGAGTTTGAGACCAGCCTGGGGCAATATAGTGAGACCTCATCTCTACTAAAAAATTTTAAGATTAAAAAAAATTAAATTAGTCAAGTGTAGTGGTGTGCACCTGTAGTTGCAGCTACTCAGGAGGCCGGGGTGGGAGGATTACTTGAGCCTGGGAGGTCAAGGCTGCAGTGAGCCATGATCATGCCACTGCACTCCAGCCCGGGCAACAGAGTGAGATCCTGTCTCAAAAGACTTTTTTGTTTGGGTTTTTCTCTGCCTTCACCCTGTATGTCTGTGTGTGTTGCCTCACAGCAAACCCAAATGTAAATTTTAGCCCCCACCACTGTTTTCCATAGGAAACCTAACCTTTCTCAACATTTCGTGAGTTTGGTGAATTCCGTGACACTTGGAGGAGCTATGCAGAAAGCTCACCACCTGCCATGGGCATCTACCATCCGGGTGCCCGCAGCCCTTCTTCGTTTTTCCACTTGGTTATTTTCCAGAGTTCCTCTCTTCCCCTTTTCATTCCATAAACATTTGTGGAACACAGTCCAGCCTCTTTATGACTTCTTCCATGAGAACAGCATGCCCCACCCACCCTGCCCCACTGCTCTCTTCTAAAGCCTTCTCCTGATTTTTGGTGAAGAAAATTTTCTCCATCCCATTTCTTGAATAAAAAACACAGCACCATGAACACACCTTAGGCTGTGGAGATTCCCACTAGTGATTCCAAAGTCCCTCTGGAAACTTTAGCATATGGGCACATTCGGGTGTGCATGTGCACTTTTCTAATGAGCTACCTCTTGGCTCTTACCAGATTTTCCCTTCCTTCCTTCCTTTCTTCCCTTCTTCCCTTCCTCCCTTCCTCCCTTTCCTTCTCTTTCTTTTCCTTCCTTCCTTCCTTCTTTTTTTTCTTTCTTTCCTTCTGAGTCTCACGCTGTCACCCAGGCTAAAGTGCAGTGGTGCGATCTCAGCTCACTGCAACCTCTACCTCCCGGGTTTGAATGATTCTCCTGCCTCAGCCTCCTGAGTAGCTGGGACTACAGGCGCCCACCAGTATGCCTGGCTAATTTTTGTATTTTTGGTAGAGACTGTGTTTCACCATGTTGGCCAGGTTGGTCTCGAACTCCTGATCTCAAGAGATCCACCCGTTTTGGCCTCCCAAAGTGCTGGGATCACAGGTGTGAGCCATCACACCCGGCCTTCTTATCAGATTTTCAAAGGGATCTGTGACCCCTGAGAAGTAGAACAATTCCTTTGGAACATGTTGTGTCATTTAACTTTAAAACTTCAGGGTTTCTCTTTCTATGATACAGTTGCAAGGTTGAGCTGTCTCTTAAACCTATCAGCAATTATGATAGTTACCTTTGGGTTCACAAAAGGAATAAAAAGAGAAAGGAAAAATATAGAGACAGAGAATCCCTAAGCTGCTTTCTCCAACTGGGCAAGAGCTGGAAGAATGGAGGAAGGAGTAAGCTAAATGGTTATATCAGTTAGGATATTTTCAGATACAAGCAACAGAAATACCAACTGACAGTGGACCAACCAATATAAATACCCAAGCCGGGGTGTCTCCAACATTGATAGTTTGGCAGCTCAACGACAGGACCAAATACCTGGGTTCTTTCCTTGTTTTTGCTCTTTTATCATTAGGTTGGCTCTCCTTAGTCCCAGGATGGCCACCACAGTTCTAGCATCATCAGCAGACCCAACCATGTCTAGTGATAAAAGGGGGAGGTATGTCTCTTTTACCAGTAAAAAATGATTCCCAGGCTTGGCCCAGTGGCTCATGCCTATAATCCCAGCACTTTGGGAGGCCAAGATGGATTGTTTGAGACTAGGAGTTTGAGGCCAGTCTGAGCAACATGATGAGACCCCATCTCTATTAAAAAGCCAAACCAAAACAAAAATGGTTCCCAAAACTCCCCATAAACATTCACTCATATTTCATTGGCCAAAATTGTATGATATGTTCCTGCCTAACCCAATCACAGGTGAGGGTAATGGTGCCACCAACATTGGCTTACACTAATTAGCACCCACTCTTTGGGAGATGAAGTTGGGCTCATCCCCTACAAATCATGTAACTGCCATGGAGGAAGGTAGGTACAGAACAAAGCTGGGATCTTGTTGGACAAGCGGTTGGGTAGCAGCCATATGTCTGGGAGCTAATTGATCCATGAGTAGTGGAGACAGAAGAAAGGAGGAATGGGCTGAAGGAGGGCACCCATTGCCTGGCAGGAGAGGAAAGAGATGGTGGGTCAGACATCTCTATGGCAAGAGTGAGGTACTGCTGTTAGTCAAGGACATTTTGGTGATTTTCTGAAAAGCCTCAGGGTGGGTAGGAGTTGGGGAAAGTATTTTCACGGTGGCCATGTTAAGTAGAAGCTCTTTTGAATATGGTGCTTCTCACCTTGGGCGATTCTCTGGTGAGATGTCATTTGCAGTCTGTGATAATAGTGGCTTCTGCTTCAAAATTTCCATTCCATCTTCTTCTGCACTGACTTTCACTAACACTGAACGTCTCTTTCCTTTTTGCAGACTCTTTAAAGCCATAGCTTTTCTTTTCATTTCTTTCCCATGTCTTTAATTTTCATGAGGTCTCAACAAATAATTTCCTCATCTTTAGTGTCCTGTCTAGAAACTCCAAGTAGGTACACAGCTGCAGATTTCAGCTCAGATTCTGTTCTGCATGGCTACAAAAATGTTCCATACCACAGTAGCTGTCCTTTCAGATTCCCAGTGACCTGATAGATATACCCATCTATTAATGGATCCCACTAATCATGTAGACCAGGACTCTGGGATAACCAGCTCTTAGCTGATTTCAGGTCTATGGCATAAAGCCTGCAGAGCATAATTTAAATGCATTTTTAAAGCAAACTGGTTTGCAGAGAACCCCGTGTTGTGATGTGTTTCCATAATGGCACCAGTGTCTGCTCAAGTCTGTAATGAAACATGCAATAATGCTCCCACAAAATCCACCAGGAAAGATTCCCATAAGTGGAAGAGTTTTATTGCCAGCAGGTTTTATATCTTAATTCTCTCACCCCCATTTCTCTGAAATACAATTTAAATAGTCCTTTAAAAAATTTTTGACTCCTCAGAAGTCAAATGTACTCTGTGGAGATGAGGCTGTTGGTTGAGATGATTCCAGTTAGGAAGTATTTTTGGTGGGTTGCACAAGGGCCCTGATGTATAAAAATCCCCCCCATCCCAACCCAGCTTCTCTTTGTATGCATGGGATCTTTTTAAAAATATTTTTTGAGATGCAGTTTCAGTCTTTTTGCCCAGGCTGGAGTGCAGTGGCCTGATCTCAGCTCACTGCAACCTCTGCCTCCTGGGTTCAAGTAATTCTCCTGCCTCAGCCTCCTGAGTAGCTGGCACTACAGGCATGTGCCACCACACTCAGCTAATTTTTGTATTTTTAGTAGAGACAGGGTTTCAGCATGTTGGCCAGACTGGTCTTTAACTCCTGACCTCAAGTGATCCTCCCTCCCCGACTTCCCAAAGTGCTGGGATTACAGGCGTGAGCCACCGCTCCCGGCCTGCATGGGATCTTTTGATCTACAGTGAGGGGAAGAGGGATCAGTTTTAATTGGAGGATGGGCTGGAGGAGACAGAAGGACCACCAGAGGGATGCTATGGCATCTCTTCTTTGAACCATAATAGAGAAAGGAAAAGGGTTAGAGAATGAAGCTGCTCAGATGAGATTTTTGGAGACCCTGGGCCCAAGCACATCTGCTTTAGGGTCCTGGGAGCACCATGGGGCACTGGTTGTGGGCAGGACTGGTCACCTTGCCTCAGCGCCAGAACCAGATGGCATGGTAGTGAGAAAGCTCCACCAAATGACCTTGTGGGCAATGTCCTGGCCAGGAGGAGGGGTGGCTGGGGCAGGAAGTGATGCACAGGTGGGACAGAAACTGCAGTGGATCAGCAGGCCTGAGAGGACACCCCATGTGACTCCTAGAAGTAGCAGGTTGAACCACAGGGTTGCTGATAGCCAGTGGTCAAGATGATGGGGCTTGGGTCTTTACCATGTGGTTATAAGGAAGGAGGGCATCATTTTGAGGCCATAGGCTGGTGAAAGTGCTATTGATTTAATCCAAAATGCTTTGGCATAGAAAATCCAGAAAAGACAAGCAAAATGTTTCTTTCTTCAAATGATTTACAATGACTCCACTTTGTTATCTTGCCTAATATAGACTTGGCCAGAACTTCTGTTTAGCTAGCTAGTGCCGCAGAACAAATCACCTCACAATTTAGTGCCTTACAGTTTCGTAATCTCTCAGGATTTCTGTAGATAAGGAGTTTGGGAAAGGCTTGTTGGGGTGGTTCTGGTTCCAGTCATTTGTGTGGTTACTCTTGGACAGTGGCTGGAGCTTGGAGAGCCAGGGTTGAAGCAGCAGGTGGCCGGCTGGGCACCTCTGCTTCTTTATATGGCTTCAGGGCCTCTGTGGCCTCTCCATGTGGACTGGTTTAGGCCTCCTCACAGACTGATGGCCTCAGGACAGTTAAAATGCTTACACAGGGCTCAAAACTTCAGGAGTGAGGATCACAGGGAATAAGGTGGAATATGGGTCCCTTTTACAGCTGAGCCTCTGAAGTCACACAGCATCACTTCAATGGCATGCTGTTAATTGAAACAATCACAAAGAGGATGGGTGTGGTGGCTGACGCCTGTAGTCCCAGCACTTTGGGAGACTGAGGTGGGCAGATTGCTTGAGCTCAGGAGTTCAAGACCGGCCTGGGCAACATGGCAAAACTCTGTCTCTACAAAATATACAAAAATTAGCTGTGCGTGGCGGTGTGTGCCTGTAGTCCTAGCTATACAGGAGGCTGAGGTGGGAGGATTGCTTGAATTTGGGGAGGTCAAGGCTGCAGTGAAGCCGTGATTGTGCCACTGCACTCCAGCCTGAGTGACAGAGTGAGACCCTGTCTTAAAAAACAAACACACAAACAAACAAACCAGTCACAAAAGCCCACCCCACATCAAGGGGAGGGGAATTGAACTCCACCTCTTGATGGAGAAATGATAAGGTAATAGAAAAGCATGGGGTTGGGGAGAGGTGGGAGATATTGCATCCATCTTTAAAAAATACAACTGCAACCATCTTTTCCATGCAGAGTGAAATCATCCTCGCAAGCCTTCCTCCAAGGCTAGCTCCTTTCAAGATAGCCTTCCTCTGTGACTGGGTTTTTTCCTGCCCAGCATTCAGCCACCTTTTCTACCTGTTTTAATCTCCACTCTTCCCACAGCCCAACCCCTCAACTGTATTTGTCATCTCCTTGTGATTCCCACTTATTATGCAGACCAAAAACTCTCCAGCTCTCCTGCTGGGTGATCCTTTCCTAAAAAGGCACTGAACTAACAGTTCTTATGAATGAAGGAAGTGCAGAAACCCATCGGAACACGATGACTAAGATGCAGGGCAGCTCTGGGACAGTCGCTGATTGAAACATCCCTGAGTTCTCTGAGCATCAAACATGCCTGTGAGATCCTTGATTACACTGCAGGTAAGCAGACAGGAGGACAGATGTTGTGTAAGGTTGGGGAACGCAAGGAAGATGAATGGACTTCAACACAAGGAAAGGCTCTCAGGGAATACTTTCCAAGCCCGCAGGAATGTAAGGACACTCCCACATCGCTGGTAAGTGAGTCATCACCAATCACCATCCAGTTAAGAATCATTGTATGTAACAGGCTTAGAATCAAAGCCTTATTATTATTATTATTTTAATCAACAGAAAAGAGAACCTATTTAGAAGTCTGGAGAATGATCTAAAAGGACAGGCTAAGATGAGAACACTTGGAGGCAGGACAGTAGAAAGACAGGGACACTCCTGTGTGACTGTTGGGAAGAGCAAACTCATAGGGAAGCAAGGAGGCACTTGCCAGCTGGGACCTGCTGGTGTCATCATCTAGTTCCCCTGAACTCACAAGATATTTGCCACCCTTCAGGGGACTTCGTCACCATGTGCCGCTCTTCTCCCTGGGGCAATTATCCTTTTTAATTATGTGGCAGTGATATAACTGTGCCCCATATTTGTCAGGCACATTGGTTTGTTTGCAATAATTCTAGCTAGAGGAGGTCAGACTCAGACCCAGGTGAGAATTCTGGCTCTGTTACTGTCCAGCCTGGTGACTTAACCTTTCTGGAGCTCTGTTTGCTCATGGAAACTGTAAAATGGGGATTATTACACCCTACCTTTGTGTCACAATAATAAAATGGGATACAGTGAGTAAAATGTTTAGAATAGCCTCAGACCCCATTGATGCTTAATCAAGTGTGTTCTTTTTCTGTTCTCTCTTAATTATTCAGCACCATTAGTGAGCATCTTTTTTTCCTTTTGTAACCAGCCTCAAACTTGTTTATTTTTCCAGGTGTACATTGTCACTAGAAGCCAGGCATTTAAAATAAAACATGGTTATAATAAAGGTTGGTCATAATAAAGTGTTGGTCATACTACACAGTAATTATTACTCTAGGAGGTTCAGCAAAGGAACACCCCTTTTCCACAGCTTCCTCTTCATGTATAGGCCTTCCAAACCAATTTTTCTGTAAGAGGTCCTTTTTCTGGCAAGTTGAAAGCCACCAACTCCTTCAAAGATCAGATGTAGGCAATGAGATGCTACCAAGTAGGGCAATACAGCCCACCTCACATCCTGGCTCTGGTCCTTGGGTCCAGGATCCTAGATTTCCCAATGGGTCACCTGTTGCCACCACAGGTCTAGAAAGGGGATGTTTGGAAGTTTTATTTTGGAGTTTGAGTCCATGAGGCACGTAGAAGCCTTGAAGGCAGGCTGCAAATGTCCCCATTCAAGCCCAATCCCTTATAAGCACAAACCACAGATCACCTATTCCTTCTCCCTGGAATAAAACCCCTCAGGCCAGGCGCAGTGGCTCACGCCTGTAATCCCAGCACTTTGGAAGGCCAAGGCGGGTGGATCACCTGAGGTCTGGAGTTCAAGACTAGCCTGGCCAACATGGTGAAACCTCGTCTCTACTAATAATACAAAAATTAGCTGGGCGTGGTGGCAGGTGCCTGTAATCCCAGCCGCTCAGGAGGCTGAGGCAGGAGAATCACTTGAATCTTGGAGGCAGAGGTTGCAGTGAGCCAAGATAACGCCATTGCACTCTAGCCTGGGTGAAAAGAGCGAAACTCCGTCTCAAATAAACAAACAAACAAACAAACAAAACCCATACCCTCCATCTGTATCCACCTGAGAGCTCTCATACAGCTGCTTAAGACCCAATTCCTAAGTATCTCTCTTCTTCTGCAGGCCTTCTCTCTCAAGCAGATGCACTCTTATCCTTTGAGGCTGCAGATGCCAGGGACATGCTTCCATTGCAGCATCATCAAGATGGCTTGGGATCAAGATGACTTGGGCGCACTATCCTCCCTACCAGGCCCTGAGCAACACCATCATTTCTCATTCCTAATTCCCAGGAGAGCATGGCACAGAGAGGTGCTCAGTGAGTATTTGTTGACCTGAGTCAGACCAACGAAAGGAAAGACTTTTCAGACTTTGCAACCCTGATATTCCATGATGAATTAAAAAAGAAAAACAACCGAGGCAGTAAACTTTATTTTCAGGGTCCAAGTAAGTCTAAAATATATGTTTTAGGGCTGAAATGTTCACATTACAACTTGGATGTACATAAACATTTTGCTTACAATTTTTTCTCTAAGTGATTCTTGCTTTAAAACTTCATTTCTTTCTACCTAAAATCATCTTTAAAATTCAGTCTCTGCAATAGGCAACTATTTCTTAAATATAACTCAAAAGGCATTAAACATCAGGGGAAATTTTGATAAATTGGGCTACACTAAATTTAAGAACTTCCAACCATCAGAAGGTAAGACTATGAAAACGATGTCACAGACTTGAGAGGGCATTTGTTGATAAGTACATCTCACAGAGGATTCACAGGACATAAAGAACCCCTCCATGCCAATAGGCAATGTCAACAGCTCAGTACGGAAATGGGCAAATGACCTGAACTGGCAGTTCACAACAGAGAATGCAGTCACGCACCACTTAATGACAGGGGTATGATCTGAGAAATGGGTTGGATGATTCTGTCATTGTATAAATATCATACAGTGTACTTATACAAACCTAGATGGTATAGCTTACTATACACCTAGGCTATATGGTGTAGTCTTATTGCTCTGAAGCTACAAACATGCTCAGCATGTTACTGTACTGAATACTGTAGACAGCTGTAACACAGTAAATATTTGTGTGTCAAAACACACCTAAACATAGAAAAGGTATAGTAAAAATATGGTATTGTAAACATATAATATAATATAATTGTTGTATGTGCAGTCTGTCATTGACCAAAACATCATTATGTGGTGCATGACTGTATTTAAGTGGCTAATAGGGATATGAAACGCAGTTCAATCTAAAACCACAATGGATTACCACTACACACCTACTGGAATGCTAAAATTAAAAGGCTGGCCATCCTAAGTGTTGGAGAGGACATGGAACAACAGTAACTCCCTATCTACTCAATCAGAACACATAGAGACTCTATGACATAGACACACACTCCTGGGTATGTAGTAAACACAAATGAATGTGTGTGCTTACCAAAGATAATGTGCAAGAAGGGTGGGCACTGTGGCTCCCGCCTGTAGTCTCAATACTTTGGGAGGCTGAGGCAGGAGGATCATTTGAGGCCAGAAATTCAAGACCAGCCTGGGCAACACAGGGAGACCCCATCTCTACAAAAATTTTTTTAGGTTAACCAGGTGTGGTGGCACATATCTGTAGTCCCAGCTACTCAGGCGGCGGAGGTTGGAGGATTGCTTGAGCCTAGGAGTTTGAGACCAGCCTAGGCAACATAGTGAAAACCCATCTCTATAAAAAACACAAAATTTAGCCAGGCATGGTGGCATGTGCCTGTAGTCCCAGCTACTTGGGAAGCTGAGGTATGAGGATCATGCGAGCCTGGGAGGTCAAGGCAGTGGTGAGCCATGATGGTGCCTCTGCACTCCAGCCTTGGTGATAGAGTGAGACCCTGTCTCAATAATAATAATAATAATATACAAGAATGTGCATAGTAACCCTACTTGTAATTACCAAAACCTGGAAACTGCCTACATGTCTGTCATCAGTAGAGTGGCACCTCTACACCATGAGATGCCACGTGGTGATGGGAATGCATGAACCATGATGGCACGCAACAGCGTGGATGCATCTCACAAACATAGTAGTGAGCCACAGGAGCCAGCCAGAAAAGAGTACAAACTGCCTGGATTCATTGCATAAAGTTCAAAAACAGGCAAAACGCAAAACTACTCTATGCTGCTTGACACTTTCATTGACATACATCATACCTATAGAAAAGTCCACAACTGACCTGGGGTAGTGACTGCAAGGGAAATTAGCGGGGCTGTGGGTGCTGGTAAGTTCTGATTCTTGATCTGGGTGCTGGCTAGACAAGTGTCTTTAATCTACTATGAAAATTCATCAAATTGGGAGTTTTTGATTTGTGCACTTTTCTAATCCTTAAATAAAAAATTTACAAAAAAACCTTTACATAACTTTGCCCTTCAGCTGATTTGGATCGCACACTCCCTAATGGGGCCCTTTCTTCTCCTGAAGGCATCTTCCTGAGACTTATAGAAGAAGCCAAGGAGCTGAGAGCAGCAGAGACAAGAAACAGAGGGAGAGTGAGAAAGTCCCGGGTAAGTCTTGGCTCTTGTCTCTCTCTGAGCCCAGCTGCAGTCCCCCGCTTCCTGGGATTTGGTTACTTAATCCAGGAAATTCCCCTTTTGGCCCATGCTGGTTTGAAATGGGTTTATGCCCTCAACAATCAACAGAGTCCTGACTAATAGTCCCATTAGAGGTTTTTCCCAAAAGAAACCGACTTCCTTCAAAGGCACATTCAAACTCCTGGCTCTAAGAAGGCAGAAAAATGTGTTTACATTTATGTATGTATGTATTTATTTATTTATTTGAGACAGGGTCATTCTCTGTTGCCCCGGCTGGAGTGCAGTGGTGCAATCATAGCTCACTGCAACCTTCACCTCCCAGGCTTAAGCAATCCTCCCACCTCAGCCTCCCAAGTAGCTGGGACTACAGGTATGCACTACCGTGCCCAGATAATTTTTTATTTCTTGTAGAGATGGGGTCTCATCATGTTACCCAGGCTGGTCTTCAACTCCTGGGTTCAAGTGATCCTCCTGCCTTGGCCTTCCAAAGTGCGGGATTACAGGCATGAGCCACTGTGCCCAGCTTGTGTTTAAGTTTTAGAAGAACAGTACCCACCTCTTCACCCACTCCCCTTCTGATCATCAAGGTTGTCAAAAAGAAGGCTCGATCTCAACTTGGGCACCTATTCCACAAAGATTAGGACTGAGCACTTAACTGATGGTCCATGCGCAGGTGTTAACTCAATGAATAGGTGAACTAGATACGGCACAGTAATATGGTAGCAGGAAATACACATCAGAGCCAGGACATATCACCTCAGGTGCTGGCTTATATTTTATGAGGATGATATAGTATTTCTGGGAACCCTTACAGAGCTAACAAATATTCAGTCATTTGTCAGGTAAGTGGTATAAGCTATCTGATTGCAGAGATAGTTTTCAATATTTTCCTCATGGTTACAGTTCCAGAGCTTGATGACCTATTTGAATGTTTATAGAAACACAACCTTTCCAGGAGCAGCTGAGAGAGCTTGTTGCAAGCAAGAAGTGATTGTAATGTGGATATCACTGCAGGATGTGACATGACATGCCAGTGGAAAGATGTAGCAGATATCAGCAGGGGAAGTAGATCAGCAGAGTCACTTTAATGATGAAGGCTGTGGAAATGTGTGGAAATGGTTACAGAAAGCAGGAGGCAGTCCAGCTGTTTCACAGTGGGCAGGTCTATGCAAACCTGCCACAAAGTTTGAGGAAGCTGAGAAGCCAAAGAAAGAGGCTGACAAATCTGGTTTCATATATATATATATATATACACACACACACACGTATATACACACACACACATATATACACATACACATATATGTATAAACACATATATATTTTATTTTTTATATTTATTTATTTATTTATTTTGAGACGGAGTCTGGCTCTGTCGCTCAGGCTGGAGTGCAGTGGCGAGATCTTGGCTCACTGCAAGCTCCGCCTCCTGGGTTCACGCCATTCTCCTGCCACAGCCCCCCGAGTAGCTGGGACTATAGGCGCCCACCACCACACCTGGCTAATTTTTTGTATTTTTAGTAGAGACGGGGTTTCTCCGTGTTAGCCAGGATGGTCTCAATCTCCTGACCTCATGATCTGCCCGCCTCGGCCTCCCAAAGTGCTGGGATTACAGGCGTGAGCTACCGCGCCCGGCCATATATATATATATATATATATATATATATATATATATATATATATATATATATTTAAACAGAGTCTTGCTGTGTCACCCAGGCTGGAGTGCAGTGGCACTCTCGCTCACTGCAACCTCCGCCTCCCAGGTTCAAGAGATTCTCTCCTGTCTCAGCCTCCCTAGTAGCTGGAACTACAGGCATGCAGGCATGCACCACCACCATGCCTGGCTACTTTTTGTATTTTTAGTGGAGACAGGGTTTCACCATGTTGGTCAGGCTGGTCTCGAACTGCTGACCTCAAATGATCCACCTGCCTCAGCCTCCCAAAGTGCTGGAATTATAGGCATGAGCCCCTGTGCCCAGCCAAATCTGGTTTCTTAGAAAGAAACATTTAATAGGGTCTTAGGAACAGAAGCCATGTCTACTTCTCCAGTGGCAGCAAGACCAGATGGGGGATCCCTGCACCATCACCCCCCAAGACCCTGGGCTTATATACCACAAGGGAGGGGTGGGTTAGAAGGGACATGTAGGTCAATTGAAGTAGATAACATCAAGGTTGCTTGATCTAAGGGCAGGATTTATGGTAAGTACCTGCTCTAAACAAGGAACAATAAACTGGAAATCTTAGAGGACTTCCCAGAACAGCGGTTAATCAGAAGCTAACATGGTGGATTAACTTCCAGGATGGAGCTGTTGTAGCCTCAACACCAGCTTACTTACAGACACAGGTAAAGGTCCTCAGATCCCCAAATGCCCATGAGGACAGAGCTCCACAAGTGATGCCAACCTCACAGAGCAAGGGCTCTGCCAGGCACAAGGTGCCATCTGCCAATAGGAGGGGTGAAGGGGTTTATTGCTCCTACTTCTAGCCCTGCAACCCCAAGTATTTTGGAGACTGGCTACATACCTGTCCACTTACCAGGTGCAAGGTGTGGTACAGAATAACCCTAGCACATTCCTAAGAGTTCATCCTGAAAATGGATAGGGTAAAGTCCTATTTCCCAGGGGCACCCATCGCTGCAAAGGGTTTTTGCCCCACCTGGAGGGGCTTGGTAGGATATCTCTTGCCAAATTACATTCCAAATTGCCTTCACGAGGCCAGGCCTTTTTTTTTTTTTTTTTTTTTTTTTGAGACAGAGTCTTGCTCTGTTGCCCAGGCTGGAGTGCAGCAGCGTGATCTCTTCTCACTGCAACCTCCACCTCCCGAATTCAAGTGATTCTCCTGCCTCAGCCACCTGAGTAGCTGGGATTACAGGCATGTGCCAGCATGCCCGGCTAATTTTTTGTATTTAGTAGAGATGCGGTTTCACCATGTTGGTCAGGCTGGTCTCGAATTCCTGATTTCAGGTGATCGACTGCCTTGGCCTCCCAAAGTGCTGGGATTACAGGTGTGAGCCACTGCGCCTGGCCTCATCACTCATTCTTATAGCCTTTGTGCCATTAAGCCTGGACCAGGAAGCAGGGGTAAATCTCTCTAAGGAAGAGGAAGGTGGTGACAGCATTAATGAAAGGCTTCATTTTTCTGCTTTAAGTTTCAAAGTAGACTTAAAATCTGATAGCAAGACAATAGTCTCAAATGCCAGACTTTGCAGAGAGAGAAAGGGTTTTCTTAAAACCCCCAAGGCTGGGGTTTTTACATATCAAAAAAATCGAAGCTCAGAGAAATTGAGTGATCATTGAGTGAATCATGGAAGAAAGAAAAATGCAGATATGACAAAAGGGAAGTTTCTACCCTACAGGAAGAAGGACAGCTACTTTGAGACTTGGAGAAGGAGTTAAGAAATGGGACAAGAAAAGGCAGGCCAGGGGCAGGTTGTGAGTGTGCTGGTTTTTCCCGCCCCACCCATCAGGATCAAAGCTCCAGGTGTAAGAGACGATAGAAACACTCAGATAGTTTTAAAGACTCCACGAACATAAGGGCTGGTGCTCCCACTTCCCTGGGTATAGCCTGAGGAGTCTTCAAATCTCTCAAGGGAGCCTTTGGATCAGGCTAACGCTGCATCCAACATGGTGCCCAAGTCACAGAGCAGAAATGGCTGAGGGAGGCACTTCAGTGGCCTGGGCCTGAGACAACTCACCTGACATAGAACGTATGGGCTTGCCTGGGCGCGGTGGCTCAAGTCTGTAATCCCAGCACTTTGGGAGGCCAAGTCGGGTGGATCACTTGAGGTCAGGAGTTCGAGACCGGCCTGGCCAACATGGTGAAGCCCCGTCTCTACTAAAAATACAAAAAGCACACCTGTAGTCCCAGCTACTTGGGAAGATGAGGCAGGAGGATCCCTTGAACCCAGGAGGCAGAAGTTGCAGTGAGCCGAGATCGAACCACTGCACTCCAGCCTGGGCGACAGAGGGAGAGGCTGTCAAGAAAAAAAAAAAAAAAAAAAAGTAAAATAACATTTGAACTTGCATGAGTTGTGGAGGGAGCCCAGGAGTTCCTGTGTGCCAACAGGGGTTGGGGGCCAAAAAGTATCTGAGGTACTAGCTGGTGATTTCACCAGAACATCACCATAAAGAAGGCAAAGTGACTCTATAACGAAGAGCTGCAGAAAGGACTCCTCAAACCAGCAATCAAATAGCTTTCCCATGCAGCCCTTGGGGATCAGGAGTCACAGTGAGAGCCAGATGAGGCTGAGGCAGCAAGGTAAAGCCTCTAACCTTGCAGGCAGCATGTGATTGTGCCACAAGGCCAAGACCTGAAGCTAAGTTAGCTTCCCCTGCATCCAGCTGCCATCTTGGAATAAAGCGGAGAAAGGAAAATCCTTGCATTGGTGGAGAGACCCAGACACTATGTAATTACTCAAAAAGAGATTATTTTAAACCAGAGGAGGCTGAGATACCATAACAGTAAGATCAAAAATTTTCTTGCATGCAGCGGAAATGGGGTTTCAAGAGCTGGTTGGGATCTTATTGATGGTTGTGTTTTGCATATCTGAGCAAATTCTACCCTGACCACAGGATACTCATGACTTCCATAACTACATACTTATTTTTTTTCAATTATGATGGTAATATATATGATTTCATTGTAGAAAACTTGGGGGGAAATACTATAAAGAAGAAAATAAAAATAATTCTGTAATTTCACCAGCCATAGATAACCACTGTAAACATCTTGGTTTATTTTTTTCCCATCTTTTTTCTATGTATATGTGCATGTGTATGTGTATCACTGTGATTGTATGTGCATCTTACTTGTTCACAAGATTCTTTAATTTTTTTTTTTTTTTGAGATGGAGTCTCATACCTTTTTCTCAGGCTGGAGTGCAGTTGTGCAATCTTGGCTCACTGCAGCCCCGACTTCCCAGGCTCAAGTGATCCTCCTGCCTCAGCCTCCTGAGCAGCTCGGACTACAGGCGTGCGCCACCATGCCTGGCTAATTGTTTTTGTATTTTTAGTACAGATAGGGTTTCACCATGTTGGCCAGGCTGGTCTTGAACTCCTGACCTCAGGCGATCCTCCCACCTCGGCCTCCCAAAGTGCTGGGATTACAGGCGTGAACCACCGTACCCAGCCTTTGGATCTGCTTTTACTGATGCGTGAGTGTGTGGCCTCATCACCACTCCCAGCAGCTGGCACCTGTAACTCTTCTTTGTAGATCCAGTCTTGGGCTGCTGGAGGGGGCATTGCCTGAGAATTTACACTCCTCTGGGGCAGCCCTTCACCAATGACTGGTAGAATGTAGGAATGTAAGCCTTGTCCAGGTGCACGGGGTGGGAGGCAGGGGGATTCTGAGGGCTATTTATACTTGGGGTTCCCTGTGGGGCAGGCTAAAGCTATTCTCCCTGGGACTCAGCCTGAGATGACGCCCTAGCTTGGCTTTTCTGAGAGCACATCCTTCATAAATCACTTGCACACAAAACTCATCTCAATGTCTGCTTCTGGGAACCCGACCTAAGACAGCCAGTGATACATTTTTAAATGTTAAGATAAATATGAAGAAAATAAGAGGCTCTGTGGATATATTTAGGAATTTAAAGTTGGGTTTTACAGCTTAAGTAAACAAACAAAAAACAGAATCATGTATCTTGACATATCAGTCTGGAGTCAGAACCTTTTTTTTTTTTTTTTGAGGCAGAGTCTCACTCTGTCCCCCAGGCTGCCCAAAGTGCTGGGATTACAGGCATGAGCCACTGTGCCTGACCTGGAGTCAGAACTTTAACAGCAGAAAAACAGGAGTGGTACTCCTTTAAATCACGGACGGTCATTCTGTGTTTTTTGGGGAGACTGATGCTAGGTCCCAGTGGTCTCCTGCAGGGGCTGGAACCACCCCAGAGAAAGGAGAGCAGGCTTCTGTCCCTTCTTGCTGCACTTGCAAATAACACAGGTCAGCCCAGGGCCAGAACCTTGGGGCAGCTCCACCGAAGGAGCTGTCCTGTTGCCCCTGATCCTTCCGTCCCAAGTCCCAAGCCCAATCCTCACACCAAGGCAAGGTGGGGAGGAGGCAGAGGTTGTGGGGGTGTGGGTGGGTGGGGGTCCTTATGTCCCACAGTACGGGAGCTGGACCAGGAAGATGGAATTTGCTACCCTGAGTGACCATAGAGAGGGTTTCTAGAACCTCAACTTTGCAGGCAGGTTTAGAAAGTACGCTTGTCCTCCCACTGCTAACAGCTGGGGAAGTGCGTGTGTGTGTGCTGCTCCAACAGCTCAGAAGTCCTGGGAGCTTTTAAAAACTTCCCAATCCAAGTTCTGCCTACTGGGCTCCAGCCTTCCTCAGAAAGACACTTCTGAAGGCCGACTGCTCGGTTCTTCGAAGTAGCTCAGCCAGACCTGACGACACCACTGGCCTGCGGGTAGATTCTCTGCAGGGCCAGCCTGCACCTCCCAGCAAGGGCACCACCTGGTGGCGGGCACTCTGTGGGATGGGCTCTCTCTCTCTCTCTCTGTTGGGGGGGGTGTGTGTGTGTGCACGCGTGTGTGTGTTTAGGTGGAGGGTAAAGTGGATGGGGAGGGGATTTACCCTCTGCAGCCTCAGGCTTCCCTGGCAAGCCACCGCCTTGGACATGACATTTGCTGGCTTGGCTGGGGCCCTGTGGCCAGATGTCAGAATTTAAGTTCTGCGCTTAGGGCTTGTGCAACCTTAGACATTAAACGTCTCTAAGCCTGTTTCTTATCAGTAAAAGGAAGATCAAAGTACCTAGCTCTTTGGGTTCTTTGTTAAAAATAAGATTATGCTTTGGATTCCTCAGAAATAGATCCTGAGAGATTCAGACATAAGTAGTTTATTTGAGAAGTGACTCCAGGAAAAACCACTTGGGGAGGGCGATGTGAGCCAGGAGTGGGGAAGAAGATGGCAAGAGTGACTTATCCAGCAAGTGTTTTGCCACTGAGGGCACCTGCACACCATCCCTCTCAGTAGGACCTTGCCTGAGGGGCAAGGGAGCTGGGGTATTTATCCACAGATTCCCATCATTCACTGTGGGAGGACCACTCCTGGGGTGCCTTAATGCCTCAGCTCTCTCATTATTTGACACGTGGGCACGGTGGGCACCAGCAACCAGAGAGGATCCTCAGATAGATTCGGAAATGATGGCATTCGGAAGTTGGGACAACATGTATGGAAATGGTTAGTGGGGAGGGGGGATGGCTGGGGCACCACCAAAGTCTTCTATATGCATGATTAAAAATTCTCAGAACATAGTAACATTTCAATAAACAATAGCTATTTATAATAGTACACATCCGTGGTCCCCGGCAAAGTGTGACACAGCTGATAACCTAGAGGTAGGTCCAGATAGGCTGTGTGCCATGGGAGCGCTAGGCACCAACAGCCCTACAGCAGGTGTTTAGTGTCCCCTCTTGTATATATAGGGGAACTGAGGCTCATGGAGCATGAGAGCCTTGTTGAGGGTCATGAGGCCGATCGTGCCAATGTTGGTCTCCTGCGAGCTGTGCTGCTGCTCCCACCAGTCCAGGACTGTAAAGAGTTTTCATCCTGTGTCTGTGTTAAAATGTGCTCTCTCTGAGCCCCACCATGACAGCGCAGAAATTTGTTTCCATCTGTAAAATGTCAAGGCTGAATCTTTTATGTTCTGCCCTGGGTCTGTGCCCGATAATGAACTCCATCCAAGCCCTGTGGCTGCCTCCAGCCCACGAGACTCTTTGGAACAAAACGAATAATTCTCAGTGGCAGGAGAGAGTGAGGGAATGGTTTCATCACTCTTTTCCTGCACGACTCAGACCTGAGAGAAAAGAAGAGGGAATTGGCAGAAATAGAAGGCGGCAGGGACGCTCTCTCACTTGTTCCCTGCAGTCATGCCTGTATGGAATTTGGGAGTTTGCTGGACCAGGGGGGCTGCTTTGGGTACACTGGGAGCAGAAACCTGGGGTTCCATCACCTGCCTCATGGCGGGGCATCGAGTCTGCTCTCAGCTCTCTTTCCTGAACACCATTGCCACATCTGTCTGTGCTGGTGACGAAAGAGAGAGAAGCCTCAACTGTCTCCTTTGTACTGCACTAGGCCATTCCGCAACTCAAGCAGGAGAAAAACCCAGGAGTGGGGTGGCGTAGGCGGGGCCACCACAAGGAGCCCGTGCATCAGGGGGCGCAGGCTGTTTCTGGATCATTCCACTGGGAAGGGGACAAAACCCATCTTTTATGACCCATGTTCAGTTCTCAGTTGGAGTCAGGTAAGCCTTTCCCTTATTCTTATTATTTTAAAAATGTTTTCTAAAATTGTGGTATGACATACATAATATGCAATTCTTTTATGTTTGTTTGTTTATCTATTTATTTATTTATTTTGAGATGGAGTTTCGCTCTTGTTGCCCAGGCTGGAGTGCAATGGTGCGATCTTGACTCACCGCAACCTCCACCTTCCGGTTTCAAGCAATTCTCCTGTCTCAGCCTCCCAAGTAATTGGGATTACAGGCATGTAATCCCACCACGCCTGGCTATTAAATTAATATTTAACCCTTTTAAAGGATATGATTTGGTGGCATTAATTACATCCACAATATTGTGAAACCACCACCACTCTCTGGTTTCAAAACTTTTTTATCATCCCAAACAGAACCAACTAGGCTATAAGATAGTCCTGGGTGAGCCAGGTCTCCAGTTGGGACATGTGTTTCTAAAGGAGTGTGGAGAGGAAGTAAACTCTTAGGTATGTTTTCCTTTAAAATCATGACAACAGTACCTATGGGAGAGGTACTGTTATTATTCCCATTTTACAGAAAAGGAAACTGAGGCCTAGAAAGCAGCTGGCCAGTGCCAGGGCTAGTATTTGAAATAGACTAGTCTGGCCTCACTGGGCACCACCTCCACCCCACCTGGCTGGTCCCACTTCTCACTCCATTCTGCTGGAATCATTCCATGAGCTAAAATGTCTAACGATGTTGGGCCTTTGACTTCCCTCTGAAGGGAATTGGTAGGCTGAGCTGAATCTGCAGGGTTTCGGCCATCTCATCTGGCAAATTAAGTGTGACATGGGGGTTCCGGAATGAAGTGGATGTGAATTGTAAAGAACACGGGCTTATTTGAGCCTAGAATCGGGCCAGTCATGGATCTGCATTGAAAAGGGACTTGGGGAGCTGTATGAGTGGGGCTGGGCCATTCCTGGAGTGGCGAGGCCTTCCTGGAGGACCCCACATCTGTTTGCTGCTTCAGCACAGGAGAGAGACTCTTTGAGGGGATGCAAACCTGGAGAGTCCCCTCCCCACACTGAAGGATCAGAAACCATGGAGGGTCCTTGCCCCAGTGCAGCGGCAGAGCCTGTGGCCCCAGCCCTACGCGGTGCTGGGACTCTCCATTTCAGTGGGGTGGTCAGAGGGGAGGCAGAAGGCCCCGAGAAACCTTTCCTTCAACATCCCCAGGGCCCCAGAGTGAACCAGACTCTAGGTGGTGGGAGAGGGGATGCTTGCAAAAGATCAAGAACAACAGCCCTGAAGATTTTCAATAATCAGTATTAGTAAACCTCACTCATGAAGCACTTTCTATGTGCCAAGGAACACCCTAGGGGTTCTTCATAATTACTCTTCCCAACTCTCTGGCTGCTGGGTAGGTATTATTTTCTCTGTTTTACAGATGAGGAAGAGAATGCCCAGCAAGGTAAAATGGCAGAGCTAAGATGCAAACAAACTCAGGTCTGCAATGCCCAAACCCCTGTTCCTTTCCCTCCTTGTATCTGAAAACTCTTCTTGGCACCAGGGGAGGTGCATCTGGGAGTGGCTGTGTCTGCCTGCATGTTGATGCTGGTGGCATGCACGTGTGTGGGCCAGGAGGTGGGTCTGTGACATCCTGGGTGAAAGGCAGTGGAGCGAGGGCTTCTCTGGCATTGCTGATGGCTACCTGAATCTCCTGTTTCTCTGGGCCGGCTCTCTAGCAGCCAGGTGGGGACGCACATCTCGATCTGCCCTCAGGTGCTCTAAACCGAGGTGAAGGTTCACAAAGCCGCCAGAACAGCTGCTTTTTCCTTGCAGATGCCTATCTGGAGGGGGTGTCTCTTGGCGACAGGAATGGCATTTCCCACAGAGGTGTTGGTGGCGCTTAAAACCCCGTTTAGTCAGGCCACACAGGAAATCTGCCCAATGTTTTCTGAGCCTGGGCTGGAAGAGGCCTGCAAGGAAACCACAGGAACACACAATTTTTGCTCATAATGCAATTCAACAGAGAGTTCTTGAAGGCCTGTGTGGGCACATCTCTGAGACACCAAGATGGTAAAATTCCAGGATTCTCCCCACACCCAGGGAGGACAACCTAGCTGCCCCACTGTGCACTTTGGAGGCACAGCCCTCATTAGATTGCTGTGAGGATTTGGAAGGTCAAGTTCCTGGCATCTACAACCCATGCTAATTTCTTCTCTTCCTTACTTTAGAGCATGATATTCATTGCTAACTGACAAAGAAATCATTTTTAAAATGTGAAACATTTCTTCTTTCTTGTTTACCTCATTGACTTGAAAAAAAATCTTTACTCCATGGCCCTGGTCATTTGAATAGAAAAATGCAAAAATCATAATGATTTTATAGATTATTAGAGCCACGCAAACAGCCAATTTAGACAATCCAGGGCAAAATACATTCTGATATCTTAAGCATCCTCTTTTCTTACTTGTACATGTTTCCCCTTCAAGTCACTCAGAAAAATGAGAGGACTTGGCCTCTGTTTCAGTCTACCTGCTGGAAAAATCCTCGAGGGAAGTGTCTTTGTGGTGGATGTGGTCTGACTTGGCCTGGAAGATGGGGAGGGAAAGCCTGAACACAAAACTGCAGGCCTGCGAGGGACTGGGGCCTTACCTGCCCCAATCCCCTTGTTCTGTAGAGGAGGAGACGGAAGCTCAAGCTGCAGCCAAACAGCTCATGCATGGCAGGGCAGGTACTGCAAGCAGGTGTCCTGGGGTCCTGTCCCATGCTATTACCAGCCTGCTGGTGGCCTCAGCAAATTCCCTAATACTGAGGGGCTTCCCTTATAATGCACATACTGGGGAACCAGGACTTTGCACGCAATGACAGATGGCAGGGACTTCTGACCTCATTAGGGAGGGCCGGCATGACAAAGCCAGCTGTACCTCAGTGGGCCCCAGTGCAGGACACCAGAGACAAGACCACCCAGCCAGATCTCCTCGAGACTGGCAAGGCCTGGTGGTCAGCATTGTTGGCCGGAGAGGGAGTTGAAACTTTGATGGGCACATTTAAGCTTCATGTCCTCTGGGCACCCCCCACTCCACCATTGATGGGAATGGCACTGAAGAACACTGTGAGGTCTGCAGTGAATGCTGCAGGCACCCCATCCACATTCCTCTTACAGCTGCTCTGAGTGTAGGCTGCAGACTTCTCCCAGCTGCCTCCCCTTCTAGAGAGCTGGGCCCAGCTAAACGGAAGCTGCCAGGGAGGCTGTGCTGACTCCTCTACCTAGAATTTGACCCGTGATTGGTTAAAGTGGAAATACAAAAGACCAGCCCTTTGTCTCAAGGTGCAGCAACTGTGGTGCACGGCCTGCTCCAGAGGTTCCCCTGGGGTCAGGCTGAAGCCCACATCAGCTGAGACCACGTGCTTGCTTTGCTACTTCCCCTGCCCCATTCTGCTTCCCTCACTCCCCTTCTCCTGAAAGCATGCCCCAATTCATCGCTTGGATGAGACTCTCCATCTCAGGCTCTGCTTCTAGGGAACCCAGTCTAAGTCACGATCCATTCTGGAAGACCTTAACACTTTCCACTGACTGTGAGAGCTGCCGAATACATTTTGACCCATGGGTGGTTCCTGTCCTTGGTGATTCCCCGACCTCTGGTGAGATCTTTTCCTCTCTGGCAAGCCTCTGGATGTTCTGACTTCAGAGGGGTTCTGGCTGCAGCTTTAACTCAGCCATATGTTGTGACAGCTCTTGGAGCAGCATTACACGGGAGCAATATCCTTCCTGCTAATTGGATCTCAGAATTCATTTTCGGACCAAAGACATCAAATAAACCCAGGAAATACGAAGCCGTTTGCAGTTATGACTTGAGACGAATTGAGTTGTTCATCCTCTAAAGTTGTGTTCTGTTCCTTATCAGCCTCATCTGAAATCTCAGACACAAAAGCAGAGATGTTTCTGCCAGGAGGGGCGGAAAGTTCGGTCTGGTTTTGATATGTGTCTGGAGATGATAAACTTGGGAAGGGAAATATAGCAGATCCAATCCTCCCTCCCCCATCTCCATTAGGTCTTTGGCCTTGATAGATTTCAATATCCTGTGCAGCTGATGTCTGACCCACGCATCAAGAATACAGCCTTCACACACCTGCCGTGAGAAGCCCTCTATGACCTTCTGCAGAGGGAGGGAACTGCCTAAGAGCTGCTGAGTGCAGGAATGCAGGGTGCTAAGAAGCAGGTACCCAGTTTGGGGTTAAAATATGTATAATATATCCATTTGAATACCCATCAATAAATATCAGTCATGCTCACTTTTGGGTGCTGGGGGTTATTGGAGATATTGATTCATTTGTTTTATGAGTGGTATTTTCTAATTTTTCTATGATATAACACTGGTCTAGTAAAGAAATACAAGTTTTAAAAGCAGTTATGCACAACACAGTTCCTTTTTTTTTTGAGATGGAGTTTGGCTTTTGTCTCCCAGGCTGGAGTGCAATGGCGTGATCTCAGCTCACTGCAACCTCTGCCTCCCGGGTTCAAGCAATTCTCCTGCCTCAGCCTCCCGAGTAGCTGGGATTACAGGTGCCTGCCACCACACCGGGCTAATTTTTGCATTTTTAGTAGAGATGGGGTTTCACCATGTTGGCCAGGGTGGTCTCGAACTCCTAACCTCAGGTGATCCACCCGCTTTGGCCTCCCAAAGTGCTGGGATTACGGGCATGAGCCACCACGCCTGGCCATTTCCATTTTTTAATTTGAATAATTACTTATGGTCACACACACGTGTAAAACAAAACTGCAACTACATGCACCAAAATGTTTGCAGGGCTTAGTTTTGGGTAGTAGGAAGATGTGTGGTCTTTTCTTTCTTTTTTACTTAGCAAGGTATTCTATGACTTCAGGCAATGCTGTATGGTAAAATATCCATTCTCAGTCTCTGATGGACCTGCACAGTGTTAACCAACACAGGTCCCCTCTCAGGGACATGGTGATGGCCTTGCACTGGCATGGTGGTATGTGCCTTTCAGGCTGAGTGAGACACTGGAACTCAGTGATCCAAGGAGAGAGGATGGAGCTAGTCCCCTTGGGATAGCTCTGCAGGATAGAAGCCAGCAGAACCTGCTCCCAGCCACCAGGCAGGCTCCTGCCCATGTGCCCCTCCTGCCTGGAGTCTTCCCATGGAGGGTCCTCCATGTGCATGTTCTGCTCTCCATTCTCCCCGTGCCTCAGCCTCCAGCTCCAGGGCACCCACTCCATTCTCCCCTGTGCCTTGCGGTGGGAGCATTTGGGTCTCTCATTTTGTGCGAGTGCGGGGCTGATGAGAAAGGGGATCATCTTTCTGTTCTTAGAGCTGATGTTTCAATTCTCTTTTCCTTCTCTCCTCTTAGTTATTGCCTTTCCTTCTATTTCTTCTGCTTCTTCCCTCTCCAGTCCAAGGGAACCGTTATTAGTAATCATATTTATTATGATTACTGTATAATAATCATATTTATTATTATCACTATTTTCTAGTGTAGTCCTCCCTCAGCAGCTGCAGAGTTATCTAGAAACACAGGAGGGAAGATAGGGCGTAATGTTAAATTCTATGGTAAGAAAATCAGCATCTATCTTGCAAGAACAAATAATACATGGAATTAACTTGAGCCAGGGAATTCCTGAGGATCATAAATATTCTGAAATAAGATTCCAAGGTACTACAATAGCAAGACCACAGTTCTAGATCCTTACACAGTGTGGATCATGATTTAAGTCCAGAGTGGCTACCATAGAAGGCAGCCCTATAGGTAGGCTGGAAATCACAAATGTTACCCCCGGGATAGAAAAGTGCATTGGTAACAGTGGTGGCTCAGAGGGGCCTGGAGTGCCATCGCAAGGGGACTCTGGGGGCTCTGTCAGGTTCTAAACAAGTTTCTCCAACCTGCAGCCACTTGACCTCTAGATTGGGGTTGGGGTATTTGGGGGGTTGGAGAGATAGGGCCAGCAGCCTTCTGTCCCATGCCCACTGACCCTCAGGAAGTCTGATAGG
This sequence comes from Homo sapiens, assembly GCF_000001405.40. Taxonomy (NCBI): domain Eukaryota; kingdom Metazoa; phylum Chordata; class Mammalia; order Primates; family Hominidae; genus Homo; species Homo sapiens. Next base: position 45,218,490 of record NC_000003.12, read on the forward strand.
ACTGCCAGTAGCCCAGCAAGGACTCTAATCACAGAACAAAAGGGGTCCTGGTGGGGCACCTGGAAGGTAGGTTATTTTCTAGAGTGCCAAAAAAGCTTGCTGGGAGGCATGTTGTCTCCATAGTCAAAATGAGGCCTTGGCATGTTATCAAGATGCCAATCATTTTGATTTTTATCACTGATCCTGTGAAAGCACACAAAAGAATGCATCTTTGGCAGCACTCTAGTGCTTTGAGAGACAGTCCTGGGAATGCTCAGGCAATAAGAACGCCAGGAAAATACTAAGGGTGAGACGAGGAGAAAGGCCTTTAATTGTCCTGAGTGAACAGCCATGCCACCTGTCCTCAGACGACCACAGGAAATCCCCACCCTCCTCAAAATAACCTTGGGCCTTGTCCCATCCCGGGGTGTGGCAGAAAGCATCCAGTGTCAGCACAGGCTTGGAGGATGCCTAGGCTTGGAGGGGATGGTGCACTGGCTGGATCGATTGGGCTGAGGGTTATGTGATCTTGATAGCTGGAAGTGAGGGGCAGAAAAGAAGGCAGCCTCTTAGAAAGACCAGAAACAGAAGATTGCGGCGAAAGCATGGGGGCCTGCTGTCTGCAGAGACCTTGGCTGTAAAGAAAACAGCAGGAGCTGACCGAGGACAGTGTTGCTGTGTGGGGAATGGACAAAAAATTTGTAAATTTAAGTTACTCACCAGACACGGTGACTCATGCCTGTAATCCCAGCACTTTGGGAGGCCAAGGTGGGCGGATCCCTTGAGGTCAGAGTTTGAGACCAGCCTGCCCAACATAGGGAAAACTGTCTCTACTAAAAATATAAAATTAGTCGAGTGTGGTGGCAGGTGCCTGTAGTTCCAGCTATTTGGGAGGCTGAGGCAGGAGAATGGCTTGAATCTGGGAGGCAGAGTTTGCAGTGAGCTAAGATGGTGCCACTGCACTCCAGCCTGGGCAATAGAGTGAGATGCTGTCTCAAAAAAAAAAAAAAAAAAATTAAGTTACTTAGAGCTAATGGGAGATGGTAAGACCAGACGGGTGAGCGTCTTGAAAATGTCTGAGAGCTGGAGGCAAGTAGGAAACTTGTACTTGGGGTAAGAACCAGAGAAAATACCAAGAACAAGAATCCCCGCAGAATGGAGCCTTGGTGAGGAGAATCCAGCGGACCTTAGGCGTCTCCTCATGTGTGGAGGCTGCACAAAGCAGTTTTGCCCTAAAACCAAAGACCCAGCAAGGAAGACCCAAGAAGGGAAGGTGATGTCTGGTAAGTGCCTGCCCACAGTGGACGCAGTAAGCAGCCGTGTTCCAGTTTAAGGTTTGTTCCCCAGCAGTCCCACACATGGTGAAGGGGTTCGGCACTCCCAGCCCAGAATGAGCCCTGTATTGCACTGGGAGAGATGTCCCAGAAGAGGCGCAGCAGAGCCGGGAAGGGCGAAGGCACTGTCTATAGAGCCAGTCTGCCCTGGGGTGGGGAGTTGAAGGGGCGGGGGCTGAACAGAAGGTCTACCAGCAAGAGACCAGAGGGTAGTCAGGAATAGGCCCCACTGAGCACCCATGACAAGGTGCACACAAGGGCCGCCAGCCCCAGTGAGCTGGGTGAATTTGGGCAGTTAGCCTCTGTTATCCCCTCCTTTTCCTAGTGGCTTCTCCGGCCAGAGGAAAAGGCTTAGCTGTGAAATGAATGCCATTTACATTGCTCTTAACTCTCCCAATCCTTTTAGCTCAAAACCTCTTAATCTAGCTGGGAAATGGAGGATATTGGCCCCCAGAAAAAGGAGAGAATAGGAGAGTGAAGACCCACCTCTTCATGCCCCTGATGTTAATGAATCTGGAGGAGGGGCTAGGCCAGGAGAGCCGAGATGCTTGTTCTGACACACTCTCCTTGCTCCCCATTTTGTTTCTAACTATTCTCCTATCCCTCAAGATTCCTAGACCGTGGGGATCCAGAGTGCAAATCTTCCAGATTAAGTTCTTTAGGGATATCCCCTCCTCTATTTTTGGAAAGCTACCAAGCTGATACCGCCATTGTCTGTCAAATGCCCCAGGAGCAGCAGGTAGCTTCCAGCATGGCCAGGTGGCATGGGTGTCAGAGGAGGAGAGTCTAGAGCCAGCACTTCTAGAATGATCCTTTGTCTACTCACCAAACCAAGTCCTGTAATTCTTCTGGGTGGCCACAGATCACACAGGTATGGCAGTGCTGAAAGTCGTGGTTATCATTAATGTTGCTCACTGATGCCAGTTTTCCTCTCCCTTTGGCCACCGGGAAATGTGAACTCCTTGGCTCCCTTGTGATGGGTGGGGCCACATGACAATTCTCATCAATGAGCAGAAAGGACGTGACTTCCTGCCTGGAGCATACTGAATTGCCAGTGTGAGACCCTCCAGGATTTGCTTCCTCCTACCTAGATGATGGCGGCCACCTTGTTGAGCCAGAGTCCCCATAATCTGGGTCCCTGAAGGATTCCAAAGGGCAGAACTCCTGCCACCTTTGGACAGCATGAGCAAGGAAAAAACCTTTTTTTTTTTTTAGACAGAGTCTTGCTCTGTTGCCCAGGCTGGAATGCAGTGGTATGATCTCGGCTCACTGCAACCTCACAGGGGTTCAAGCGATTCTCCTGTCTCAGCCTTCCAAGTAGATGGGACTATAGGTGCGTGCCTATAGTGCATGCCCGGCTAATTTTTGTATTTTTAGTAGAAATGGAGTTTCACTGTGTTGGCCAGGCTGGTCTCAAACTCCTGACCTCAAGTGATCCACCCACCTTGGCCTCCCAAAGTGCTGGGATTACAGGGGTGAGCCACCGCGCCCGGCCTGGAATAAACCTTTCTTGCACAAGCCACCAGAAGCTGAGATTGCTTATTACTGGAGCATAACCTGGTGTATCCTGACTGATAAGGTGATGTGAGGGGGAAAGAAACAAGGCATCCTCCTTTGATTCTGGTTATTAGAGAACTATCCAGACGGAAGAGAAAAAGTAGAAATGTGTGATCTGTGTAAAAGAAATGCAAATGAGGCCGGGCGCGGTGGCTCACGCCTATAATCCCAGCACTTTGGGAGGCCGAGGCGGGCAGATCATGAGGTCAGGAGATCGAGACCATCCTGGCTTACACGGTGAAACCCCGTCTCTACTAAAAATACAAAAAATTAGCTGGGCGTGGTGGCAGGCGCCTGTAGTCCCAGCTACTTGGGAGGCTGGAGCTGGAGAATGGCGTGAACCCGGGAGGTGGACCTTGCAGTGAGTCAAGATCGCACCACTGCACTCCAGCCTGGGTGACAGAGTGAGACTCTGTCTCCAAAAAAAAAAAAATGCAAATGAGAAGCATTTTTGTGATGTGCTCCTCATATGTGCCTAATGACCACATGGCTAGAACAATTCTGCACGTTGTTGGGTAAATTGCCTGTCACAGGTGGGGTTCCTCAAGAAGCAGTCTGTGAGATAGAGATCACTGTGCAAGAGGCTTATTAGGGAGTGTGGATTAAGGCCTGTGGAAGGGAAGGAATGGGAGGAGGCAGACGTGGACAGAGGGAGTAGTTCAACTCCATGAAATCTCCATGGACACCTCAGCCAGCCCTGAGGGAAGTCAGTCTTGAATGGAAGAGGGGCGGGCGCTGGAGGGTAGTGGAGGACCCTTCAGAGCTGCCCCAGTTGTGGCCAGAGGGCTGGGTCTTTCTGCCCCTGTGTTGATCAGTCATTGGATGTGGTGCCCCAGGTAGGAGGTGCGGCTTTAGACAGGGTGGTCTCTTCCGCTGAGGCAAGACCCAAAGAAGACTAAAGTGTTCAGATCTGGGGCTGGAGGCAGCTCTCTGGATGAAAGCAGAAAACTCAGTAAGGCAGCCTTCGGCAGCAGCTGGATATTAAACAAGGGGTATCCATTCTCCCCAGGAGTAAACTTTCTCTCAGGAGAAGCAAAAATAACTGACAATGATGATTTATCCTGGGGACTCCGCTATATCATTTGCAACTCAAGCTGGCCCCACGAAGCTTTATAAATGGGCTGGAATCTGGGGGTGCCATGTGCACATGTACACAGGCTAAAATGGCACACGTCTTTTCCTGTCATAGAACTCCTGACTTATCCTTAGTAAATTACGTACTTGGAAGCGTTTCACTACTGAGATGATGCAAATCAAACTGACTAGAAAATACAGACCCCACAGATGAACTTGTCAAGGCCTGACTTCCTTTACCCAGTGGGCGACTACAGCTGAACAAGATCAAAAGGACCTACAGGCTCTGTCCTCACTTTCTGGGACTAACTAGTCCATCAGTGATACACACACACACACACACATAGCCCAGAACACACATGCACACATGCAGGTTCCACTGGCAATTCTGAAAGTCAATAGATGTTGATATTTCAATCACCCCTAAAAGGTAGATGTTAGGGCCCATATATAGAAAGTTCCATTAAGTGCCTGAGTGTCTCATTTAAAATTAATGCTATCAGGTTCTTTGGGGTTTGTAGCTACACAAAATCTGACATTGGCTAGGGTAGGTCAACAAAACGGTGGACCTTGAGCAGTGAGCTCCTAATTTTCCTGGGAAAAGAAGTTTCTAGTGACGAACAATACCATTCAGGGAGGCAGAAATCCTGGATTTAGTCTCAGCTCTGCCTCGTGTAGCTGTGTGATTGTAGACAAGATGCTCAATCTCTCTGAGCCATGGTATACATCTTGGAAAAAAGCAGGGAGAGTGATTACATGTGTGTACAAAGAATACATAATGTGTCTCCAGAGTTATAAATGCTATGATTACATTAAATTGATCAAGGTTAGCAAAATTATTGACTTTTCTCCTGCCAGTTACCACAGGGTTAAAAAATGGTGATGCTTACAACCTACAAAGATCAATACTCCACCCTCTCCCCTCTCAGGGGCTGGTACCTGCTACAGATATCTCAGGACCTCAAAGAGTCAAAGGGGCAGCTGAAGCTGCAGGGCAATGACCCAGCCTCTCCTTCAGCCAGATTGCTGGGAAAATAAGCATCCCATTTATTTGATATAATAGACATCTCAAGATAAAAGGAGACAACCTACATTTGAGGGTTCCATTCCACTAGAACACAGCAGAGCAGTTCTCAAACTGGTAATGCATAGGAATGCCTTGGAGGGCATGTGAGAACACAGATTGCTAGGCTTTATCCCAGAGTTTCGGATTCTATAGGTCCTGGGTGGAGCCCAAGTTTTGCATCTCCAAGTTCCCAGGTGATGCTGATGTTGCTGGTCCAGGGACCAGGCTTTGAGAACTATAGCTCTAGACCAATCTCAGATATGCTTGCAAAATGAGGACGAGATGGAGCAAGGGAAAGCAGCTTTCAAAGTCTCTTAAAAACGCTTTTAAAATAATTTTTAATATTAAGTCTCTTTAAGGACTTTTTACTTATTCTTCTGAAAACCTGGAAGAATTTGAAACTACTACACAGCAGACACTGTAACATGGAAACCAAGAGTGAGGAAAATCTTGTGATCATTAACTATTTATCCCCCAAGAGTTTATCTTTTTAAAAAATCTAAATGCCAAAATAATATCTCAGGTTTTAATACCAGCTTTTGGAATGTGCTTATCTGCTAAAGTTCATGCATATGAAAAGAAATCTACATGCCTTTTAAAGTGAGTCATTTTCGTGAAAGCCATCCAGCTCAGAGGAACTATTGATTTTACCATTTTGATGCTTGCCTGGGTGTTTTGCAGAGCTTAGAACAATGAGCAAAAAGTTAAATCATATAAAACTGTGTTTGCCACCGTGACAGGTGGGGGGTGGATGGGAACTGAGGGTCAGTGTGGTGAGATGCAAGACAATCGCCATCAGGGCAAATAATACTGTTTCCATCTATCTCTCACAGCCAGGTAAAGGAGACAGAAGTAGCCCTTCTCTAACTTTTCCGAGATTCCCTTGCTCAGGTTTTAGGGTAACGTCTTGCAATTCTGGGATTCCCTTTCCCAAATCAAATAAAGAAAAAGCTACATACACATCTCTGGAGGAAAATGTCTGTATTAAAAGCCAAAAAACCACATAAGTACAAGAAGAAACGCCCACCAGGCCACGTCACTGGATAGATCAACTTGGAAAAGGTTCATAAAGTTCATTTTCAGCGGTAACAATATATCGGTGTTAAATCCTTCCCATGCCCTCCCCCCAATTTTAAATAAATTAAAAAACCACAAATTTCAAATACAACTATGTTCAGATACAAAGAGCTTCTCTTACTACAGCAATAGCAATTTAATCTTTTTGTTTTGTATTTTTTTTACTAAAACTTTCATTTAAAACAGTTATTAAATATATAAAACAAATACACAGGATTTGGTCATTTTCTGCCATGAATCTAGGGCACGTGGGTGCGGGGAAGGAGTCGGGCAGGGGGATGCAATAGAGGGGAAAGGGCCCCATTTCCCTCCTCTCCGTCTTCGGAGCTGCGATCCCACCCTCAGTCCAAGGGCTTAAACATCTGCTTTTCGGAACTGGAAGCGCAGCACAAACCTTGCTTTTCAAAGGCGCTGGGGTCTCTCGGCGGCCCCATCTCGGGAAGAGGAACTAACGATAACTACAGCACGAAGCACACCGGCCGAGTCTCCGGCGGGAAAGGCACCCGCGCGCGCGGACACAGGACGGACACAGGGAGGAGCGGAGCGGGTCACTTGGTCGCCACCCCCGAAGTGACGGCCGCGGCGGCGGCGGCAGCGGCGGCGGCGGCGGCGGCTGCGGTGGTCCCTGCGGGCACTGCGGCGGGGGTGGCTGCGGTGGTGCTGGCGGTGGTCCGGCGCTGTTCCATGCCGTTGGGCAGGAAGCCGGCGATGATGGGCACCGGCCAGATGAGGGCGGCCACGCTCCACACCACGATGACCAGGGTCATGAAGCAGGCCACCAGCGTGGACTCAATGGGCTTACGGTTCAGCCGCCAGCCCGGCTCGCCCTGCAGCTCCTCCAGGCTGAAGTCTAGGCAGCAGAAATGCAGCGGCTCGCCCTGCAGCCACAGCGGCCCGGGCGGCTCGGCCGCGGGGTAGGCTGGCAGCGCGGTGGGCGCCCCGGCGGTGGCGGCGGCGGCGCTGGGGGCGGCGGCGGGCCGGAGGCGGCCGGTGCGGCGACCGCGCACCCAGCCGCAGCCCACGCAGAGGCGCAGGTCCTGCTGCGCGCCGCCCGCCGCCAGCCCCAGGTGCTCGATGAGCAGCGGCGGCCCGACGCGGTGGAAGGCGGCGGCGAAGAAAGCGCGGCCGTGCGCGTTGGTGGAGAAGAGCAGTAGGTCGCACTGGAAGCCCCGCGGGCGGCCCCAGCGCACGAGCAGCGAGCTCAGCATCTGCCGCTGCACGCTGATGTTGCACGGCGCCGCCGCCGCCGCCGCCTCCTCCGGGCCCGGGCGCTCGGGGGGCCCGGGGGCCGCCGAGGCCAGCAGCCGCGGGGCGATGGGCTCGTCCGCGGAGGACGCGTTGACTGAAGCATTGGAGGGCACCCCGAGGAGGCCGGGCGCGTCCGCGGCCCCGCCGCGGACGGGCGGCAGCGGGCAGGCGGCGGCCAGGAGCGCGGCGAGCAGGGGCAGCATGGCCTGCGGCGGGCGCCTACGCGCGCGAGGCCGGCGGCGGTTGCATGGCGAGCGGGCGACGGGCCGGCGAGCTCACGGTGGGACCGCGGGAGCCGGCGGCCGGGCGCAGTGCGGGCGCGCCGGGCGCCTGCCAAGCCCGCAGGGGCGGCGCGGAGGCGGTGACGGCGGCTGGCTCGGCGCGGGGATCCCTCCAGACCCGGTTGCGTTTGGGGTTCCCCGCCGCCCCCGGCGCCGGGGCCCTTGGGCTGCCGCGCTGCTCTGCGGGGCCGGGTGCTATCCCAGAGCAGGATTCCCCGGCTCGGCTCCGCCTCCCGCGTGCCCCGCCCCGCCCCGCCCTCCGCTCGCCAGGCTCGGGGACTCAGGGGAGGGCGGGGTTCCACGCGCCGGGGCTGGGAGAGGAATCGCCGGGGCGGGGCTGGGTGCGGGGGCGCGGCGGAGAGCGGATCGCCCGGGGTGCGTGCGGGCGGGCGGGGAAGCCTGCGGACGCGCCCGGGCGCCCCCGCGCTCCGGGTGAATCGCGTTCTCAGAGGGAGGCTCCAGGGCCCGGAGACCATCCTTTTGTCAGGCCTGAGGGGAGCTTCGCTGTCTCGCCTTAGTGCTACCGAACCTCCTTTGTTTTACAGAAGGGGAAACTGAGGTCGAGAGAGGGGAAAGGGCCTCGCTAGGCCAACTCATGAGCCAGAAACAAGTCCGCGCCACTAGCTCTTTCTGCCTTTTTACGGTGTCTCTTACCTCAAATCTGTAGAGTTTGGCTGCTTTTTAATGGCTCCAACACAGCAGACTCACTTGGGATTCTCCTCGCAGCAAGCGAGGAAAATTCCAAGAACTCTGTGGAGTTTCGAGTGGAGAGTGACTGGCTGGGGGGAATGTGAGCCCTGAAGCTGTGCCGCCTGGGGGTCCCGAGGACACAGGTCCTGACAGGTCGAGTGAGCGCGTGTTCATGAAACAGTTGTAGGTTAGAACCCACGTCAAAGGGGCAGTTCATCCCCTTTGGGATATTATACGGGAGGAGGGCTACCAAGAATAACGTGTCAAGAGATCAGATTTATCACATTTATATTGAAAAGCACTTTCTTAGTAGTTCGGCCCCTCACACTTGGAAACAAACTTCAACGACCCTTCATCATTCCCATCGTTCTTTAGGGGACATTTATGTTGAATTATTATCTATTTTATTTTAGTTGGAAGCCCTTGTACTCCATGAGCACCAAGTATTCCTGATTCGGAGAGGGGAGGGGTGGAGGGAGCAGAGAAAGGCCTCAACAAAACCGCCTTCCTTCTAAACCAGCTAATCCTGAGAGGTCTGCCAAGAGTCCAGCTACATTGCTAGGCATCCTGGCTGATTACTTTTCTGGAAGCTTTTGTCCATTGTTTTCTAACAATGAGTAAAATGGGACTGAGAAAGTTGCAAAAACGCCTCAAAATAAAGCTCCCCAACTTATTCCACCTCTTGCCATCTAAGCAAGCCATTATTCTGACTTAGCCTTGGTTTCCCCATCTGAGTTGGGGGGTGGGTGGTACCTCCTCACAGGGCTGCTGTGATAATACTCCCAACCCAGTGTCTATCTGTCCCCAGATGTTCCCACATGGTGGTTGCTGTGATGTGGTTACTAACAGTGCTGCCCAAGTTGGCTGCCTAGAGTGGTCCTTGGTTTCTACAGAAATGGTTCATTTCCCCAAGGGGATGGGACTCCCTTTTCGTTTCAGCCTCCATCACTTTTGTGCTTGGAAGTGGTGCTACCAGGGAGAACAATGTGAATTTTCCTGCTTTTAATAAAAATGACTTCTCCTTTCAACCTTTGCATATCAGGAACAGAAGCTGCTCAGTGATGTGGCAGAACAGTTTTAATTTAAGCCATGTGTCTGGTGAACCCTGAAGAACAGGAATATCAAGTGATCCTGAGGGCTGAGGGAGGCCTAATCTTCAAGGGGTGCGTTTTGAGCCAGGCTGTTGCCTGTGACTGCAGATGACATTCTCTGGGGTTTCAGTCAGAGGCAGAGGCTTCCTGAGCTTTCCTGAGACACTCCTGGCTTTGTCTGTGCAGGGGGGAAGGCAGCAGCAAAGGGAAAAGACAAGAGATCTATTTGGGGAGCCAAGCAGTTCCCTGCAAAGTTGCGCCACTGAAGCTCTGCATCCTAGCAACCTGCATTCTGCCCACTTTTCCAGCAGGTGCCGTCCTGAGGACTCCGTCACCTCGCCCTCATTCAGAATGTAATTACCCTTCAAATAGTAACACAGATCCTACTTTCTAGATTGATTTGCTATCTTTTTGGAATTTGAGAACAGAAGATAGCGAGGAAGTTATTTTCTATCTTGTTTACTACTGTTCCCAGCAACGGGAAAAGCACCTAGCTCAGGGTAGAGGCTCAGTAAATACATTTTTGTTTGTTTGTTTTTTTGAGATAGAGTCTTGCTGTGTCACCCAAGCTGGACTGCAGTGGTTCGATCTCGGCTCACTACAACCTCCGCCTCTCAGGATCAAGCCATTCTCCTGCCTCAGCGTCCTGAGTAGCTGGGACTACAAGCATGCGCCACCACGTCTGGCTAATTTTTGTATTTTTAGTAGAGACGGGGTTTCACCATGTTGGCCAGGCTGGTCTCAAACTCCTGACTTCAAGTGATCCGCCTGCCTTGGCCTCCCAAAGTGCTGGGATTACAGGTATGAGCCACCGTGGCCGGCCAATACTTCTTGATTGAACAAATTTGCCTACCTCTGACTAGCTTCCGCTTGTTTAGTACTTTCCACGTGCCAGGTGTTTGACACATACACACACATCATCTCTAATCTTCACAACAATCCCATGGATGTGATGCCTATTTTACCATGAGAAAACTGAGGCTCAGAGAAGGTGAATCACCTACCTGAGGTCCCACAGCAGTTAGTGGCAAAGCCAGGATATCAGTACAGTCTCCCTCATCTGAAAAGTTCATTTTTTTTTTAAATAAAGAACTAGAGGCATCTCATCTCATGGCAGTAGGCATCAAGGTCTGTGCATAAGTTAAACAAGTATGTGGTACAATTCTATTTTATTTTGATAAAATAAACTTTCAGTTGAGTTCCTTTTTAAAGATGTATTTTTTATAAATATAACAGCCTTATACAAAGGTTGGAAAGCAGGGAGGAAACAATTCTAATCCCAGCTACCTGATGTCTTTACTTTTCTGCCTCTGCATCATTATTCTTTTCTGCATTTTTTTCATATTATCTAAAATGTGCAAATGTTACTTCTACCAAAAAAAAAAAAAGAGGAAAATTTGAAGTCTCACCACCTTTCTCAACCATGATCTCTTTGTGGTCCTCCCTCCAGCTCGGCAGGGACCTGGAGGGCCAGCCAGGGCAAAGGGTGGTCCATGCTCGTGTTGGCTGACTGAGTGAGTCTGCCTACTGGTAAAGAACTCTGCCTGAGCTATCGGCTGACACCTGTTCATAAGCTGTGGTTCTGGCCACCTCTCTGATCCATCTTCTCCTACTTTCCCTTCTTCTCTTCACCTGCTCTGTTCCAGACATCCTGACTTCCCTGCTGTTTCATGAACACACCAAGAAAACTCGACTCAAGGCCTTTGCCCATGCTTTTTCCTCTGCCTGAGACAGTGTTCTGATACCTGTCTTGCTTGCTCCCTCTCTTCCTGTAGATCTCTGCTCAGATGTCGGCTCCTCAGAGATGCCTGTTCTGACCAATCTCTATAAACAATGCCCATTCCCACCATCCCCATCACTCCTCTTTTTTTGAGACAGAGTCTCAGTCTGTCACCCAGGCTGGAGTGCAATGGCACAATCTTGGCTCACTGCAACCTCTGCCTCCTGGGTTCAAGTGATTCTCCTGCCTCAGCCTCCCCAGCAGCTGGGATTACAGTTGCCCCCCATGGCACCAGGGTAATTTTTGTAGTTTTAGTAGAGATGGGGTTTCTCCGTGTTGGCCAGACTGCCCTCAAACTCCTGACCGCAAGTAATCCACCTGCCTCGGCCTCCCAAAGTGCTGGGATTACAGGCGTGAGCCACCGCACCCGGCCTCCCCATCACTCTCCAGCCTCTTATGCATTGTCCCACTTCTTTCAGTACTTCTCATCAGCTGACACACGGTTGTGTTTTTCTTTGTTTAATGTATCTTCCTTTATTTGCATGTCTGCTCCCTCAAAGCAAAACTACCTGTTTTGTTCAATGGAACAGTACATGGCACACAGTAGGGATTCAATAAATAGTTGAGGAATGAGTGAGTGAATTCAATAGACTGAGTCAACCCAGCAAGACATGAGTGGCATCTTAGGGAGTGGAGATGGACAGAACCACCTAGACAGTCCTTATATCAGGTTTAAGGAAGAAAGGCAGATGAGATCCCTTCCATTTCCCCAAATCCTGTAATATTTATAAAATGAATGGAAGGCTTTGATAAATTTCTGATTGTCCATAAAACGAGGACAGCACATTTTTCTCCATGGACTGTATTGTTAGAACACAATAATTGAGGACATCAAAGAAAATTATTAGGAATGATGCATGGTAATTTCATTCTGTTCATTTCCTATGTTCCTCCCCAGTATTAGCTAATTTTTCCTTATACTGCCTATTGAAGTAATAACTTTAAAAAAAGATCTCTCTGAGTTATTTGAATTCCTTTCATCCAGTGACCTCAGAGTGTGGCAGGTACAGCAATTCATTGGTTCTCTTTTATTATGTGGGTGGAATTAAGATATGATTACCATATGTTGTAGACTGAGAAATAAGCAAGAACCACAAAAGAATCATAACAACAGGACGGAAAAAAGCAGCAGCTAGAAGCCAGTGGTTCAGCTATATCAAAGTCATAGGAGGTTGTCGTACTTGTGTTGAGTGTGTGTTTTGGGGAGGACTGGGAAGTGAAGAAAATAATGCTTTTCATGGGTGTCCTCCTGATACATCCCATTTCTCATATGGGAGGCTCGAGGACTGGTTTGCAGGAGCAGCTGAAGATCTGGGCATCTGCCAGGGGCCGCTGGAATGGAAGTCTGGAAGCCCCCAGTGTTCAGCTGATTTAGACCCTGACAGTCTCTTGCCCTCTGCTTGCATGAAGCATTTCGATTCCCCGCCCCCCTGCCCCCCCCATGTCTCTACCCAATCTCCAGGGTGTGGACATTTATCCTTCCTGACCACCATGGTCAGAAGGGAGGGTTGCCTCTGCAGAATTCTGGCTGCAGTTACAGCCTGCACAGTTCATTTGGTAATCATGGGCCGCCTTGGGACAAGCCGACTGTTGCCAGCCTACATTGTTACTTAGACTTAATTCTGTCTTGCACATTAAATGTTTGCATGTGGATACCTTGTGTGCATGGTAGGCAGGGACTGCTGCCTGTATTTCTTTTCTGTAGTCATGCTGTTCATCTGGTAAGATTTCAGCAAAGACATTTTGAGGAAGTAAGAAGCTTCTGCTCTTCTGGAGAGATGGAGAGTGTCTAAAAGAGCACTGGGAGGAAAGTGGTGCCCATGTGGTACATGTGGTGCCCTTCAGTTTTCTTGTCAATGAAAACGAGAGAAATGCCTGCTGAGAGAGCACCTCTCCTGGGCTTAGCCTGACGTTGGCACCTTTACCAGATGATAGCTGTCCCTTAACTGGCAGTTACTTGTGCCAGGCGCTGTGCTAAGAGCTTGAAATGCATCCTTACCATTGTTCCATGAGGAAGAGATTTCTGTGCCATTTTACAGATGAAGTAAACTGAGGCTCAGAAGGATAAAGTGACTTTTACAGTCATACAACGGTGGAGCCGAGATTCAAGCCTTGTCTGACAACCTTGTTTTTCACTGCAGCCCTGCTGAATGGCCTCCATCATCACTAACAACCTTGCGAGTTGGAGGTTATCTTCCCATTTTACTGATGAGAAAACAGGTGCAGGAAGGCTGGGCATTGGACAAGGACCGACTCATTGGCTCTTCAGCCTTCCAGGAATATACCCTGCATCCAGTCTCAATTCATAAATTCTGCCAATACTGAAATACTTAAGGATGTTTTCCCAGTCTGATGCATCCTTACTGATGAAGCTCTGGCTTGTGGTTTTCCTGCTATCAAGTGTGTCTCCTCCACTGGTGTCTTTAATGCTCAGCATGGCACCTGGTACAGAGTAGGTGCTCAGTTAGTGCTGGTCGGGAACCTGGGATACAGCTTGACAGACACCCAGCCTGCAGCTCCCAATTTACTTAGGAGCCTTCACGTATGACATTGGTGGATTTTTAAACAAATTACTTGGAGAGGTACGGAAGAGAGAGGGGAAAAAGTCCAGGGAAACTAACACACATTGATAGGGACAGAAAAGTGGTTTCTGTGAAACGACTGCTGTGAAACACTTATTTCTGGGGTTAATGTCCATCACATGAACCTAACAGAATCTATTCCTTGAAAACAAAATGTTTTGTAATATGGTAACATGCATTTCTATAAATTTGTGTGCCACTTAAAGTAATTTTTTTGGGAGAGACAGCCCTTAAAGCAAGTGATATTTTGTGGTTTGTGTATCCACCTTATAACAAATTAAGATGACATTTAGCATTCATAATTGTAAATTCTGAGGATTTCAATGTTGCAAACCTGAGAGACAAAGCTGCACCATCAAAGTCAAGGCAGCTGGATGTTCCCCATCAGCCACTAAAAGTGTCATAAAAATTTACTTCATGCTGCTTCAAAACAGCACTAACATTCCCTTCAAAGGAAATAATTGGCATTCCATTTACAGAGATGCAGAAGAGATGGGGGAAGCAAAAGCCCATTTTGAGAGAGTCAGGAACATTGGAACACATTTATCATGGCCTTTCATGCCTTCTAACCTCAGTCCTTCTTGCTGGATCTATGGGCTCCTACATGCTTGTGGGACAGCTGAAGTTTGCTTGGATGTGCTCATTCAGGCAGATGTTCTGCCTGACAGTCTCTTCACGTTGAGATTGCCTCTTGGTCAGTCTGTTCTCTCTTTTTCTACTAAAGTCCTCAGATTTGGGGATTTGAGAGAGTTGTGACTATGACCACGGAGCCTAGCAAACCTGGCTTGGATACACCATTTTGTCTTGTTGTGTCTCAGTTTTCATGTCTATGAAATGGGCCTAATAGCTGCTCTATTGTGAGGGTTAAATGAGTTTATTGTTATAAAACAGCCAGTTCAGTGCCTGCACAGGGTAAGTATTCAGTGAGTCCAGCTAGCTAGCACTTTTAGTTCCAGAAAGTACTGCTTTTTGGAACACTGGCATGTGGCTTCTTCTCTGTCCTTACCCTAATGTGGAAACTGGTATATTTCCACCTGCATGGATTCATCACTGTATGTGGAAAATAGGGAGGGCAAGCTCCCAGCTTAAAAGAAGCTAAATTTCTATCTACATGGGGCCATCCTTGGCAATCAAGCAAATCCAGTGGCCATGACAGTTAGAAGAGATCCTAGAGGCCACCTAATCCAAACTCCTGATTTTATACATGTGGAAACCAAGGCACAGAGAGGGGTCCTGGCTGTACCAAAGATCACAATCTGGTTGATAACAAAACCAGGGCTAGAAGCCAAGCCCCTTGGCCAACTGAGCATCAGGCACAGCGCCTCTCTAAGTATACTCCTTTGCAGTGCTTTCATAGCTGCACTTTAAAAATGAGGTCCAGTTGCAAAGTGAGAGCAATGAGCCTTTCTAATTTACTTAGGAAAGAAGAGGAAAATGATGGCCTTTATAATTGCTGGAATCACACTTCTAACTAGATTTACAGGGTGGAGGATTGATTGCATGCACCAAGAGTGCCGGTGTATTCAGCAAGCTTCCGTTCTGATGCAATTAAGGCTTGCTCCTTCCAGCTCTGCTGAGGACCTGGGTGAGATTCCAGGAGACTCAGGTGTGAGATGGAAGCCCAGGCTGCACCAGCCCTGGCCTTAAGTTTGAATAAATCCGTGGAAATAGGCAAAAACTTGGAGCCCATGTTCTAAGTGGGGCTGTTGGGTCATCACTAGGCTGAGCAGAGGAGACTAACTGAAAGAGCATTCCAGCTACAGACTCCAGAAGATTCTGGGTAATTTGTAGGTGGAGCCTTCTTGACCTTCTCTAACTAGGCCCTGGACCAGTGAAGACCAGGTCTGGAAGGATACCAGGTTGTCTTGGGGTTTGAATCATCTATGAACTGTACAGTCTTGGGCATAATGCTTACCACTCTGAGCCTTAGTTTTCTCAACTGTAAAATGAGAATAATAATGGAGCACTTGCTTCACGGGGTTGTAGTGAGGACTAAAAGAACTAACATTTTAAAATTACATGGGACCGTACCTGATATGTAGTAAGTGTTCAAAAACTATTAAATAAATGAGTAAATAAAGACATGAACTATATGCCTGGAGACTGTGGAAACTTTAAGCTGATGACTTTGCCTCTGGCCACCTGGACTTAGAGCCTGCCACTTGCTCATACTCCCCCTCTGGTGTGACTGAACCTGTCTCCACACCACATCCTGGTTGGGGAGGGTGGGGCTAATGTCTCTTTCTCTCTTCCTTCTGCTTGTTCCTGCCATCACTTGGATCCAGTCCTGGGTCATGCTTCCTGTTACCTGGGCTGCTGAGCAGACTCCTGCAGTCCTTCACACAGTAGCAGAATCCCCATGGGACTGCCTGCTTGAAGCTTTATGCCATGGTCACTCAGGGCCTCCTGTGCCCTTTCCCTGCTGCCCAGGTGGCACCTCGAGGGCAGCCTCCATCTTGATTGTATCTGGGTTTGTTCTGCCCTCTGGACTTTGGAGATGTGTGCCATGAGCTTCTCCAGAAGAGTCCAGTGCTGCCCTGCAGCTGGGCCTGTGGTCCTGGCCTGCTCTACCCACCTCACCTGGCATGGCTCATGCCTTTTGGCTGGCTGCTGAGCAAGAGATGGAGTGCGCAGGAGAAAGGAATCAGACCTCTTCTGTAACCAAACTCCTGTGGAAATCTAGACCAATGAAGCCTAGAGATCTGAGCTGCCCACTTGTCACTCAATTGTGAGTGACAGTATGGCAAGAAAACACATTATTTACCCTTCTAGAGGCAAACCAAAGAGGCTCACAATGTCCCACAATCCACCAAAGGCCCAGCCATCTCTCTGCCCACCAAAACCCATATCCTCAGTGACCTCTGTCCCAAGAAGGGACATCTCCCAGGGAGGACCCATGTGGCCTAAACTTTTCTTCTATGCCCCTGTGGCCTAAACTTTTCTTAAATCTTGTCTATTTTAGTTCCTTGCTCATTGATAATCTGGCGTCTTGTTTTAAGCTCCAAAATGGCAAATCACTTTTATTTTGTAGCCTAACTTGGATTGTCTAGGAGTGGTTGTTGGAGTGCTATGTTAAGAAGGACCCTGAGAAATTGAAATACTGCACTGTTAGTGGGAATGTAAAATGGTGCAGCTGCACAGTATGGAAGTTTCTCAAAAAATTAAAAATAGAATTAACATATGATCCAGCAATCTTACTCCTGGATATACATCCAAAGAATTGAAATCAGGAGTTTTAAGAGATATCTGCACTCTCAGGTTCATTGCAGCATTATTCACGATAGCCAAGAGGTGGAAGCAACCGAAATGTTCCAAAGACAGATGAATGGACAAAGCAAATGTGGTATGTGCATACAATGAAATATTATACAGCCTTAAAAAAGAAGAAAATCTTACTATTTGCAACAACATGGATGGACCTGGAAAGCATTACAGTAAGTGAAATGAGGCAGTCACAGGACAAATACTGCATGATTCCACTAATATGATGGATCTAAAATACTCAAACTTTTAGAAGCAGAAAATAGAATAGTGGTTGGCAGGGGATAGGGGAAAGGGGAAATGGGGAGTTGTTGTTCAATGGGTATAAAGTTTCAGTTATATGAGATGATATGGTTTGGATCTGTGTCCCCGCTCAAATCTCATGTCAAATTGTAATCCCCAAAGTTGGAGGTGGGGCCTGGTGGTTGGAGGTGATTGGATCATGGGGACGGCTTCTCATGGTTTAACACCATCCCCCTTGGTGCTATTGTGGTGATAGTGAATTCTTGTGAGATCTGGTTGTTTAAAAGTGTGTGGCACCTTCCCCGTCTCTCTCTTGGTCCTGTTCCTGCCATATAAGATGCCTGCTCCTGCTTTGCCTTCCACCATGAGTAAAAACTCCCTGAGGCCTCCCCAGAAGCAGATGCTGCCATGCTTCCTGTATAGCCTGCAGAACTGTGAGCCAATTAAACCTCTTTTCTTTATAAATTACCCAGTCTCAGGTATTTCTTCATAGCAGTGCGGGAACGGACAAATACACGAGATGAATAAGTTCTAGAGGTCTGCCATACAACATAGTGCCTATGGTTAACAATATGGTATGGTGTGCTTAAAACTTTGTTAAGAGGATAAATCTTATGATCTTATGTTAAGTGTTTTTACCACACACACACCCCCAAAAGGGACACAAACTTTTGGAGGTGCAGATGTGTTTATTAACTTGACTGTGGTGGTTTCACAAATGTATTCATAGGCCTGGCATAATGGCTCACGCCTGTAATCCCAGCACTTTGGGAGGCCAAGGTAGGCGGATCATCTGAGGTCAGGAGTTTGAGACCAGCCTGACCAACATGGAGAAACCCTGTGTCTACTAAAAATACAAAATTAGCCAGACATGGTGGTGCATGCCTGTAACCCCAGCTACTCGGGAGGCTGAGGCAGGAGAATCACTTGAACCCAGGAGGCAGAGGTTGCAGTGAGCCAAGATTGCACCATTGCACTCCAGCCTGGGCAACAAGAGTGAAACTCCGTCTCAAAAAAAAAAGTATTCATATGGCCAAACTC
This sequence comes from Homo sapiens, assembly GCF_000001405.40. Lineage (NCBI taxonomy): Eukaryota > Metazoa > Chordata > Mammalia > Primates > Hominidae > Homo > Homo sapiens. The sequence goes on from NC_000003.12 coordinate 45,236,794, forward strand.
ATCAAATTGTACATATTAAATGTATGCAGTTATTTGTATACCAATTATTCCTCAATAAACCTGTAAAAAACTAAAAGTATGCCAGGGCCATAAGAGGGCTCAGGGAGAAAATGTGATGTACTCAGTACTCAGCAGTTATTGGCCAGGGTTATGAGAAACGCAGACTGTAGTGAATATCTGTGGTTTATCTGCCCTACATCCCTTCTCCACTTTCTTCTGGAAAGGGCATCCCTCTCTTTTGGGTACCTGCTGCTTATTAACTCTGTGTGGTTCCAGTGAGGATACCAATTACAGTACCTTGCTTGCTGGTTCAGTGATGGACATGTGACCCAGGCCTAGCCAATCATGATGCCCCAACCACATAGCCACAGTGATTTGTCCAGGGAACAAGCATGTGACCCAAGCCAGCCAATCAGAGATCTTCCTTGACATAAAGCCAGAAAGGAAGGCTGCTCTTTCCTCTGGAATCACTGGCTGGAGGAAGTGAGACTGGAGCAGTATGCAGCTCTGCCCACGTCTCCCTCCACTCCATGCCCCTTTCCCTTCTCCCGGCACACAGAAAGCCTATAATAGGGTTCTGCTCTGTGTCCCCACCCAAATCTCATGTTGAATTGTAATTCCCAATGTTGGAAGGGGGTCCTGGTGGGAGGTGATTGAATCATGGGGGTGGACTTCCCCCTTGCTTTTCTTGTGACAGAGTTCTCCCAAGGTCTGTTTAAAAGCGTGTAGCACTCCCCACTCCCATGGCCATGTGAAGACGTACCTGCTTCCCCTCACCTTCCACCAGGAATGTAAGTTTTCTGAGACCTCCCCAGAAGTAGAAGCCCGTACAGCCCACAGAACCATAAGCCAATGAAACCTCTTTTCTTTAAACATTACCCAGGCTCAGATAGTTCTTTTTTTTTTTTTTTTTTTGGGATGGAGTCTCGCTCTGTGGCCCAGGCTGGAGTGCAGTGGCACGATCTCGGCTCACTGCAACCTCTGCCTCCCGGGTTCAAGCAATTCTCCTGCCTCAGCCTCCTGAGTAGCTGGGACTATAGGCACGTGCCACCATGCCCGGCTAATTTTTTGTATGTTTAGTAGAGATAGGGTTTCACCGTGTTAGCCAGGATGGTCTCGATCTCCTGATCTCGTGATCCGCCTGCCTCGGCCTCCCAAAGTGCTGGGATTACAGACGTGAGCCACCGCGCCTGGTCTCAGATAGTTCTTTATAGTAGCTCAAGAACAGACTAATACAGCCTGTTTGCAGTAAGAAGGAATAAGGCTAATGGCAGGAGGTGGCAGATGCAGAAAGGCCTGACATTGTCATCTGAGACCCTAGATCCAGCTGGACTTGAAGCCTGCTATCCCTACTGTGATCAGATTGTGGGCTTAAAAACTTAAGCTAGCTTAAACTGGGTCTCCTACACTGCAACCAAATACATGCAGGAAATATCTGTCAACCCTCTTGTTGTCACTCAAGACAACTTCAGTCCTAACAGGGTTTTAAGTTTAACTGGGAAGCCCCTTCACTTCCTCTCTTCACACCCCCAGAGGTTGCCTGGCTCTAGTCTTAGAACCCTCTAAAAGCAAGAAGAGTACTTTTTTCTCCTCTTAATTATATTCATAAGTGCTATGGGTAACTCTTCTTCCCCCTGCTCAATCTCAGGAGAAATTTTTGTTCCTATAGCAGGGGTCCCCAACCTCCAGGCCATGGACCTGGCTGCACAGCAGGAGGTGAGTGGCAGGAAAGCCCAGGGAGCAAAGCTTCATATGTATTTATAGCTACACCCTACTGCTCGCATTACCACCTGAGCTCTGCCTCCTATCAGCGCGGCATTAGATTCTCACAGGAGCACGAACCCTATTGTGAACCGCACATGCGAGGGATCTAGGTTGTGTGCTCCTTATGAGAAGCTAATGCCTGATGATCTGTCACTGTCTCCCATCACCCCCAGATGGGACTGTCTAGTTGTAGGAAAACAAGCTCAGGGCTCCCACGGATTCTATATTATGGTGAGTTACAAAATTATTACATATTACAATGTAATAATAATAGAAATAAACTGCACAATAAGTGTAATGCACTTGAATCATCCTGAAACCATCCCCTACCCCATGTGTGGAAAAATTGTCTTCCATGAAACCAGTTCCTGGTGCCAAAAAAGTTGGGGACCGCTGCTCTGTAGGGCTGAGCATTTGAACCAAATCCTTCAACTTCTGTGAGTCTGTTTCAAGGTCATAATCATGAATAAAGAAAATTTTTAGCTCCAAGATGTGTATTATACATTGTTTATGATAGCAAAAAACTGGAAGAAACTTAATGTCTATAAATAAGGGGATAGTTAAGTCAATGTAGCCATGTTCACATTATGAAATAGTATGCAGCCATTACAATGGTATTTACAGAGTTTCCTGCTTAGCGTGGCATTGAAAGCACTATGCAGAATTTAGCCCTCTCGTGGTGTTCACGAGGAGCATTGAACCACTGAGTGCAAGTGATTGTTCGTATAATCTTTACTGACACTTTCTGTAGTTGAGGGAGAGGTCACATTGCACTGGGGCGTGCAATTCCACTGTCAATTCTTTGCTATACTCTTTTGTTGTCCACATCCCCTGCAATAGTCCCGTTGTGGGGTCTCAGTCTCTTGTGTCTTTCTCATGCAGCACCTAGCCTGTCTTCACTCTCCTCCTGTCTTGATTTGCTTTAAGGAAACTCAAAAGCCTTTCCTGTCAGTCACAAAGAGCAATCTAAATCTCTCCTAGCTCCTCCCTCCCAATTCATCCTGGGACACTCCCTCCCCACCCACCGCCCCCACCAGAGCCATTCAAGTAGCTAGATTCTTTCTCCTTATGAGGCAGTTGAGCCCTGATTTTTGCCACTGGAGCCCGTCCTCTGAGGTTCCTACCTCCATTGCAAATGGCCAGGAGGGCTTCTCAGACCTAACTGCACCAGAATCCTTGGAGGGTTCCAGAAAGCACAGGTGCTGGGCGCTGCCCCAGCGTTTCTGATTCAGCACATCTGGGTGGGACCTGAGAATTTGCATCTCGAACAAGGTTCCAGGTGATTCCCAAGTGATGTTGATTCTGCCAGTCTGGGGATCACACTTTGAGAACCACTGGCTTGGAGTATTTCTTCTCCACACAAACAAGACTCTCCCTAAGAGGAATTTTGGTGAAGAGTGTTTTTTCCATCTTGTCACATAGTATTATCATTGTTAGAGGGTAAAAAACTGACCTAAAAATGCTCGTGCCTGGAGTGTCTGCTTCTCAGTCTCTCCAGACCAACAGAAAAAAGGATCACAGACCAGCCATCTGCTGGGTTTGTTTAACCAAAGAGATGCAGATCAGGACCCATAGCTTGGAAAGTGAATTTCTAGCACTTAACTAGAGCCATACCCATGGTCACCAACCCAGAGAAGATACCAGTGTTGGGAGCAGATTTAGGCCTGCATGGGGCTGGAGTCTGGGGCCCCAGGAGCCAGGTGAGAGAGGTAGACCAGTCAGCACAATGGCAGCTATATTCAGTTACCTCTGTGCTAGGGCATGTTGGAGATGGCCAAGGGCACAGCTGGCCTAGCTGTCCCTGCCCCCAAGGCCTTGCTGTCTGTTGAGGACACTGGTCAAGCCAGCATGTGCAAATATGCAGGCACCTTGAACTCACGGTGGAAAAGCCGTGGGTGGTAGAAAAGTCCCAGGGGATATGCTTCTAGTCCCATGAGGGACATTAGTTAGCGAAGCTTTGATCTGGAGCATGTCACATTACCTTCCCAGATGTGTCATTGATAAAACAAGGGGCTCGCACCAGATGATGACCTCTGTTCCATAAGACTCCACAGCCAAATGGACCCTCAGGGCTGGCATTTCACTTCTCTATTAGGATTTTCTTTTGGGGGAGCAGGGCTGGATGGACCTGCTCAAATGTTGCGAGAACTTGGGACAGTTATAACACCTTGGTGTGTTTTGCAGCCTCCTTTGTCATGAGGCTCAGACTGCTAGAGACTCTCCACCCTGTGCCTGATCCCTGTGGTGCTTTTATTTTGACAGGTGGACACAGGTGTTGGGGGAGCACAGGTGTGGAGATAGGGGCATGCTTCACTCCAGATGTTGGGGGTGCCCAGCACAGCTGACCTGGGTTGACCCCAGCTGGCTGTGTGGTACATCTGAAAACAGGAGTGCTGGGAGAAAAAGCATCAATGGCTCTCGCTTAGGCCACTCTATGGATGGCAGACCAGACCAGACCATTTAAAATGGCTGTGGATCATGAAGGGAGGGACTCAATTGGGACTGGACTGGGGACAATATTGCAGTCTGTGTACAAGAGTGTGGCTCCTCCTTGGAGCCAGCTGTGGGACTTGCCATTGCCTGCTATAGTATTGGTGGGAATTTGGGGGTCATTTCTGCAGTTTCCCCAGATTCTATAGTCGGACTGGTCCCAGGACATCAGAGAGGTCTCATCTGCCAACAGGAGCTCTTGGTGGCCATGCCAGCCTTGGGCAGGGCCCCCTCTCTGGTCAGATGGTGCTGCCCTTGTGACTTGAGAGGCAGGCCCACGCTGAGGGTTTTTTCCCTTTTTCCTTGGCTGTGTCCCCGTTCCCCAGTACCTTGGGATTCTCTTGGCTGATAACTACCTGAGCACTTCACACCTCATTGAAAAGTCACCACAATACTTACCAGATCATTAACAGGAGATTTGAAAAGGCACTTCAAAGCCTCTCTCCCAGAATTGCTGAGACAGGTGTAAGAGTCTATCTGAGCAAAGAGTAGCCAGTTTAAAGTGATGTTGGGGATTCAAAGAGTAGGTGTTCATGAAGCTGGGTTGAGCATCAGCGGGATAGGTAACCTTCTAATCCGAGCATTGTAACAACCCATGCAGTGGTGAGGAGGTCTGACAGTTTTAGATGAAACACAAAATGTATGGACTTTATTGCTCCTCTCACACTTTAATGAGGAATTTGACCGCAATTCTAGGTCTTCAAATGCCTGGTACTTATTTTGGCAAGAATAAACATAAACAAATCATTCTGCACCACAGTCTTCATAATTAATTTTACCAATTAAAGTTAATGAGGTGATATAACTGCAAATCAAATGCCTGAATGGCTGGGGTTGGGTGGGCAGGTAAACTTTCCTTCTACCAAAAATTCTACACGAAGGAAGATAACAAAGGGTTGTTTCCAATAGGCAGACTGTTAAATTGCAACCCGTAGAAGAAACCACTTTAGTGAAACTTTAACATTAGTAGTTGCATCATGACAAACCTGAGTGTTGTTTGAATGGATATACAAGCCTTCCCTACCTGGAAACCTTGTTTTCAGAGATCCTTGTCCACTTGCAAGGGATCTCTGGGTAGCAACAGACTCAAGTGCAGATCTTTATCTTTCTGCCAGTGGCTAAGTCAGTGGGTTTCATTTGTAGCTGCATGTCAGAATCACCTGGGAAGCTTCTTAGTAACACAGATGTCAAGACTCACTCAAGACATATGGAATCAGAATCTCTGGGGACAGAGACCTGGCATCCACATTTAAAAATAACTAGCAGGCCGGGCACAGTGGCTCACGCCTGTAATCCCAGCACTTTGGGAGGCCGAGGTGGGCGGATCATCTGAGGTCAGGAATTCGAGACCAGCCTGACTAACATGGTGAAACCCCGTTTCTACTAAAAATACAAAAAATTATCCGGGTGTGGTGGCATGCACCTGGAATCCCAGCTACTTGGGAGGCTGAGGCAGGAGAATCGCTTGAACCCGGGAGGTGGATGTTGCAGTGAGCTGAGATCACACCATTGCACTCCAGCTTGGGCAACAAAAGCGAAACTCCGTCTCAAAAAACAAAAAATTTTCAGGGTGATTTTTGTGCCATTTTAGAACGAGGGTGTTTGGGAACTATAGGAAGCTGAAAATACTTTTAGTGAGGTTTTTTTTTTTTTTCCCATATTCAAAGCTACTTCAGAGCACAACTGCTTTAAAATGTCACTTCTGGGCCTTCAGCTATGTTACCTCCAAGAGGGCTAATTTGCAAGGTGCCTTTCCTAGATGCCAGACAGGAAACGTAAGCCAAGTACAGGAGTGTTTGGACTCGTGGTGACCATCTTTCATGTCGTGCGATCATCTGTCTGGCACTGTGTAGGCTGGAAACAAGGTGTGAAGCAGCCAGCAGTTAGTGGTGTTTCATATTTGGAAGTAGCAAACTCCACCTAGGATGTCCTGCTATCTGGGTATGACTTGCTAAAATGTCGCTGTGTCCATTTGTGCATGAGACCAAGCATGCTGTGTGGGCCCAGGTGGGCTGGTCCAAACTGCACACCCCACCCTAGATTGTCTGCCTGACCCCTGGAGGGTGGGCCATGCAGCCGGAGGATGCCTTTCCCTACATCCATGGTGGGAAAGGTAGGTGCTGGGCGGCCCTAGAGGGGGCAAGGGTGATGGGCAGGAGGCAGTGCTAGGTAGGAAGGTGTCACCAGCTAGATGGGAATCTATTCTTGGGACTCTCTCATGGATCAACCTGGGGGCCCCACCTAAGTCTTTCAATGTGCTGGTCTCAACTTGTCCTTTTAGATTTTATTAAAATCACCTCAAAAATCTGTCCCTTGGCTGATAGACACACAAATATCTCTCATGTATCTCTGGGTATTCTGGGCACTCACATCTCTCTTGACTGCCTCTGGCCATGGCTCCTGCTGCTGCTGGGCCCCCAGTCTCCGCCGTATGCCGCTGTATTTTCCCACAGACTAGCCTGCCAACCGACTCAGCCCCAGTCTTTTCTTACCCCTAAAGTTCCACCAGCCCAAGGCTTTGGGTGGAGCAAACTTCCAGACCCAATTCAGAGCCTGGAGACCTCACAAGGATGTCTTTGACCTCATCCTGGGCCGGATCCTTTACACACTCATGCTACTCCTTGTGCTTTAAAAGTGAAGCATGGCTGGGCGCAGTGGCTCACGCCTGTAATCCCAGCACTTTGGGAGGCTGAGGTGGGCAGATCACGAGGTTAGGAGATCGAGACCATCCTGGCCAACATGGTGAAACCCCATCTCTACTAAAATACAAAAAAAAAAAAAGAAAGAAAATTAGCCAGGCATGGTGGTGCGCCCTGTAGTCCCCAGCCACTTGGAGGCTGAGGCAGGGGAATCGCTTGAACCTGGGATGCAGAGGTTGCAGTGAGCCGAGATCATGCCACTGCACTCCAGCCTGGTGATAGAGCGAGACTCCATCAAAAAAAAAAAAAAAAAAAGCAGCATACATCCCACTCCTGGCCCAATTCCCCTCCTCATCCAGCATCTCCTCACCCCTCAGAGACCTCTGAGACTCCACCCGCCAGGGCAACACTGCCAGTGCCAAGACCTCCAGGTTGAGAGACAGCGGGGAAATCAATTGCAGGGGGATATTTCACCCCTCTGTGTTTCTCAATGTTATGGCTTCAGCATTAAAATCAAATAGCCAGAGATAAGATTCTGCAGGCATAAGCCAATTATATGCATATGTCAGGCAAATCATATGCAAATAACACATGTGACTCTGCCCTGGATTGAGTCTGCTCAGATGTGTCTCTTAGAAGCAGGCTAATAGAGATAATTGGTAAAGTGCATTTAAGGTGTGGGGGCCACAGGGGCAAGAGGGGAGAATGGCGAATTCTTAAACCCCAACTGCAGGCCAGGAAGTTTTACATATGTCATGTGTTCAATTAGCACTTACTCCGTGGCTGCTGTGTGTCCAGAATGGTAATAGGGATAGTGAGATAAATGAAAAGCTGTGCACCCCACCGGAACTCTCAGATGAGTCGGGACACAAACACGATGACAAGTACAGGATGCTGTGGGGCATGCACAGACCATCTGTCTAAATCACACTGGGGCATCCAGAAAGCTTCCTGGAGGTGGCGATGCCTGAGCTGTGTTTTGAAGGATAAGTAGGAGATGTTAAATTAAACAAGGGGAAAGGAAAAAATAAAAAATAAAAATAAATTTAAAAAATAAATAAGGGGAAAGGCGTTGTAGGCTGCCTGGCATATTAAGTGGATCAGCATGGTGCTGGGAGGAGTGCATGCACCAGGTAGGGGAAATGAGGGGAGAGGGGGTTGGTGAGATACAGGGGCTGGATCATTAGGGGATCAGCATGGAGCTGGGAAGGTGGAGCTTCATCCTGAAAAGTGAGCATGTAAGCAGGAGAATAATGAGATAAGGAGATGCTTCTGGAAGCTCTCAGACTGCAACATGGTCCATGGGCTGGAGCAGGTCCAGGTGGGGCAAAGAAGCCAGGCAGGAGGGCTTAGACCAAGCAATAGTGGGAGAGACAAGGAGGTGGAAATCATCGGGAAGTTATTTAGGATCTCAGAGTAGTAGGACTCTCTGATCAGTCAGTTGTGGAGGGTGATGGTGAAGAGGAATCCTGTATGATTAGCAGGTTTGGAGCTTGGGAGGTGGACATTGGACCATGGGAAGAAAGCAAGTGAGAGAGCAATTTTATTTTGGACACATTTGGTGTGAGGAGCTGGAGGGTATCCAAGAAGCCATATCCAAGATATATGACGCCTCACACTGCCTTGGGTCACATTCTCCAAAAGCAAGTATTTTATTTGAATGTAAGTATTTTATGATGGAAGTGCTCCCAGGAGAAACCTAGAAGGGAGTGGGGAAAGCAGGACCAGGAAGGGGAGGAAGCCAAGCAGAGTGAGACCTCAGCAGCCCTGTAGAGGGTGGCTTCATCCTGATTCCACAGGGAGCACTGGATGGAAGTTACACCTCGGAATTTGTCCCCACTCTAAGCCAGGGGACTCGGCTGTCCTACTCCCACTCCTGTCTGTTATGAGCCTGGGGCTGCCCTGGGTAAGGATGGGGAGGAAATTAGCAGGCACTTCAAGGTCTCAGAGTATGTGGCTTGAGAATGGTCCTCCCATGTTCATCTCCCAAAAAGACTGGCAAGTGTGGTTATTGGAAGCAAAAGCCCACTGAAGGCGGGGAGGGGTATGCAGAAATAGCAAAAGCCACCTGAGGGCATCTGGGCAGGGCACCAGAGTGTCTGCTGGCCACATGGAATCCCGGACCCTCAACATTGATCTGCAAAGTAGGTGCATCTGTGCTTTGCAGACAAGGGCATCAAGTTCAGAGAGGTTAAGTAACTTGCCCCCAGTCACACAGATAGAAAGAGGTGGTGAGCCTTGGAACCCAGGGCCTTTAGATTTCCCACGCTGCCTATGCATCTCACAGCTGCTAGTTAATTAAAAGAGCGTCATCGTCAAGGGCTAACACCACACCAGCCTCATCCATGTGATAATGGCTTTGTTCCAAGCAACCCCGGAGCCATTTTCCTTCTTAGGTTGCAGGCGAGGAAGCAGAGGTGCAGAGAGTCACCCAGCCAGGGCCAAGAAACTGGGATTTGAATCTGGGTCCATCTGAGTCCCAATCTCATCCCTAGGTTGAAATCCATTGCCCTGGGCCTTCTATCTCGAGGCACCATCCCAGCAATTGCCCAGACTGTGTCTTGCCCAGACACATTTTGAAAGACTGTCTTGGAAAATGTGTGGGGCAAGGTCAGGTAAAATTTTTAGGTTTCTTGGGGGTCACTTAATGTCCTTTGGCAAGAAGGTAGAAAAATCCAGACCTGGATCCAGGCCTCTGGGTTGTGCAGATTGCCGTGGCCTCCTCCCTGGCCCAACTCCATAGAGAGAGGGCTGGGTTCTGCCAGTTCTGTTGCTAGTGGTTTCTGAAAGGGTAATTTGGCAAACAATGCTGAGAAGCTGGTTGTGGCAATACATTACCATGTTTAAAGAAATTATTTTTATCGCTGTCTGTATTCTGAGGCTCTGAAGAATGCAGCAACCAAAGACAGGTTGCGTAGAGGTTCTGTTTGTGTGGGCCAAGGGTGAAGGCACAGATGAAGGAGTGTGTGTGTGTGTGTGTGTGTGTGTGTGTGTGTGTGTGTGTTCGTGTTCGAATTCCTGCCTGCTTCTCAGCTGGATAAAATGTATTATGCAGGCACTAGGTCTTTCCACCCTAGGAAGTGTTCATAGGAGTTTGAAATGCTACATCTTCTTTGGAGAAATGCCTGTCCAGGATGTTGCAGGAGGAACTGACATCAGTGAAAAGATGGGCGCATCAAAAGACATTTCAGAGCCCATGGTGGGCCTGGACCTAAGGGATACTTGACAAGGAGTCTGAGGCCTTCCCCAGATATCCTCCCATGGCTGGCAGGGAAAGGCCTTATCATATGTCCAGCTGAGGGAGAGATGGAAGCATCCCCCATGTTTGAGAAGAACACATTACAGAGAACTTTGATTTACATGACTGACACAATTTTATTTTATTTTATTTTATTTTATTTTATTTTATTTTATAACTTTTTGAGACAGAATTTCACTCTTGTTGCAAGGCTGGAGTGCAGCCTGGCAACCTCCACCTCCCGGGTTCAAGCAATTCTCCCACCTCAGCCTCCCAAGTAGCTGGAATTACAGGCGTGCACCACCAAGCCCAGCTAATTTTTGTATTTTTAGTAGAGATGGGGTTTCACTATGTTGGCCAGGCTGATCTCCAACTCCTGACCTCAGGTGATCCACCCACCTCAGCCTCCCAAAGTGTTGGGATTACAGGTGTGAGCCACCACGCCTGGCCTACTGACACAAATTTTAAGCTTTTCATTAAAGCTAACATTCTCAGAACTTTACACACCCATGCAACCAGCACCCAGATAAAGAAAACAGAATATGACCAGCCCCCCAGTAAGTCTCCTCCTGCCTCCTTCCAGCTGCTCCCCTACCAGGGCAACCCACTCCTGACTTTTAACAACAGAGGTCAGCTTTGCCTGCTTTTGTGCATTCTATAAAAGGAATCATACAGACTGATAGAGGTTGGATGTTTATCTCCTCCAAATCTCATGCTGAAATGTGATGCCCAGTGTTGGAGTTGAGGCCTAGTGGGAGGTGTTTGGGTCGTGAGGGTGGACCCCTCATGGATAGCTTGGTCCCCTCCCTGAGGAAATGAGTGAGTTCTCATTCTATTACTTCATGTGAGATCTGATTGTTAAAAAGAGTCTGGGACCTCCCACCTTTCTCTTGCTCTCTCTCACCCTGTGACACACCAGCTCCATTTCCCTTCTGCCATGACTAAAAGTATCTGAGGCCTCCCCAGAAGCAGATGCTGTTACCTTTCTTCTTGCACAGCCTGCAGAACCATGAACGAAATAAATGCCTTTTCTTTATAAATTACCCAGCCTCAGGTATTCCTTTACAGCAACAGAAAATGGACGAATACACAGACACATTTTGAAAGGGTAATTGGAAACAGCCCTTGTAATGCAGATCAGAAGTTTACTGTCTGGGATACTCATTATTTAACGGAATGTTTTGGTAAAGTCTTTTGTAATTGGATTAACTGTCCCTGGACCCAGCCTTTGTGCATATGAAGTTCTCTTAAAACATCTTTCGGGACTAGGGAGTCATTTGGGCTACTGGAAATTTACCCACATTGAAGGCAGAGCAGCTGGGAGGAATCACCAACCCTAGCACTGAGTTTCCATTAAACAGGACCATCTTGCATATTCTTTTGTTTTAGATCACTGGTTCACAGCCTTGGCTGCACATGGGCATCTCCTGGGGAGCCTTAAAGAATACTGATTGGAGGGGCTGGGGGATTCCCACCCTTCGAGGTTCTGATGGTTTGACTTAAATCATTTTGGCCTTCCTGGCCTTAGAGTTCACCTGCAGGATTATGTAACCAGGTAGAGAAGTTTCTGGCATTAGAGAGGCCTCGTTGGTGCTGTTAAGAAGGAGAAACCAAATGATGCACTTGCTACCGAGATGTTGAGTCATGCCCAGATCCAGGGCAAACATCACTTCTCTAATCTCTCTGATGACAGCCCAGGCCCCACTGGACCTGAAATTGTTAGGGTGATGATGGGGGTGGGGATGAGGAAGAGAAGAAGGATCAAATGGAAGGAAAGTGTGTGGCCTTGGGAAAGTTGTTTAATATTCCCCAAACAATTAAGGCCTCAATTTTTTAATCTATAAAACTGGGGACAATAATAATACCAAATCCATAGGTTTTCCAGGAGTATAAATGAGAAGAAGAATGTAAGCCATTTAGCACAGCAGTGGGCACATTGTAAGTGCTCGACAAAATCTCATGATCATCATCATTATCACCATCGTTAGAGGTTGTCACAGAAGAAGTATTTGTGACTTTTATAATCCTCAATTAAAATGTGCCCATTTGAGCTTGGCCAGAGAAGTAGCAAGTGACATCACCCAATATGTTTTGAGCCAGAAGGGCCTCTCTTTTCTGAAAACGATTCCAGGGGCCATGATTATAAAAACAAGTTCCTAAGACTAACAGGTTGTAATGGTGAGAGCATCTTGCAAACTAGGTCTAGGTCTGCTTGAAAACACAGGGTAAGGGAAGAGGAAATGTTGGATGACTCCATGCTGGCCTGCTCAAGGCTTGAAAATCAGAGGCAGAGGAATTGTTCCCAAGAAAAATTATAGTTCTCTTTTGTCAATATCATGAAATGTAATAGATTTGAGCCAGAACTCGGGATTTTGTAAAACTGAGAAAAGAAGAAGAAAAATTTCCCAACAGCTGAAAATTTAAATAACCACGGCTCCAAGCACTCCATTTTCTTGAATTTTGATGAACTCCAGGTAAGGTAGATCAAGGATAAAGATAGTTTAATAGGGAAGTCAAGGTTACCCAGTGACACTCCAGGCTGTAATGTGGAAGGAAAATTTAAACCCAACCAAATGGCAGGCATCAGCTGATGACATGACCAATAGGCTGATGTCCAATATTAGCTGGATGATGTCCCAAAACCATTTCCTTTGAGACTGTGTTTGTTCATCTCATAGTGTTTACATTTTGCAGGATTTTAAAAGAATAACCAATCCTTTCATTTGATAGTCAGAGGTGCCCTGTATGTGGCGTCCAGAGTAGTACTGTTCCTATTTAATAGCCATATTGTAGAACACACATTCATGTTTTTTCTTTTTTCCTTTTGAACAAAACCTCAGTTTTGCTTCCATATCTATTTCTGCCTCATGTGACTCAGAAGGTAACCTTATCTCCAGCTCGAAGGGTAGATCCTGATTTGATAACTCCAACCCTTCCCAATGATTAGACATGGACATTTAGACATGGATTTGTGACTCAAATTAGGCCAGTGAGAAGTGAGAGGAAGTTTGTTGGATGTCTCCAAGAAAGTTGTCTTTGCGCCTAAGAAAGAGTCGGCCTGGAAATTTCTGTGTCTGAAAGTGACTCCTGGAACTACTTCTATGACTTTGCTAGTAACCTGGTAATAAAACCAGTTGAGAAAAACAGAGTGGAGCAATGGAAAGAACCTGGATCCTCGATGACCATTTAAGCTACGGAGTATACTGAATGCCACCCAACCTCTGGACCTCCGGGTATGTGAAGGCATAATTTTCTGGATTGCTTGGAGTTTTCTGTTACTTGTGGCCCAAAGCATCCTACATGCTTTAGAGTATTCTGGGATTCAGGGGTTAAGTGAATTGCTTACGTCACCCAGACAGTAAGCAGTAGAGAATAGACTGAAACCTTTACTTCTCCACACCTTGTTCAGCTCTCTGCGTTCCTCTGTCCCAGAGTGACAGTTTTACTTTCCTGAAATTAATCATAGGATATACCATCATTGAACTGAAAGTTTGCATCTCATTCTTGCTCTGGCCAGTTAATAAAACAAAGCCAATAATAATCCCTGGCCTATAGCACAGACAGAGCTTTCACGTCCCCACTGAAACCAAGCACGAGTCCCACATTTGGACAGAAGCTGAGGTCCTGGCTGTCTCCCAGATTTCAAATCTCTGTGATCTCACTGCCTCTGCCATGTCTGCTGAAATGCCTGTCTCATACCTTTTTTCAGCCTAAGCATCATATATTCCAATTTTCAATTGTTCTAACCCATGCAGAATTGGCCCATCTTTGCTTTGTACATCACTGTAGTGTCTTCATGCATTTATCTCATCCTAGGATGTAGTATTTCATGGTGATATTTCTCAGCTGTCGTATAAGGACGCTTTCATCTAGACAACAGTGGTTTAAATAATTAGGGAATTTGTCTCTTCTCTTAATGAGAAGTCCAGAAGTTAGTACTTCCAGGGCTAGTTCACCTGCCCCATCCTGTATCAAGGACCCTGGCCCTTTCCTTCCTTGTGTATTCCTTGCCATGCTTTGTATATTGGCCACATTTCTACTCATCACCTAAAGGAGGCTGCCATTGCCCCAAGCATCATGTCATCACACCATGAGGTCCAGGGCAAGAAAAGAAAGGAGGAAAAAATCCTCTTTTCTCTCTTTTATTTTTCAGAGAACATAATCTCTCTTCAAAGCTACCCAATAATGTACCTAAGGTCACAGAACTGGTAAAATAGTGGAGCCAGGATTTAAGTGTGGACAGTCTGACTCTAGACTGTCCCATAGAAATATAGTGCAAGCCATATGTGGAATTTTAATTTTTTGGCAGCCACGTTTAAAAAGCAAAAGGAAGCAGGTGAAATTAATATATTTAACTGAATATATCCATAAGATTTTTGCACATGTGATCAATATTCAAGTTGTTAATGAGATATTTTACATTTTTTCATACTAAATCTTTGAAATCCACCTCCCGGGTTCAAGCAATTCTCCTGCCTCAGCCTCCTGAGTAGCTGGGACTATAGGTGTGCACCACCACACCCAGCTAATTTTTGTATTTTTTAGTACAGACAGGGTTTCACCATGTTGGCCAGGATGGTCTCGATCTCTTGACCTCGTGATTCGCCCTCCTCAGCCTCCCAAAGTGCTGGGATTACAGGCATGAGCCACCATGCCTGGCCAAGTAGTAGTTTTTTACATTTACATTTAAGCTAATTAAGATTAAAATTAAATAGTCATTTCCTCGGTCACACTAGCCATATTTTGAGTTCTCAGAAGCCACATTTTGACCAGTGGCTACTACTGCGTTGGAAAGCATACTTCTACAACCTTGATGTTTGAGCTCATTTTTAATCAAATTCCCCGTAACCAAGGACACAGTACTGTGTTAGCAAGCGACCACCTCTCTTTAGATGGCGCACAAAATCTACCGCTACAAGACTGGAGACCTGCCTTATAGTTGTTTCCCTGTTTCCAGTCAAGGGAGTCACTCTAATTCTCTGGGCCTCTATTTATTCATTTGTCAAAGAGGGACTATTATCTCAAACATCTCCTCCAGCTCTCAAATGCTGTATTATTTCTCTCTTCTAAAAGAGGAAGGAATGAGGGCATTGGTAAAGCCCTGGGCCTGAAGGTACACACACAAGCTCTCTTCAATAAAATCTGTAAAGAGTGGAATATGTTGCCACTCTTTAGCACCTGCCAACGTGCTGTGGCAATCTGGAGGCGCTTGGTGCTCTCTCCTTTTATGCAGTACTAAGGATCCAGCTAATTCTGTCTCCAGAATCCCCAGAATAAAGACAAAGGGAAGCATTGTCCGAGCTCCGAATTTCAGGTTTTTCCTTCTTATACACTGCATTTTAAACAAGGAAAGGCCTACACAGAGATGGAAACCCCCGTATTACGTTTCTGCAATGGTTTTGTGCCCCTGGCTTCCTGGAGTGGGCTGTGTTCTTTCAGTATAAAAGAAAGGACCTTTCTACTCTCCTGGACACCCGTCTTCTTAGACTGTTTACACTGTGTGATCGTGACTTACAGTCAGAAAGGGGCTTTTGGCTTATTGGATAGCATAAAATCTCTATTCTATTTTAGCTGCAGAGCTGTGAAAGGATGACCAGGGTAGTCAAGTCAAAGTCAAAATACCCATGGAGGCCCAAGGACCAGCAATCCAGATAATAATTGGGTTTGGCCACGGCTTGCCTGCCAAACGGAGGACTTGAGGTGTCAGTGGGGTTAAACTTTAGGGCTCTGTGGGAAGGTCCCAGTTCTCAAAAACAATTCCCTCACTCCTGTGACCTTTTATTATTAGAGGTTCATTTCTTTGGGGTCTATAAGTCAGGCAGAGTGGAAATAGCTTCTTTTACCCACAAATGAGAGGTTCTAGTCTTAAGCTTGATTTGAGAAAAGAGGATAATAAGAAATTGAATGGGAGAAGATGCTAGGAGGAGGCAGGAGGACCCAAAAGCACACTAAAGGAAGATGCTAAAGATTGTCAGCCACTTTATATTACGCTAATACCATACCGGAGCTTATAAGATCAGGAAATACACAAAAAGTTTGTTACCAGTTATGCTCTGCTTAAAGGAAAGACAGGCTAAAAGGAAGCAGAAATGTGTGGTTTCATTTCCTCATTTCTTCAGCCAGCATGGGAATTGGAAGGAAGGTGATTACTTATTTACTCATTCATCTCTTCACCCATTAATTGTGGTAGAGAGCTTTCAAAGATGGCCGTCAATTCCCGCCCTCCCATACATGCCTGCCATTCCTCTCATCAAGAGCTGGGGCTTATTTTCCCCTCTACTTGACTCTGCACTGGCCGGTGACTTGCTTTGACCCCTAGAATGTGGTGGAAGGGATGCTACACGGGTTCCAGGCCCAGCCTTGGGGAGGTTGCACCATGCTGTAAACAAGCTTGAGCTACACTATTGGATGCTGAGAGGCCAGTGGAGAAGGGAGAGGCCATGTGCAGGAGCTCGAGGGGCCAGACTTAGGAGCAAAGCCTCTGAAGCACCCCCTCAGCCAGCCACTGTCTAAGTGCGGGTGAGTGAGTGACCCCCAGCCAACGCCATGTGAAACACAAAAACTGCCCAGCTTGTAACACTCCAAATTCATGACCCACAGAATCATAAAGAATGTAAATTGTTGTGGTGTTAAGCCACTACATTGTGGGATGGTTTCTCATCCAGACATAAACAAATGAACATTTACTGTATGTTTTTGGCAGCTATATTTAAAGGGATTCCTTTTTATTCCAGTTTTCTAAACTAGATTTTTAATCATAAAAAATTGTTGACATTGGTTAAATGACTTTTTGCCTTTATTGAAATGATCATGTGATTACTTTTCTTCTTTAGTTCATTAATCTTTAATTTGTTCAGAAATTTTTTTTTTTTTTTGAGTCAGAGTTTCACTCTTGTTGCCTGGTCTGGAGTGCAATGGCGTGATCTCGGCTCACTGCAACCTCCACCGACCGGGTTCAAGAGATTCTCCTGACTCAGCCTCCAAGTAGCTGGGATTACAGGCATGCACCACAACGCCCAGCTAATTTTGTATTTTTAGTAGAGACGTGGTTTCTCCATTTTGGTCAGGCTGGTCTCAAACTCCCGACCTCAGGTGATCTGCCTGCCTCGGCCTCCCAAAGTGTAGAAATTACAGGCGTGAGCCACTGTGCCTGGCCTTGTTCTGCATTTTTTATAGTTTTTCAGTGGGAGTCCTTGCATATCTTTCATTAAATTTATTCCTAAATATTTAATGTTTTTGATGCTTTTATAAACAGTATATATTTAAAAATTTTTCTAATTGTCTATAACAGTATAGTTGAATAAAAGTGATTTTTGTATATGATTTTGTATTCTGTGACTGCTAAATTCAGCTACTAGTTTTAGTCATTTTTAAAAAATCCTCAAGATTTTCTGTATACACAATTATATTGTCTACAAATAGAGATGGTTTTACTACTTTCTGTCCAATATTTTTAGGTTTTATTTATTTTTCTTACTTTGTTGAACTTGCTATGACCTCTAGGGAAATGGTGAATAAAAGTGGTAAGAGCAGACATCCCTGCCTTTTTCCTGCTCTTAGGGGAAAGCATTCATTCTTTCATCATTACATATAATGTTAGCTTTAAGTGTTTCATAGGTGCTCTTTATAAGGTTAAGAAAGTTGCCTTCTAGTCATAATTTACCAGAAGTTTTTACTATGAATGAGTGTTGAATTTGTCAAATACTTTTTCTTCATTCATGATCTGATCGTGTTTCCTCCTTTCCTCTGTGAATGGGATGCATTACTACGTAGCTGGCCACCCCCAAGATGGTCTCCTGTAATCCCCTCCTCCTGGTATTCATGCCTCTGTGTAATTCCCTCTCCTTGAGAATGACCTGAATTTACTGACCCATTTATAACAAATACAATGTGGCTGGGATGGTGGCATGTCACTCTTGAGATTTAAGTTATAAAAAGACTGTGGCTTCCATTTTGTGTGATTTCCTTTACTCATTTGCTCTGAGAAGAGTCAGCCACCATGTCGTGAGCTGCACTGTGGAGAGGTCCACGTGGCGTGGAATTGAGGGAGGCCTTTGGCCAGAAACCAGAAAAGAACTGAGGGCTTCAGTCCAACAGCCACAAGGAACTGGATCTTGCCAACAGCAAGATGCAGTGATCTTGGAAGCCGACCCTCCCACAGTGTAGTCTTCAGACGAGACCACCACCTCAGCTTACACTTGGCAGCCTCATGACAGACCCTGTGCCGGATAACCCAGTTAAATATCACTTGGATTTCTTGCCCACAGAAACAGTGAGACAATAAATGTTTATTGCTTTAGGATGCCAAATTTTGAAGATGATTCCTTTATATGGCAATAGATAACTAATAAGTACATTGGTTAACTTTTTCACGTGAAATAAATCTTGCACTTGGCCATGATATGTTATCCTTTTACACATTGTTATATTTGATTTACCAATTTTTTAAAAAAATCTTTTCTTTTTTTTTTAAATAAAATGGGAACCACTCAAACTGTGTCCTCTCCCTCTTACTCTCCCAGAGGAAGAGAACGATCATCAATGGCAAATGACAGTTGCAATGAAACAACACCAAGAGCCGGCTTCATGGTCAAGAGAGAATGCTGCGCCTCCTCCTCGTGGTTTCCAGTGTTCTACACATCTAAAAAAACTTCTCTAGTAACAACCTATGGAATGATCCCTGAAAGTATACAATTTTGTGGTGGTGGGCAGGGGGGCGGAGTTTTGTTCTTGTTGCCCAGGCTGGAGAGAAGTGGCGCTATCTTGGCTCACTGCAACCTCTACCTCCTGGGTTCAAGTGATTCTCCTGCCTCAGCCTCTGGAGTAGCTGGGATTACAGGCACCTGCCACCACACCTGGCTAATTTTTTGTATTTCTAGTAGAGAGGGGGTTTCACCATGTTGGCCAGGCTGGTCTTGAACTTCTGACCTCAGGTGATCCACCCACCTTGGCCTCCCGAAGTGCTGGGATTACAGGCGTGAGCCACTGCACCCAGCTGATATACCAATTTTTTAAAAAGGATTTTCTGTCTAGGTTCATGATGGCTATCAGTCTGCATTTTTTTTAATGTCTCTGTCAGGTTTTGATGTTGGGGATATACTAGCCTCATACAATGAAATCCCTTCTCCTCTATTTTTTGAAAGAGTTTATGTAAGATTCACATTATTGCTTCCCTACTTTTTTTTTTTTTTCTTGAGACAGGGTCTTGCTCTGTCACCCAGATTGGAGTGCAGTGGCATGTTCGTGGCTCACTGCAGCCTCAGCCTCCTGGGCTTAAGCAGTCCTCTAGCCTCAACCTTTCAAGTATCTAGAACTGCAGATACATACCACTACACACCGCTAATTAAAAAAAAAAAACAAAAAAAACCTTTTTTGTAAAGACAAGGTCTTGTTATGTTTAGCCCAGGCTGGTCTCACAATCCTGGCCTCAAGTGATCCTCCTGCCTCAGCCTTCCAAAGTGCTGGGATTACAGGCATGAATCACCACGCTGGCTCTCTTTAAATTTTTGGTAGAATTCACCAGTGAGCCTGGAGTTTTCTTTGTGGTAGCTTTTTAAAAATTCGTAAATTCAATCCTTTTATAGATACAAGGCTATTTAGATTTCGTTTTTTTTCTTAGGTCACTTTTTTTTCCTTCTCTAGCTTTAAAGACCAAAAGAAAAAATATATATGGGCGGATTATCTATTGTAAGGCCATCATGGCATAACAGGGGTGCCCAAAGCTGCTGAGCATACTAGGACTGTGCACCTTCAAAGGAGTGTGTTATGTAGAAATGCATTAGCAGAAAAAAGTTCAAGGAACCAAGATGGTGGGGAAAGACAGCATGGATGAGAGAGTGGTGTTGGAGCAGAAGGGTGAAACAGATTTAGGAGCTTTAGGGTGCTTGAGAATAGAGAACAAGAAACTTTAATGAGTTGTTATGGCCTAAGTTGGACTCCCTTAAATTTTTGAAAGAAACATGAATTAAGATTAAAATTCTTGTCTGCACTATGCTTCTTTAAGAATGATATCCCTTCGGTGAGGCCGGGCCCGGTGGCTCACGCCTGTAATCCCAGCACTTTGGGAGGCCGTGGCAGGCAGATCACAGGGTCAGGAGTTCGAGACAAGCCTGACCAACATGATGAAACCCGTCTCTACTAAAATTACAAAAATTAGCTGGGCATGGTGACGCGCGCCTCTAATCCTAGCTACTCAGGAGGCTGAGGCAGGAGAATTGCTTGAACCAGGGAGGCGGAGGTTGCAATGAGCCAAGATTGTGCTACTGCACTCCAGCCTGGGTGACAGAGTGAGACTCCATTAAAAAAAAAAAAAAAAAGAATGATATCCCTTTGGGATACCACTATGAATGCCAGATGCCAGGGACACAGGGGAGGAAGGATGGCACAGTTTTGTAAACATTGCCATTCCATTGCTCTATTTAAATCCACCTGAACTTCAATAAAATAACTTATGTACCTTGTTCCTATTGCTGTGTAACAAATTACCCCAAAACATAATGGAACACAACAATCATTCCTTATTAGGCTCATGGATTCATTAGGTCGGGAATTTGAACAGGACACAGTGAGCACAAGCAACCTCAGCTCCACACTGTCTTAGAGGCTCAGCTGGAAGACTCAAAGGCTGGGAGTGACCTGACCGTGAAAGCTGACATCTGAAAGCCTGTTAACTCATGAGTGTGGTGGTTAATGCTATTGGCTGAGACCTTAGCTGGAGCTATTGGCCAGAACACCTACACATGGCCTCTCATATGGCCTGAGCTTCTTCATAATATCTTGGCTGGGGCCAAGCATCCCATGAGAGAAGGCCAGGTGGAGGCCTTTTCTAACCCAGCCTCAGCGGTCAGAAAGTGTCACTTTCAGCCCCTTCTCTTCATCAAGGCCAACTGAAAGCCCATCCCAAGTTTAAGGTGAGAGGAAAGAAAGAGACTCTACACTTGATGGGGGAGTGGCAAGGTTCTGGAAGAGCATATGGTCCTGAAAATATTGCTGCAGCCACTTTTGGAAAATATAGTCTGCTGCATACCTCCATGGTTGTGCCCTACAATGTCTGCTCTTGGAAATACTAATGAAGCAACTGTCTCTCCCTAGTCACCTTGTGAGGTGCTGACAGAGCTAGATTGGAGGGGCAAAGTTCTCCTTATACCCTGCAGATTGACCATGAATTGTCACAGCAGTGGAGGGACCCATGTGCCTTAACACGTGCCTTGGGAGGGTATGAATGAGGGACCAGCTATTAGGGATGATACTTACATAGAATCCTATGTTGCCTCTGAGATCATGAGAAGGCTTAGAAAGCTTCCATCCCAGCTTTGGTACTCCACGGCCTTTTGGTGCCCTATCTCTTCTACTTCTGTACACTGTCCATGGCTCTTTTTGTTATTGACCTTAGAACTCTGAGTTTTGTTTTGTTTTGTTTTTTCCTTTTAGTTCCTGCAAGCAGAATGTGAGGTGTTTTTTTTTTTTTTCTCTTACCCAGAGTATACACACAGCAGGCACTTGGTAAATGCTTTGGGATGATAATGAAAAGGAGGGAAGGGGTGGGCAGTTTTTCAGAGAGGAAGTGTAAGAAACTCTGCAGAAGCAGGGGATGCGTTGCATCAGGAATCTTGAGCAAGAAGGGCTGTGGGGATTGGGTTCTCCTCCAGCGGTGACCTTGGTTGCTGCACTCAGTGAGGGGCAGCCCTATTAGACTTAGAACCAAAGTTCATTTCTACAAGCTGATGTTATTAATGTTAAAACATCCTCAGGAACCCAGAAAGCCCTAAAAACAGGATTGCGGAAGTTTTTCATTCCAGAGCTAGCTCACTGGGGACATTAAATTAGGAGTCAAAAAGCAAAAATGAGTGAGACATCCTGTCTTAACAGCTAGAATGTTCTGGGCAAATTGTCTTCTTAACTGTAAGTCAGAGGAGCTTTAAATAAGAGAGGAGGTTTTTATGTGTTGCTCCATGGCTCTGGAAAATTGGAGAGAAGTTCCAAGTTTTTCCATGTTCTTGGCTTCTGTAATAGACCCTTCAGGGCTATTAGCACAGCCTAGGAACTCTGCTTTTCTGAGAACTCCCTTCTCTTCATGTCCACAGGGGTGGCAGCCATGTTTGTGTTGGGAGTGAGGTACATCTCCAACAGTCACAGTTGATTGCACCAGGAGCTGCAGAATTCATCTTTTCTCTCAGTGAGGAATTTCAATGTGGGTCTGAGAAACTAGTCAGTCTCTTCTTGCTTTTGAGTCAAGGATAAGCAAGTTGAATGTCTGGGTGGCCTGGCCTGTCACAGCACACAGCTCTGGGGGTAAGTACCTTTCCCCCAAGACAATCTCTAATGGCTTTTGTGAATCAGGAATTGGGAGAACAGCTTGGTCAGATGGTTATGGCTCAATGTCTCTCATGAGGTTGCAGTCAAGCAGTCAGCTGGGGCTGAGGACATCTGAAGGCTGTGATCATAGGAGCCAACTGGTACTGGGTATTGGTGGGAGTCTCAGTTCCTTTTCACATATGCCTCTCTGCAGGATTGCTTGGGTGACCCCATCACATGGAGTTCAGCTTTCCCCAGAGTGAGGGGTCTGTGAGACCAAGGTAGGTTCTATGACCTAGCCTCAAAAATCATACTCTTCTGCTCCCACCGCAAATTCTAGCAATTCCATGGGACTAACCCTGGTTCAGAATTGAAGGGGACTACATAAGGTTGAATACTGGGAGGTGGTAAGGCCCCCTGGAGCCCCTTCTGGGAGGCTGGCTGTCATAACTCCTTATGTTTGCACAGCATTCCACGGTTTATAAGGATTTCTCACATGCATTATCTCCCCAGGTATTCAGAACAGCCCCCAAACCTGGTGTCTGCTTAGCTTTCTCCAGTCCTCCTTTCTCTCTACCCACTATGTCTCCCACACCCAGTCTTCTGTAAGTCCTTTAGCTTTTCCCTAACACACTCTGCATTTTCTCTTACTGAAGCCCTCCCTCCATGCATGCTTTCTCCAGTCCAGAATGCTCTTCTCACATCTCTTTGCCTAACTAATTCTCAGATGCCACCTTCCCTGGAAGTCCTCCCCGGCCCTCCATGCCTGGCTTTGTGCCTGATATGGTCTGATATTTGTCCCTTCCAAATCTCCTGTTGAAATGCAATCCCCAGTGTTGGAGGTAGGGCCTGGCAGCACCAAAAGGCCATCCAGGTGTTTGAGTCGGAGGATGGATCCCTCACAAATGGCTCGGTGCCCTTCCCACAGCAATAAGTTCGTATGAGATCTGGTTGTTGAAAAAGGATCCTGGCACCTCCCACTCTGTCTTGCTCCCTCTCTTACCATGTGATGATGTGCTGCTCCCGCTTCACCTTCTGCCATGAGCAGAAGCTCCCTGAGGCCTCATCAGAAGCCGAGTAGATGCCAGTGCCATGCTTCCTGTACAGCCTGCAGAAACATGAGCCAATGAAGCCTCTTTTCTTTATAAACTACCCAGCCTCAGGTATTCCCTTACAGTGACGCACAATGGACTGACACAGTGCCCTTCCTCTAGGCTCCCATAGCTCCTCATATTCCCCATCGTAACACTCCTCACGTGGTACTATCTTCCTGATTCTAATGTCTGACTCCCCACCCAGAGTGCCCACTCCACGAAACCAGAGATGGTGTCTGTGCTGTTTGAGTGCTATCCCCACCTGGCACAGGGCTCAATATGTTTATTTGTTGAATGCATGAATGGACAAGGCAAGCATCATTATCCCCATTTTACAGAGGTGAAAACAGGGTGGAGGAGAGTAAGAGTTGGCCTGATCATGGTCAGTTTATGACACAGCTGAACCTAAGCCCAGGTCACACCACCATCCAACACCTTTGTGCATCCTGGAAACAGGTCGCCAAGCAAATTTACGGCACTGTCCCCCGCCCCCACCCCTCATGGCTTTGGTCCTTGGTACTCTGATAGTTGTGTCCACTGTCTTTCCAGCCTGGACATGCCAGGCTGCTGGATGCATGGCAGGAAAAGCCCTGGTTATTAATTGATTTTATTCATTTCCCTGTGAAGCACATAGCAGGAGAATGTGCCATTAACGCATCTCAGTGAGACAAACCAGAGATGCAAGCTCTATTCCCATCATTACGGATCCTCCACAACTAAAATAGTGATCTTAATTAAGAAATAATGCATGGGGAGAGTGCTGGGGAAAGAGGCGGTGAACTTGGCAACGATAGGCTTTGTGAGAAGAGAAGATGGCACTTTTATCTGCTCAGGTTGCAGACATTTTTCTTCCTCTGCTGAAAATCGTGACAAATAGTTTATATTTTTATTTTTCATTAGGGAAAAAGTACCAGCTACGTACTTAGGGAAAAAGCCCAAGCCCAACAACCAGACTACTGATCACCATGTTACTTTAGCAGCTGCTATTAAAGGGGGCCGAATCAATGCCTTTGAACCCACAGACTTCCCAGAGTGGCCACTTCCTAAAGCCTGGCTCTGGCAGGGGAGCCAGGAGGTGAGGCAGGGCTGGACAAGCCAGAGCTGGGACTGTGAGGTGGTCACCAAGTGGCAGGCACAGCAGCTCTGAAGGGCAGGGCCATCAGGAGCTTGTGGCAGGATGGAAGCAAAATTCAAGACAGTGGCCTCTCAAGGCAAAGTGAGGGAGAGCTCCAGCAGCAGGGAGCTCACAGGGCCAGAGGCACAGGAAGTGAAGGCACCCAGTTACCAGAGGCGAGAGATCCAGGCAGTCAGACATGGGAGTCTGAGTTCAGCAGCAACAAAACGACAATGAAATAAACTTGATATGGAAGCCAGATCCCACTCCACGGAGGAGCTTCCCATACACTTCCTTTTAAGGATAAAACTATCTTAATAATCAATAACACATAGGAACACTTAACAAAAGAAGCTATACAAGTAGCCACTAAACATATGAAACAGGCCTCAACGTTTTTAGTCACCAGGGAAATGAAAATTAAAGCTGTCGTGAAATACCATTCATGCCACCAGTATGGCTGCAATTGCAGTGACACCCACATGGTGAACATGTGGGGCAACTGCTGGTGGAAATGCAAACCAGTAAATTCACTTTGGGAAACTATTTCCTGAAGGTTTCTTACAAAACTAAACATATATATGTCTGCCTTACAATCCCGTAATTTCATTCTTAGATGTTCACTCAAGAGAAATGAAAACACATGCCCACAAAATGATGTGTATCTCAGTGTTCAAAGGCAACTTTATTCATAATAGCCCCAAACTGAAAACAACCCAAATGTCTATCAACAGGAGAAAGGATAAATACATTTTCCATAGAGTGAAATGCATTCAGCAACTTACAAGACAGAACTAACAATATAAGCAATCAGATGAATGAATCTCACAGGCATCATACTGAATGAAAGAAGCCAGATACAAGAGTCCATATTCATTTCTACGCAATCCAAGAACAGTCAAAACTTAGGGTGATAGGAATCAGAATGTGGCTGGGGCCCACTAACTAAGAGGGATATAAGGGAACTTTTCCGGCTGGTGAAAATGTTCTTTATCTTGTTTCAGGTGGTAGTTCCAGGGGTGTAGACGTTTGTCAAAATCCATCAAGCTGAATGCCTATCATTGCACTTTGCTGTGTGCTAATTATACCTCAATTTTAAAAAATAATCGGCATATTGGGAGGCTGAGGTGGCACTAGGTTAGGAGATCGAGACCATCCTGGATAATACAGTGAAACCCTGTCTCTACTGAAAATACAAAAAATTAGCCAGACATGGTGGCAGGTGCCTGTAGTCCCAGCTACTCGGGAGGCTGAGGCAGGAGAATGGCATGAACCTGGGAGGCGGAGCTTGCAGTGAGGCGAGATCGCGCCACTGCACTCCAGCCTGGGCGACAGAGTGAGACTTTGTCTGAAAAAAAAAAAAAAAATAATAATAATAATAATAGGCCAGGCAAACTGGAGTCTCTAAGTCTGGAATGACAAATACAAAATTCATATACTGTTACTGCCCTGGCAGAAATTATTAATTGATTTCAGTGTTCTGTGCCTCTGAGCTTCAATGGGGCTTCAAATACATTACAATATAGCTGTCTAAGCAACCACTTATAAATCCATCGATCTGTTAGGCGTCCAAACCAGTGCAACTTATTACTTCTAGTTTGACCCTCAACCTGTTTCTCTAGTTTAGTAAGGGCTGGGGAAATTCAAATTAGCTATAAAAATAATAATCCTATCACAGAAAAGTTTTTAAGTAACTCAAAATCCCATTCCCTTAGTACTACCACTAAACTGTTTTGTGTATTCCCTTCTACTAAGTTGTCCTAGGCACAGCTTAACATACAAGGGTAGGGCAGGAGGGAGCCCCAGAGGGGGCCTCAGGTGAAAGGCTGCTGTGCTGGCCTATTGCTGCCAGCCAGAGCATCCACGCCAGTGAGGCCAGACCCTACCTGGCCGCCTCCAGCAGGCCCTCCGCAGCATCTGGAGGGTTTGAAAGGACTGTATTCCAGAGGTCAGCTAGTTTGCCGTTGAAATACATTCTAGAAGTGGCTCATTCACTCCAGTGATTCTGGTGGGCCACTGCATGGCTCAAGGTCAACCCAACAATCAGAGGCTTCCACGGTCGAGGTGGGTGATGGGAATGTCCTACTCTCAGCATCTTCCAGGGGCCCCTCTGCCCTGTCTTAGGGGCAGAACTCTGTGATGCTAACAAGTATCATTTAATTATTGAAGCTGATTCAGGCCTGCTTTTTTTCTTTTCCCTTTTTTTTTTTAAGGACAGTCTGAGGATTGCTCATGGGCACTCCTGTGGCCTGCTCCCTGGAAAAGACAGCACTGTGAATAGCGAAGTGGCTTGCTCTGAGCCCCTCTTTTACCATATATGAAATGGGGTACTAGTGCCCACTTCATATAACTCACATGAGGAGTAATGAGTCAGCCTATGCCAAGTACTTACTAGTAACTAGTGGTTTTCTTGTTCTCCTGCCCAAATGAAAGGGCCCTGGAGCTGCCCAAGAAGACACATCAGGCTTTTTATTTTCAGCAAAGCCTCAACTTTTCCATCAACATGGTTTCTGATTATAGCTTCTAAACCACCTTTCTAGTTAGCAGTAGAGGACATCTGTCCACCAGACACTTACAGTGAAGCAATTTTCAGTGTGGTGGACTCTTTCAGGGGTATCTGCTCACCGTTCCTCATTCTCCAAGACCTGAAGCCACCTCTGCACCGACAGGATGGGCCCTGTGGTCTCCTGTGTCTGCTCTGACCCTGCTCCTCTGGCCAGAGCTGGTGGGCACACAGCCTGACATGGCCTGAGCTGGACCCTTAAATCTTACCTTTCAGAAATTTAGATTGTCATTGAGAAATGAGGTAGGTCACTCTTGGTCACATGACAAGGACAAAGGGATTTAGGGGTGTCCCCCTTTGGCCCCATGCATGGGCATATACAGATAGGAAGTGAGCAAAGAGAGAACAGCAAAGACCTGCAGAGAGATGCAGAGCCCAGGGACCCTGTGATATCCAAAAAGAGCATCTGAGAGACGCAAAAGAGGACATGCTGTATGGTTTCATTTTTACAACGATCTAGAAAAGACAAAACAAATCTAAGGTGGTAGAAATCAGAACAATGGCTTCCTGGGGCAGGGTGTGAGGGGAGTTGGACAGCAAGGGGCCTGAGGGAACTCTGAGGGGGTGTAGTGATTACATGGGTGTAAGCATTTGTCAAAACTCACCCTTCTATACACTTAAAATATGTGCATTTGGGCCGGGCACAGTAGCTCACACCTGTAATCCCAGCACTTTGGGAGGCCGAGGCAGGTGGATTGCTTGAGGTCAGGAGTTCGAGACCAGCCTGACCAGAATGGTGAAATCCTGTCTCTACTAAAAATACAAAAATTAGCCAGGCGTGGTGGCACATGCCTGTAATCCCAGCTACTCAAGAGGCTGAGGCAGGAGAATTGCTTGAACCCTGGAGGTGGAGATTGCAGTGAGCCGAGATCATGCCATTGCACTCCAGCCTGGGTGACACAGCAACACTCCATCTCAAAAAAAAAAAAAAAAGGAAAGAAAAAGTGCATTTGATTGTATGTAAATTATACCTCAATAAAGTCAACTTAAAAAAATTAAAAGAGGAAAGAGTGGCAGTCATTCACGGCCTCTGTCTTTCCCGCCAGCAGCTGGGGAGAATGGTGTCTGATTCTCTTCTACAGTCTGAGCATTTTGTGGGACCCTTGGATTCTTTTAGCAACTTTCCCCTACCTTCTGCCTAAGCCCATCTGAGTGGGTTTTTGCCACTTACAGCCCCAAATTTTTGAACAAGATAGTTTTGTGACAACTGACCCTGGAAAGGAACAGTGTCAGGGGTACAGTAATGTGTAATTCCCTGGGTTTGTGTAAGCCTCTCAAAAAGGGGACTTGCTCCTCTCCACTAATCCAAGCTTAAGTGTCTCCTTCCAGAGCTTTTCCCAGTCATATAAGATAAAGTGACGTATGTGTATATGGTAGACATCAGTTGAGTTAATCCATCCAAAATCGATTCTACCTTCCCCTGGAAACAATAACCCAATTTCTTTGGGGACCACCACCCATCCAGCTCACATTTTTGCTTAGTCTGTGAGACTCAACTGAGGGAGACCGACCCCACCTCCTGGGACAAGGGTTGGGATATGGCCCAGGCCTGGTCCCAAGAGCATCCCCCTCCCCCAGCCCATATGCAAGCTGGGCCACCCTCTCCATCCCAGAACTGTTGGGGTACTCTGGAGGCAACGTGCTGTCTTCCTGAGCCTAGAGCTCTTTGAGCCCCTAGATCGAGTTACAGTTAAAGCTCCAGATCTTCCCCCAGACTTTATAATTGTAGGAACCAATTCATGTCCTTTTCTTGTTTAAAAGCTGAGTCTCTGCCACTTGTAAGAAAAAATGATCTGAGTCGGATGATATACATATTCATAGAGATTTAAAAAACCACAATTGGCATCATAACATCCATACTGGTCATCAACTTAGTTTTTAAAATGTCTTCACTTACATAACATCATGGATCTCTTTCCATTTCTGTACAGGCTACCTTCCCTTTCTCAATGCTGCACAGTATACACAGCGTGGGTAAATTACAATTTACTTAACAGGTCCCGCTTCATGAGGATGTCCTCTAAATTGGTTTTACACAATTTGCTAAATTTTTATTGTTGTGGTTATTAAAGAAACATATACACTTGATCGAGACAAAGTTGAACCACTAGAAAGGCCTAAAATGAAAACTCATCTGCCACCACTCCTCTCCTGTGCCCAGTTTCATTCCCCGGGTATCACCACGTCTAAGAGTTCCCAATTTTCCACTCCTCTTTTGGTTCCCCGCTGCAGTCATCTGTTTTGTTTTTTTTTTCCATCCTTCATCAGCCTTAGAATCCTATTTGATTTTTTTCTTTCTCTAGAGAATAATGAGCTTGTTGATGTAAAATTCCCGTTACCAAGAAATAGTCATTGTTAATAGTGATAATCTAAGCCGAGGATATAGAGATTCATCTTAAAGTTTTCCCTCAAGAAGATCACAGTGTAGGAAGGGAAAAAGATAGATAAATAAGTGAAGGAAAGTATTCTAAAACTTCATAGAAAGTTCAGTGGATTGGGAGGGTGAGGTGGGCAGACTGCTCAAACTCAGGAGTTCAAGACTCAGCTTGGGCAACACAGCAAAACCCTGTCTCCACAAAAAATACAAAAATTATAATCGGGCATGGTGGTGTGTGCCCATAGTCCCAGCTACTCGGGAGGCTGAGGTGGGAGGGTCACCTGAGCCCAGGAGGTGGAGGCTGCAGTGAGCCGAGGTCGCGCCATTGCACTCCAGCCTGGGCGACAGAGTGGGGCCCTGTTTCAAAAAACAAACAAACAAAAAATCCCAAAAGTTCAGTGGAGGTTCAAGGGGAAGAGGCATCAGTTCTAGGTGAGGATCCAGAGAGGGATTCACAGAAAAAGTGATTCCTAGGAGAAGAGTAGGTATTTTCCAGGTGGGCAAGGAAGTGAAGGGCAATCTGCTCCAAAGCAGAAGGAAGGAAGTAATGATTCAGGGAGGGTCTGGTGGAGTGGGAAAAATCACTTTCACCTGTCAGCTTATTCTTCTTGGATCCTAGATTTTCATTCTAGGATATTTTA
The DNA here is from genome assembly GCF_000001405.40 of Homo sapiens. NCBI lineage: Eukaryota > Metazoa > Chordata > Mammalia > Primates > Hominidae > Homo > Homo sapiens. The sequence goes on from NC_000003.12 coordinate 45,267,008, forward strand.
CTTCTTCCTGGAGTACATCACTTAGATGTTTCTTTAGTGAGGATTTGTCAGTGGCAAACTCTCTTACTGTTTACGTTACTGAAGATGTCTCTATTTTACTCATTCTAGAAACATGGTTTTGCTAGGCTTATAAATCTAGTTGACAATTATTTCTATCACCACTTTGAAGACATTATTCCACTCTCTTCTGGCTTCTATGTTTGATGTTGAGAAGTCAAATTTGATCTATCTTGGCTCCTTTGTGAGTAATCTGTCTTTTTTTTCTTCAGGTTTCTTTTAAGATCATCCCTTTGTCTTTGACATTCTGTAGTTTCACTACGATGTGTCTGAGTATGTCCACCTTATGACTTATCCTGTCTGGGAGTTTCAAAAACTTTCTAAATATGGGGATTTATGTCTTTACTCAATTCTGCAAAACCCTCAGCTCTTATATCTTTGAAAATTACCTCTTATCGCACTCTCTATTATCTATTTTTGGAGCCCTGATTAGATCTATATTGGACCTTTTCACTCCATCATTTAATTTTCTTAACCAGACTTTTCCATATCTTTTTGTCTCTGAGCTGCATTCTGTGTATTTTCTTTGGATCTACGTTTGAAATTACAGGTTCTCTCTGCAGTTGTGTCTATTTTGCTTTTCAACTCTTCTACAGATATTTTAATTTCTATTACATTCTTTATTTCCAGAAGCTTTGTTTGGTTCTTTTTAATATGTCTGCTTATTTTTATAAGCTCCTGCTTCTTACTTACTTTCAAATTATCTCTGTTATTTACTTAATCGTATTAAAATCATAGTTTATATTTAATAATTCTAATTTTTTTTCTTTTGACTCTTACTCATGATGGCTTGCTTACTTGGGCCTTTTCTGATTTTACATTATGAGCTCATTTATGATGGGACTTTTCCAGTAGGAATTTTATGAGGGCTGTGTTGTGCGTACATGATTGCCTCCGTCAGGAGCTTTGGGCACTGTGGACCTAGGTTCTTCTAAATTCTTATCTTGGGATATTTTGGTATATTTCAGTGTACATTCAGACATCACACCTAGAGGAGGGTTGGCCACTTGCCTTCAAATCTCAGGAGAAGTTTTCATTTTTCCTCCTCTGCCAGAACTGATTCTGAGTCACTGTTTCTTGAAGTCAGCCTCTGCTAGGTAGGATACCCTTAACTTCACCCTTTCCTGAAAGTGTAACCCCCTCCGAGGCTTGGATTTGTGCAAAATTTTGTGGCTCTGGATCTATTACTGCTCAGGTCTAAGGCTTGGTTTACTGTTCATTCCTACCTCTTCCCCTTACTATCTGCTTCCCTATGAAAAAAATCCTAGGCTACTTTTCCCTAAAGATGATCTCAAGCTGTGAAGTGCTTTTTGGCTTGGTCTTTGTTTACCTTCAAAGGCTCAGGTTCCTCCTGCTTTTCTGAATCACAGGTGATTCTCTTACTTTGCTTTGTTGCAGACCATTTCATTGCTATGAAGATTTTGCATATACCTATACCTATATCTATATCTATCTATCCATATATCTCCTCCATATCCTCAGGGGATTGGTTATATATGTACATATACACATGCATATAGGTATGTGTATAACCAATGCACACAGTTGTTCCTTGGTATCCATGGGGGATTGACCAGGACTCATCGCAGATACCAAAATCCGAGGATGCTCAAGTCCCTTCTATAAAATGGGGTAGTATTTGCATATAACCTACACACATCCTCCCATATACTTTTAAAAATATATACCTACTTTATAGAGGAGTCTCATATACTTTAAGTCATCTCTAGATTATTTATAATACCTAATACAATGTGAATGCTATATAAATAGTTGTTACACTGTATTGTCTTCTTGAATTTGTATTATTCTTGTTGTATTGGGGTATTTTTTCCCAAATATTTTCACTCTGCCGTTGGTTGAATCCAAGGATGTGGAACCCAGGAATACGGAGAGCCAACTGGATATGCACCTGTGTGTTTAGCACATTAGAATATTTTTCATGTAGAAGGAAGATTTTAGGATGTTCAAATTGTTGACTTCTACGGGCATTCCAATTTTCTTTGCACTGGCTTATCTTTGTACATATTTATTATCTTCTCTCTAATTGCATTAATATCTTTGTATTTATTTTTTGCATACCATGATTGTTACAAGTTTTTCCTTTATGATGGCAATTTGATTTTGAGCCTTCTATTTCCTGTTTCTTACTGTTTGTAATATTTTTATTAATTCCTTAATGGTATTGTTTTGGTCCTCAATTTGTTTTCTTAGTTCTGAAAGATCTATTTGAATTTCAGTCTATCAACTTATCAAGTCACCTTTCAGTTCTTCTTTTTTTAAAAAAAATCATTAGGCAATTTTTATTTATTTATTCATTTTTGAGACGGAGTCTCACTCTGTCACCCAGGCTGGAGTGCAGTGGTGCAATCCTGGCTCACTGTAACATTTGCCTTCCCGGTTCAAGCGATTCTCCTGCCTCAGCCTGCTAAGTAGCTGGGATTACAGGTGCATGCCACCATGCTCATGTAATTTTTGTATTTTTAGTAGAGATGGGGTTTCACCATGCTGGTCAGGCTGGTCTCGAACTCCTGACCTCATGATCCGCCCGCCTCGGCCTCCCAAAGTGCTGGGATTATAGGCGTGAACCACTGCACCCAGCCTCAGTTCTTCTCTTATTAAATTCATGGTCTCGTTAGAAATAGCACTCATGAGGAATCTTTTCTGTTTTTTGAGTTGTGTTTTCTTTTAGAATATGATCTTCAACTATCCTTTGCATGTTTTGTTCTTGTCTTTCCTTTTGTTTATTGTAAAGTGTTTTCATTGTTACCATGCTGTTCCTGTTAACTTGGTCATGTTGAATGTGGACAGCTATAACCGCAGTCTATATTCCATGAGCAATTTCCCTACAAGTACTTTTTGTTCTATCTACTTCTCTGTAACCTGAGAGCCTGGAGCAGGGATGATTACTCTTCTAATTCACTGTGGAGTCCTGAAGCCCTTGCTTTTGACCTGCGAAATTATCTCCCCAGTTTTACCTTATCTTCTCAGTGGCTGCTGCCACCACTCTTACTCTCTCTCCCACTCCCCACCCCAAATAGAAAGAGGAAAAGAAAATGTCGCTTCTCTCCAGAAAGGTGGGGTGGGCTATGAGTAGAATTGTCATGATTCTGCTGACTCACCAGAGCCACATGTAGGAGGTATGTACACTGCACTCCATCATCTTCTGAGTTATTTTTTCCTCTGTCATCACTTAAGTTCTTATGCCACTAGATTATGCTCTTGTCTGACTCTTACTGGTATATTTTTCTCATTTATTATTATTATTTTTTTTACTATTTTTGACATTTCCATAGGAGTTGAGGGAGAAAGCTTCTGCAGGCCTATTTCACTTTGCCAACTCAACTGCAACTCATGTGTGTTCTATCTTCCAGAATTCTCTGGAACATTCTGCCCGATACAGGCTACCATTCTTGTTTTCCAGCACCTTTATAGTTTTATTCCTTAAACACAAACCAACAATTCCACAGGCACACACATGTCTTCTGACTTTTCCATGAAATGTTGAGGGAGCCTGGCGCGGTGGCTCACACCCGTAATCCCAACACTTTGTGAGGCCGAGGCAGGTGGATCTCCTGAGGTCAAGAGTTTGAGACCAGCCTGGCCAATATGGCAAAACCCCATCTCTACTACAAATACAAAAAAATTAGCCAGGCGTGGTGGCGGGTGTCTGTAATCCTAGCTACTCAGGAGGCTGAGGCAGGAGAATTGCTAGAACCCTGGGGGTGGAGGTTGCAGTGAGCTGAGAGCGCACCACTGCACTCCAGCCTGGGTGACAGAGCGAGAATCTATCTCAATAAATAAATAAATAAATAAAGTAAAGAAAAAAAACGTTGAGGTAAAGGAGCTGAGGAGGGGACCATGTCTTGGCCTTCAACTTGAACCCAAAGCCCCTTTGGCTTTTCTTGAGAATTGAAATGCTAAAGGATCACGGAAGAAACGTCTTGGCACTATCGTAGAAGACACTGTCTACCCAGTTATTCAATGTCCTTATACAGATACTTTTGGACAAATTCTTCTCCAAATAAACCAGCACACAGTACAGATTCCTCTCAGGGATAAGAGAATTTGCCTACTGATATCCTGCAGTCCCTCCTTATATTAGTCAAGTGGGCACTAATGTAATCTGTTTCCTTCTTTTCTTTGGCTGCCAAGAAATTAAGATTTGTGTTTTATTTCTCAAAAGCAGCTCACTGCATTCTAGGTTTTTGGTTTCATTCATTCCTCACTCTGTTACTAGAATTCTATCTTTTATGCTTTTTGGGAGGGGGGTAATCATTTGCTACCACAAACCAATTTGCAAAGGAAGAATGCTTCCTCCTTTTAAGTAGTCACAACTCCCATAGTAACTAGTATGCCTCTCAATATTTATTGAATAAACTAGCACACAGTACCGAAGAAGATAAGATACCCTGCTTTGTGGATGCTTGTAGTTTATTCTTTAGTAGTAATGCTTAATCTTAATCTTGTGACAATAAAGATCTTGGTAAAATTCTCTAAAATGAATAGAAGTTAAAAGATGTGGTTTGAGTCCTCTCTTTTTAACAAGTACTGAACAATCTTGGACAGTCACCTCTCCAATCTGAATCTCGGTTTCGTTGTCTATATTTTATTCATTTATTTATTCATTCATTTACTCATGAAACAAACTTTCCTGAACACCAGCCCCATCCCATATGCCATCTTGGGGCCCTAGATATAAAGAAACATGTAGTCCAGTTTGTCAGTTATCAAAGTGAGTGCTTTAAAACTCTATGTTAACTTAGTGCCCCTTAGCGTATTTCATCCTCATAACAATCTTTTCAGTTCCCATTTTAAAGATGAGGAAAGCAAGTCCCAGACAGGTTGAGTAACTTGGCCAGGGTCTTTTAGCTCCAAATCCAGTACTGATTCCTCTAGTGGTTTGTAAATCAAGAACCAGGGTGCTGCCATCTATTTAAACACTGCTTACATCCAAGCATAAGGCTGGACACCCAGAAGAGGCTGAACATTTGCTTGCTAATGAAAACAAGGTCTTTTCTTTGGGAACTCACCAAAAGAAAAAATTGCTTGAGCCTATCTTCCTGGTTCACAGGACTTACGAGAAATGCAAATACATTTCCTTTTACTGACTATATGCAGAGAGGCAAAAATTTCTCCTTAAATAGCTGTCTTTGGGAAGAGCAGTGTGAACCAAACTGCAGCTCCCCAGCCAGCCTCCTGCACTGCAGACACCGACTGGCATCTGGGCTTTGCTGGAACACAGTGTATCTGTGAGTCCTTAGTGGTCACAGAGGAGGATATTTGACAGCAGAGCAGGCCCAGAATTCATCTTTTTTCTGATCAAAACATAGGCCACCTTTAACCCGTCGTGTCTGGATATGTAGCTGCCCACACAAAAACAGGCGGCCTCAATTAAACACCCCTAAAGAAAAACCTTTCCACAGAAAAGTTGTGAGAACAAAGTGATATGGTGACTGAAGTCATGAATGAAAAGCTGCTTCCTATGAGGTGGTTCCTCTCCCAGGGCACCGCAGGTGTCTGCCTGGCTTAGGTCATCCAGCCCCACCTAGGTGGGAGGGCAAATACTGGAGACTCTGAGGACTCTCTTTTAGTCTCCCCCTAATAATGGCTGCCTGACAAGCACTTCACAGTTTACAAAGCCTTTTCACACATTCCTTACATGGCACTCCCCAGAGACCTTGTGAGCTGGGTATTATTTTTATTTTACAGAAAAGGAAAAACAGGTGGAAACAGGGAGAGTAACTGGCTCAAGGAAACGTTGGTAAAAGTAAAAACTAGAACCTGAATGATGGTCACCAGGCTCGTCTGTGCTCCTAGAGCCCCCAACATCCAGTGATCATGCTGGGGGCATTCTCTGCCCTTTGGGGACTCTCCATGACCCCTTAGGAAGTACTGCTGAGCTACTCAGCCTCCCCCTTTCACTTGCCCTGGTGTCCTCGGTGGAGCCAGTGGAGAACAGGAATAGCCTCAGCCAGGCCACTCCAGCCCTGGGCTTCAGGCTCAGTGCGTTGCTCAGCACAAGCTGGAACCAAGAAACTTTTTTTTTATCCCAACCCTAAATCTTCTGAAAACAGTCCTAGCTAAATATAACAAGGATGCCCTTTGGCACATCTTGCCAATCTTGCAGGTGAGTCACGGGCCCTCACTCAAGGTGCCCAGGGATACAGTAGTTGCCATGTAGTTAAAAATACCTGCTGTGCTGGAAGGCAGCACAGATGGATTTAATGAGCTCACCTGCTCCTCCAAAGGCTTGCAGTAGTGTGGGTTGAGCCTGGCAGTGGGCAGATGTATGCTGAATTTCCTCTTGGCCTGAGGCCTGGTTATCAAACTGATGTAGTCCCCGGAGTCTTCTCAAATGCCCACAGAGCTGGCCCGACAGAAACAGTAAAGTGTTGGGATTAGCAAGGGGTCAAGAAGCAGAAAGCCAGCTCCATTACTCTCTTCTGCAGAAATCACCTCCTTCGACAGCCCCAGAGGCAGTGCCTTGGGTTAGTTTCCTCAGAAATGGAGCTTGAGAAAAGGATTGACTGGGGGACTGCTCCCAGATAAAACCTGTAAGGGACTGAGGAGTTAGAATGGGGCAGAGAAGAAGCTGGGCAAACATATAGCTTCAGCTGAAGTCTAACTCAGCCTGATCCCGTGGGGAGCTCACATGCAGTTGTCCCAACTGCAGGGAAGCCCTTTGGCCTTTAGGTCCCCATGTCAGTCATCACTGGCTGTGGGCTCCCCTTAGGGGAGGACGTAACCTCTCAGGCTTTTCAGGATGAGGTGGCTCTGGAGAAGGAAGTCTCTGGAGAAAGAAACAGCTGTGTCATTAGCAGTCAGCATGCACTGCAGATGGGGGATGGGTGTGGTGGCCTGGTAAAGAGATACTGATGAGACAGCAACTGTATCTACTGCTGCCACTATCTCTTGAAGGCCAAAATGGTCAAGTCATTAGTTCATAGCAAAACATTATTTTCTATGTATCCCAAGGGCAGAGGGAAACCACATATGGTAGCAACTCATTCTTGCTTTACTTCTGATTCTTCTATGCAGGGAGCATTCCTCATGACTAATGAAGAAGCAAAGGCATAAACTTGACTAATTCCTTCTTTCTCCTTCCACATTGAGCTTGCACTACCCACAGCCCCTCTCATAGAGGCACATGCTCAAGATTGCTGCCTTGTCCTTCGTTCAGGTCAGTCTGCCTTTGTTGTACAATTGCCATGGCTCTAATCAGAGGTCTGCCCAACAGCATGACTCTTCCCATCATGCTGAGCATGATGTTCAGCATAACCAGGCTGAACATCACACCTGACCTCCTCCTCCATGAAACCTCCCTGAGCACTGAAGCCCCCACTGACTTCTCCCACTGCGGAATAGACAGTTGCAACCATATCCCAGAATTCACAGTGAGAAGGATCCCATGTGCCAAGCACTGTCCCAAGTGTAATTGACTTAACTTCATTTACTTAGTGGAGCATACGTGTATCAGTTAAGATGTGTTTGGCCATCAGTAACTCTCTGAGTTCAGGTAGCTTAAAGAATAAGGAAGAATCATATTCTATATAACAGGGAGTCTAGAGGTCAGGTAGTCAGTTCAAACTATCATCAGGTACTGCATCAGGCTCTAAAGCCAGATTACGTCCGGGTGATACATATTTCTCCTCTGAGTCCATTGTAATCCCATTCTGGTAGTCTATTACCTGGGGAATAAATCATAAAAACAGTAGGGGAATAGGTAAAGGAACAAAAAGAACTAAAATACATACATGGTAGAAAATATGAATAGCTACTTCAGCCTTTGTTTCTGCCCAACACATTCACATAGCCTTAGTTGATGTGTGACTTATGACATCCTTGTTCTAAAATCTATTCCATATCCCCCTTCTCTTTAGGGGCACCTCAGCTGAACAGAGTTCTTTACCCAGTGAGCTACCCCAACCTGATTTTTGAAAAATCTAAGTTCTTGGTGGTCCTCCTTGAATGGGATTAGTAAAGTCTTCCATTAGTGTATGTTTTTTAAACACTAGACCTAACACTACCAGGTGTTATCTCCCTGTGGTGTAGGTGGAATCGCTCCCAGGCCCTATTATAAAATAGCACCTGTCACTGCAGCCTACCTCTAGCCTGTTTGGCATGAAAGTATTGAAGTGGACAGATGGCAGCCTCAGTTTTCAATACAATAAAACTATTCTTTTGTCTCCTCTCTTGGGTACTGGCACTTGAAGCCAGCAAAACACAGAGTTGCAGAAATAATGTATCCTAGCTGGAAATAGAATTCAATTCATTTTATTTAAATGAAGAGACTTTACTGAGGGACCTCTAAGAGATGCAGGCAGGGTTAAAGACACTAACAATGGATGTCGAGGCACCCAGAGGCTAATAAACAGCAGGAAGCCATTACCATGTCTAGGAGTAGGAGAGGAAATAGTGTGACCTGAGTCTAGTGAGAGCAGAGCTGGGGTGAAATTGCCCAGCGGCAGCTAGAGCTATGGAAAAAGGTGGCCCTTGACAAAGATGCAATGCTGAAGCAGGGAGGAAATGGAGAGGAAATACCCTGAGCTCTCTCTCTCCTCTGCTCTCTGCTTACCTGCTGGTAATGTCATTGGCTGATCCAAAGAGAAGCGAGTCAGCGTGGCAGCCCAAGTGAGACAGTCTTCAGAGATATAGCAGAATAGAAAAGTGGAAGAATGGATGTGGGAGAACATGTATGGAATAACCAATACAAATAGGAAATGAAGCATTTGCAAGTGCTAATGTGTACTAGTGAGAGATACCATCTCACTTCTACCTACTGGTTCCCCAGACTGGTGTATTTGGCCTGTGGGAGACCCAGAGCCATACACTAGTTTCTAATTCAAAGCATGGGCTCATTGTATAGGATAGCAGCCCAACCTCACAAGACGTTTTCTCTCAGTGAATGCTGTTACTGAGTCTTCATTAAATATTCTAACCTTCTGTAAGACCTGTGAATGCCATATTTTTTCATCTCATTTCCTCACTTCTTTTATTCTAAAATAAGTTCTTGCTGAGATGCAATGTGGCATGGGGTATTATTATGGTGAAGTAAAGCATTCAGTAAGTCTACTGGAGATGTTACTGGAAGAAATGTGACAGCCATAGAAGGCAAATTCACATCCAGAGTGGATTATTATTACCTGAGGACGAATCCTTGCTCCCTTCAAGATGGAAGGGGAGAAAACCTTTCAACTTTTCGTTCCAAAATGGTGGTGTAGAAGCAAGCTGGCTTTACTCCTCCATATAAAACCAAAAAAACAAATATATAGCACCAAGCTTATCACCAATAATATCCCAGAACTCAAATATAAGGATAAGACAGTTTCTGGGGCCAGAGAGAAGTGAAAAAACTCCCAGTAGACCGTAAGAGATTTAGTCTTCCATATCTGTGATGCTTCTTACCCTAATCTGCTCAGTACCAAGCACATAAAACATTGCCCCTTCACTCATGGTTTCTACGCTGGAAAAAGTGACATCAAGGTGGATCCCAGTTTCTCCACTATCTTGGGTTCCCTGGGAGTAGACCTGTCCCTGCCTCAACCCATGAGAAGCATCACCACTGCCTGAAGGGAGAAATATCCCTGAAATAGCTGGAGATGAAGTAGGGGGACAGGACTACCATCTCCAGCCCTGGAAACCCTTTGTAATGTGGCCAAAGAGGATGCCAAATCAGACTGACTGTTCAGCAGCACCATGCTGTAGAAGGTTCATTCCACAGGTCCTCTAGGCACAAAACCCTAAGCAGCCTTCCCACACTACGGAGTTATCCCCATTTGGGACAGGCATCACTCTGATTGTTTACTAGAACCTAGGCAAATCTAGGCTTAACGTGCCATCTAGTATCAAAAAGGAGGCAGCAACCTAGCAGTAAAAAAGAAAATCCACAGGTAAATTACAAAGACTCTTTAAGCAAACATATCTGATAAAATCCAAAGCAAGTCAGACAGATAAGACTACAATAAATAACTAATCCTTCAACCCAAAGAATAGATATACATCCACAAGAAACAACAGCACACAGCAAACTGTGACCTCCTCAACAGACAAAGCAAGGAACCAGTGACTGATGCTAACAAGATGGCAATATGCAAATTATCTGACCAAGAATTCAAAATAGACATTTTAAGGAAACTCAGTAATCTCTAAGATAACAGAGAAAAGCAATTCAGAAATTTATCATAGAAATTTAACAAAAATATTGAAATAACGAAAGCATCAAATAGAAATCTTGGAACTGAGAAATACATTTGCAAAACTGAGAAATTCATTAGAGCTCTTGATAGCAGAATGGATCAAGCAGAGGAAAGAATCAGTGAGCTTGAAGACAGGCTATTGGAAAATACCTAGTCAGAGAGCAAAAATGAAAAAAGAATGAAAAAGGATGAAGATTGACAGATACAGAAAATGACTCAAAAGACCAAATGTAAAAATTATTGGTGTTCAAGAGGACACTGAGCAAAAGAAAGGGGTATAAAGCTTATTCAAAGAAAAAGTTTCCAAAACTTGAAAAAGATAAAAATATCCAGGTACAGGAAGGTCAGAGAACATTAAATAGATTTGACCCAAATAAAACTAACCCAAACATATAATATTTAAACTCTCAAAGGTCAAGGACAAAGGGAAGATCCTAAGAGTAGCAATAGAAAGAGGCAAATAACATATAAAGGAACTCCAATTCACCTGGCAACAGACTTCTCAACAGAAACCATACAGGCCAGCAGGGAGTGGAATGACATTTTCAAAGTCCTGGAAAGAAAAAAACAAACTCTGCTCTCCAAGAATACTGTATCCAGCAAAGCTATCCTTCAAATATGTAGGAGAGATAACATCTTTCTTAGACAAACAGAAGCTGAGAGAATTCACCACCACCAGACCTGTCTTACAAGCAATGCTAAAGGAAGTTCTTCAATCTGAAAGGAAAACATACTAATGTACCAAAAGAAAACATTTGAAGGCATAAAGCCCAATAACAAAATTAAGTCCATGGAAAAACCCAGAATACTCCAATGCTGTAATTATGGTATACAATTTGCTCATAACTCTACTATGAAGCCCAAAAGACAAATCTATCTAAGACAATAATACCTATGGCAACCTAAGAGACGGATAGTATAAAAGTATGTAAATTGAGACAACATAGAGTAAAAAAGTGGGATGGAGTTAAAGTGTAGTTTTTCCCCATTTTTCTTTGTTAATTTATATTCTTTTCTTTATGACCTAAAATAAGTCATTATCCCTCTAAAATAACTTGTTATAAGATTTTTTTGTAAGCCACAATGCAAAAACCTGTAAAGGATTTACTAAAAATAAAAAGCAATGAATTAGGGAGGAGGAGAGAAAAAAAGAAAAAAAAGCAATGAAACATACTACCAGAGCAAATCACTTAACCACAAAGGAAGACAGTAAGAAAGGAGGAGAGTTACAAAACAACCAGAAAACAAGCAACAAAATGGCAGTAGTAAGTCCTTACTTGTCAGTAATAACACTGAATGTAAGTGGCCTCAATTCTCCAATTAAAAGGCATACACTAGCCAAATGGATAAATAAACAAGATCCAACTATATGCTGCCTACAAAACACTCACTTCATCTATAAAGGTATTCATGGACTGAAAGTGAAGGAGTGGAAAAATATATTCCATGCAACTGGAAACAAAAAAAGAGCAGGAGTAGCTATAATTAGATAAAGTTAGACTACAAACCAAAGACTGTAAAAAGAGACAAATAAGGTCACTATATGATGATAAAAGGATCAGTCAGTGAGAGAATATAACAAGTGTAAATATCTATGCACCCAACACTTGTTATATTCTCTCACTGACTGATCTCTCACTCCCAAAAATATAAAGCAAACACTAATCTAAAGGGAGATCTAAAAGGAGAGAGACTGCAATGCAATATGAGTAGAGGACTTTAAAACCCCACTCTCGATAATGAACAGATCATTGAGACAGAAAAACAACAAAAAGCCACCAGTGTCAACCTGTACACTAGACCTAATAGGCCTAATTGACATTTACAGAACATTCCATCTAACTGCTACAGAATACAAATTCTTTTCATCAACACATGGTACATTCTCCAGAATAGCCTCCATCTTAGGCCACAAAACAAGCCTGAACAAATTAGGAAAAGCAGAAATTATGTGAAGTATCTTTTCTGACCACAATGGAATAAAACTAGAAATCAATAATAAGAGTAACATTAGCAACTACACAAAAATGGAAGTTAAACAGCATGCTCCTGAGTGACAAATGGGTCAATTAAGAAATTAAGAAGGAAATGAAAACAAATATTGACACAAATGAAAATGGAAGTATAACATACCAAAATCTATAGGATACAACAAAAGCAGTACTAATAGGTAAGTTTAAGTGCCTATATCAAAAAGGTAGAAAGACTTCAAATAAGCAATCTAATGATACACCTCAAGGAACTAGAAAAGCAAGAACAAACTAAACCCAGAATTAGCAGAAGGAAATAAATAGTTAAGATCAGAGCAAAAATAAATGAAATTGAGACTAAAAAATATGGGAGATCAACAAAATGAAAAGTTGGGTTTTTGAAAAAAAAAAAAACAAAATTGACGAAACTTTAGCTAGAATAACTAAGAAAAAAAGATAAGACCCAAATAAAGAAAATCAGAAGTGAAAAAGGAAACATAAAAAATGAGACCACAGATATACGAAGACTCATTACAGACTATTACGAACAACTATATACCAACAAATGGAAAAACCTAGAAGAAATGGATAAATTCCTGGACACATACAACCAACCAAGATTGAACCATGAAGAAACAGAAAACCTCAACAAACCAACAATGAGAAACAAGATCAAAGCCATGAGAAAAAGTCTCCCATCATAGAAAAGCTCAGGACCTACCTGATGGCTTCACTGTTGAATTCTACCAAACATTTCAAGAAGTAATACCAATTCTACTCAATCTCTTCAAAAAAAATTGAAGATGAGAGATACTCCCAAACTTTTCCTATGAGGACAGCATTACCCTGACATCGAAACCAGGCAAGGACATGACAAAAAAAGAAAACTACAGGGCAATATTCCTGATGAACATAGTTGCCAAAATCCTCAACAAAATAGAGTTGAATGACGCATTAAAAATATCATTCACCATGATCAAGTGGGATTCATCTCAGAGATTCAGGGATAGTTCAACACATGCAAGTCAATAAATTGATACATCACATTAGCAGAATCAAGAACAAAAATGATATGATTATTTCAATAGATGCTGAAAAAACATTTGATAATATTCAATATCTCTTTATGATAAAAGTTCTCATCAAAGGGAACATACCTCAAAAAAGGCCATTTATGACAAACCCATGAGTCATAATGTCATGCTCAACAGGGAAAAACTGAAAGCCTTTTCTCTAAGATCTGAAATAAGACAAGGATGATCATTCTCATCACTTTTATTCAACATAATACTGGAAGTCCTGGCAAGAGCAATTAGGCAAGAGGAAGAAATAAAGGGCATATAAATTGCTAAGGAAGAAGTCAGATTAGCCTTGTTCACGGATGACATGATCTTATATTCAGAAAAACCTAAATATTCCACCAAAAAAACTGTTAGAACTGATAAATAAATTCAGTAAATTTGCAGGATACAAAATCAACATACAAAAATCAGTAGTATTTACATACACCAACAAGAAACAATATGAAAAAGAAATCAAGAAAGCAATTCCATTTATAATAATATATAAATGCAAATAATATAAAATGCCTAGGAATAAATTTAACCAAAGAAATAAAAGTTCTATACAAGGAAAACTGTAAAATGCTGATGAAAAATACAGAAAAGGACACCGAAAATGGAAAGACATTCCATGTTCATGGATTGGAATAATTAATGTTGTTAAAATGACAATACTACCCAAAGCAATTTATAGATTTAATGAAATACCTATCAAAATACCAATGACATTCTTCACAGAAATGAAAAAAAATCCTAAAATTTATATGGAATGACCAAAGATCTTGAATAGTCAAAGTAATCCTGAGCAAAAAGAGCAGAGCTGAAGGCATCACACTATCTGACTTCAAATTATATTACAAAGCTACAGTAAACAAATCAGCATGGTACTGCTATAAAAACAGACACATACACCAATGAAACAGAATAAAAAGCCCAGATATAAGTCCACATATTTACAGCCAACTCATTTTTGATACAGGCACCAAGAACATCCAACAAGGGAAGGGCAGTCTCTTCAAGAATTGGTGCTGGAAAAAACTGGATATCCATATGTAGAAGAATAAAACTAGGCCCTTATCCCTCACCATATACAAAAATCATTTCCAAATGGATTAAAGACTTAAATCTAAGACTTGAAACTATAAAACTACTAAAGCAAAACATTGGGGGAAACATTCCAGGACACTGGTATTAGCAAAGACGTTTTGTGTAAAACCTCAAAAGCATAGGCAACCAAAACAAAAATAGACAAATGGGATTACATTGAGCTGAAAAGCTTCTTCACAGCAAATGAAACAATCAACAAAGTCAAGAGACAATCCTTAAAATAGAAGAAAATATTTGCAAGTATTCATCTGACAAGATATTAATAACCAGAATATAGGAGCTCAAGCAACTCAGTAGCCAAAAAAAAATTTTTTTTTTTTTGAGACGGAGTTTCGCTCTTTTTGCCCAGGCTAGAGTGCAGTGATGCGATCTCGGCTCACTGCAACCTCCACCTCCTGGGTTCAAGCGATTCTCCTGCCTCAGCCTCCTAAGTAGCTGGGACTACAAGCATGTGCCACAATGCCTGGCTAATTTTTTGTATTTTTAGTAGAAACAGGGTTTCACCATGTTGGCCAGGATGGTCTCGATCTCTTGACCTCGTGATCCACCCACCTTGGCCTCCCAAAGTGCTGGGATTACAGGCATGAGCCACCGCGCCTGGCCAAAATTTTTTTTTTATTTAAAAATGGGCAAAAGATCTGAACAGACATTTCTCAAAATAAAACATACAAATGGCCAACAGGTATTTGAAAAAAATGCTTAACATCACTAATCATCGGGGAAATGCAAATAAAAACCACAATGAGATATCATTTCACCTTAGTTAAAACGGTCTTTATCAAAACACAGGGAATAAGAAATACTGGCAAGAATGTAGAGAAAAGGGAACCCTTGTGTGCTGTTGATTGGGATGTATTATAAATTAATACAGCCACTATGGAAAATTGTATGGAAGTTCCTTTAAAAACTAAAAATAGAACTATCATATTATCCAGCAACTCTACTACAGGGTGTGAATCCAAAAGAATGTAAATCAGTATATCAAAGAGAAATCTGCACTCCCATGCTTATTGCAGTCCTATTCACAATAGCCAAAATATAGAATCAACCTAAGTGCTCATCAATGGATGAATGGATAAAGAAAATGTGGAATATATACACAATGGAATATGTTGAGCCATAAAAATGAATGAAATCCTGTCATTTGCAGCAACACGGATAGAACTGGAGATCATTATGTTAAGTGAAGTAAGCCAAGCACATAAAGACAAATATTGCATGTTCCCACACATGTGGGAGCTAAAAAGGTGGATCCCATGAAGACAGAGTAGATCCATGGCTACCAGAGGCCAGGAAGAATATGGGGGAGGGGGGAATGAAGAGAGGTTGATTAATGGGCACAAATATACAGTTTGGTAGAAGAAATAAGACCTAGTATTTGATAGATCAGTAGGGTGACTATAGCTTACAATAATTTGTATATTTCAAAATAGCTAGAAAAGAATAATTCAATTTTTTAAACACTCAAATAAATAAAAGACAAATATTTAAGGTGATGGATATCCCAATTACACTGATTTGATCTTCAAAAATTATATGAATGTATTAAATTATCACATATACTCTGAAAATATGTAAACAGTCTGCCACCAGGTAATTGCTATTCTCCTGATGTAGGTGCCATAGAGGTGCTCAACAATGATCTTTGCTGCTGGCAAACTGGGGAAACAGTTATGGCAGATCAGCATGGTGACGGGAGTCCCTGTTACTGAGCCCATGTATAATCTCTGTATGTGCTACTATTGCCATTTTGTTCAAGAGCCCAATGGAATGACAGAGATAATTAACATCCATTGTCAGATTGTCCATCTCATTTTTTAAGGGATACTCCACAGAAGAGTCCTCTTTCTGAATAGTCACATGGGATACCATATTATCACACACTTTGTACCCATTCTAAGAGACCTATTCACATACCTCTTCCTCAGATTTTCTGATGCCAATCCTCCAATATTGTTGGATCCAAATTTCTGACCAATTAGCCAAACCATTAGCCATAGCCCATGAATCATAATAGATCCATTCCTCTGGCCATCTTTCCTTCCAGAAAAAGTAGATAACTCAAAGTTCTTCCCTCTGGCAGTTTTCCCCTTCTTACTGCCTTTTAAAGTCACATCCGAATGAGTTTATATAAAATTACAGAAAGTGGAAAGCCATCTATAAGCTACACTTGACCATCTATCTCTTCAGTCAGTGGTCACAGGAACTTCCTATGAGGTCAAGGGTGTGGGTTGAAGGACAGGTGGCCGCTCAACTAGAGAAGTTGCACTGGAGAATGTGAACATTCTACTCATGCAACTCATCAGTGGTTTCAGAGCTGCCCACACCCATCCCATATGTACTACTTCCACTTTGCCTGATTTTATGGCTTGGCATATCAGATAATATCCAGTTATTCATAGGAAGTTTAGATCTCATGGCCACTTGGTATCCTTTGATTATGCAGTCAGCCTCTACTAAAGCTCAGAAGCAAAACAAGAGTTTTTTTTCTCAAAAAGAAAATAGCTGTTTATGAAGATGACTTGGTTCTTCTTGTAAATTCTTGAGTGTGCACTGTAATTATCCTATGGGTGCTTACTATATGCCTCACATAGCATCTCAGTCTGCCATACACAGTGTGAACACCAATGAATCTTCTGGGTTATTATCTCCAAGAGGAAGAGCGTCTTGCACCACAACCTGGTCTAGCTGGAGAGCTGTCTCTTATCCTGGGCCCTATGCAAAGCTGGTAGTCTTTTGAGTGACTTGGTGAATAAGTTGGAACAACACATTCAATTGTAGCATGTGTTTCCTCCTAAAAACAGAACAGCCAAATGAGCATTGTGCATCCTCACCCCCGGTTTTTTGTTTGTTTGTTTGTTTGTTTTTTGAAACTGGGTCTTGCTCTGTCACCCAGGCTGAAATGTAGTAGTAGCTCAATTCACAGCTCAGTGTAGCCTCGATCTCCTGGGCTCAGGTGATCCTCCCATCTCAGCATCCTGGGTAGCTGGAACTATAGGCATGTGCCACCATGCCTGACTAATTTTTTGTATTTTTTTTTTTAGAGATGGGGTTTCACTATGTTGCCTAGGCTGGTCTTAAACTCCTGGGCTTAAGTGATCTGCCCACCTCAACCTCCCAAAATGCTGGAATTGCAGGTGTGAGCCACCGCACATGGCTTATTGTGTCCTTTTCTTGCTATTGGGTACAACTACCTTGTCTTTCATTTTAAAGGAATCATTACGTTATTTCCCAGATTACTGTATACCCAGAAACTTCACCAAGGTGTCAAGAGTTAGTATCTTCATGGGATTTATTTCTCACCTTCTGGCATCCATGTGTCTTGCCAAGGACTCTAGGATGCCTGCTACTGCCTGCTGTTTGGATTCTGTAAGCATGATATCATCAATGTAACATATGATGTCTTGTGGGATGTTGAAATTAACTAGATTCTTGTAGAACAAATTTTGGATCAGAGTGAGAGCTGACATAGCCCAAAGTTAAAATGGTGAAGGTATGCTACTATTCCTGTCAAGTGAAAACAAACTGCTTCCAGTTTTTCTCTGCTTAGTAGAATAAAGAATTTTTTTTACAGATGAATAGCCACAGTTCCAGAGACTATGTTTATTTGCTGAAATAAAGATCTATATTTAAACTAATTAAATTACAGTTGTGGTCCTCCCTTAATTAAGTTTATGATAATTTGTTTTTATTATCCAAGACCCATCTTTTATCTTCACTGGTTAAAATTGATTAAATGGGGGAATATGATTGAGCTCAATACTCCTATATCTTCCACATCTTTGAATATCTTAAATATTAATTTTTAATTAATATTAACCAATTTCCTCATGGATGCATGTTTTTGGTTTACAGTTTTGGAATGGAAGAGAAGCTCCAGGGGCTCCCTCATGGCTCTTTCTACTATAATTGCCTTTAGTCTGAGGTCATAGAGTCAGTGTTCTACTATACAGTCAGAGTCAAGGTTCTGCTTCTTGTTGAATATATCTAGTCCAGCTATATACTCAGGAACTGAGAAGTGAGGCACTATGTGCTAGGATATAAGTGTTTAAGATGTCAGCGGGCTGACTAAGGTGGACTAATTCTTTCTGTCCCAAAAGACCACAGTGGACTGCTGTGTCTCTCAGAAAAGATGTTCAATTCTTCTCAAATGATCTGATTATCTTCCTTTCCCTAAAACACAGTTACCCTGATCTGTGGCTACAAGTCATTTTGGGAATTTAGTGATGGTGGGGCTTGAGGGGAGCTTGAAGAGATTTGGATTTTCCCATAAAAGTAACCTCTCTGGGTGATATCATTACAGGGCCTCCAGCAAGGGAAGAAGAGTCAGCCTTAGTAGAGGCTGACTGCATGATCAAAGGATTATGGGGCTTGGCAGCTCTCTCACTGAGCTTCCACTGCCATTGGAAGAAGGCAGTTTCTCTCAGGCTATGTGTAAGATTTAATGTACATACTTCTGATATTATCATATTATCAAGGGGCCTTGGGTCTTTTAAATAACTCAGATCTGGGAACTGTTCTGGTGCTCAAGCTCTAACTCACCAAACTAGAGTTTTATGGTTATAAGGATCAAGTAGGACCATAGGTAGATGCCAATCTACTTTAGTCCTAAGAACCCCGTGCTCAATTAGCTACTCCAAAAAGCTCTGGGTTAGGGTATTCTGAGTGCCGCCCCAGCTTCCCTGCTGATTGCTGTGACCCTGAAGCATCTTCTGGAAGCTGGGTACCACCTCTTGGCACAGCCATCTCTGTATCCTTTCACCCCTTCCTCCTGCCCTGCTCCCATGTCAAGGAACCCATTTTAATGCAGTCTCTCCCACTAGCACACCCCACCTGCATGTGAGAGCTACAATAGCACCTCTCAAAGATTGTTTCTTTCCCTATCAATGTAATTCTCAATATTTTGGCAAAGAGACTGTCTTCAGAGCCCTTTCCAGAGACATAGTTAGGGCAGGGTAAGTGGATCTCATAGAATTAATCTAGTTCTACATTTATCTCATTCCTCTGCATTACCCATTGGATACACATTTTAATCACCTGGGTAGTTTTGAAAAGATACCAATGCTCAGGCCCTGTCCATGGATATTCTGATTTAATTGTTCTGGGGCTAGACCTTGGCATCAGTATTTTGAAAAGCTTAGGTGATTCTAATGTGTAGCTAGGTTTGAGACCCACTGTTTTACATTACATCATGGAATTTCTGAAACTTCATTTTATGTTGGTTTCCACTGGATTCAGGATTAAGTCAACTAATCAATTAGAAAGAGTAATTAGAACTGCAACCATCAGCTCAAGATAGCATATTAAACACAGAATCTCTCTGGCCAGAGCATTTCTTCTACTGATAAATTCAGCCCTAACTAAATTATGTTCCCTTCTCCTTGGTCTAGAATCTTTAGAATCCATTTTAAACACATTAAACATACATTCTTCTATGCTTCTTTCTGGCACAAAATTGCAAGTTCTTGCAATTCTTTTAATATAGATGCCCTTTCTTCCCAGGATAGACTTTGTATTTGGCTCCTGTAACTGCTGAGGTCTGATTTTGCTTATAGGTTGAAAGACAGTGATGGTGGCAGGGGTGAGGCGAACCTGTAGAGATTTGACTTTTCCAAGCTAAGCAACTTCTGTAAGTGTGACATTTGAGAGCCTCAAGCAAGGCAGGCAGAGCCTCTTCAAACAGGGAAGGAGGGGATACTGTTCTGACAAAAGCGGATTGGTGGGGGCAAGGTGTCTCTCATTAAGCTGTCCAATGCCGCTGGGAACAATTTATCCTCACAGGTCTGGAATTTCTCACACTTATGTATTCAGTGGCAGCACCATTAAATCTCCCTAAGCTTTGCCTTCAATGAGCACTTCATCCCAGGTGACCCTGGGAAACAGCTGAATTCAGTTTTTGAGACTTATGCCTTGGACAGCTGGGGTTCCATTCCTTAATGCTAGCTGGAGCTTCAGCCCTGTCCCTTCCACCTGGGTCAAATCACCAACTCCACATTCCTCCCCAAGGTTCTAGATCTGGCAATGACTTCTAGTCCCAATTTCAGAATTGTCAGGTGTCTGATGTTGATATGGTTTGGCTGTGTCCCCACCCAAATCTCATTTTGTAGCTCCCATAATTCCCATGTGTTGTGGGAGGGACCCAGTGGGAGATAACTGAATCATGGAGGTGGGTCTTTTCCCTGCTGTTCTTGTCATAGTGGATAAGTCTCACAAGATCGGATGATTTTAAAAATGGGAGTTTCCCTGCACAAGCTCTCTTCTCTTGTCTGCCACCATGTGAGATGTGCCTTTTACCTTCCGCCATGATTGTGAGGCCTCCCCAGCCATGTAGAACTGTAAGTCCATTAAATCTCTTTTTCTTCCCAGTCTCAGGTATGTCTTTATCAGCAATGTGAGAACAAACTAATACAGATGGTGAGAAGCTGAATCTGACTAGGTAGAAAAGGAATTTATTAAGAACACATTACCACAGCTCACAGAAGTGTTGTGAGGCTAGAGACGCTCAAGGCTAAGCTTCCAGAATCACACTGCAGAACTGAATTGATGAGGGTGCTGCCACCTCTGGCTCTAGAGGACCCTCCTCTCCCAGGCTGCTTCTCTCTCAAGAAGTGACTTTGCACACACTGCTGATCCTGAAAGCCAGATGCCTCTGCCACCACCCTGTGGAAGGTTCTAGATGCAGCCTCCTTTGAGATGCTCATTTCCAAAATCAGATCTCACACAGGCAAGTCTGAGCATTGGCCTGTAGATCACAGGCCTGTGTCCCAGCAGCAGAGGACACTGGGGAGCTGAGTTTTTTGGGTTCTACCCTGAACAGGTGAAATTCATAAAGCTGGTAGATGAGATTTATTTCAAGGAATTGGCTTGTGAGATTGTGGAGGCTGGCATGTTTGAAATCCTTAAGGCAGTCCAGCAAGCTGAAAACTCAGGCAGGAGTTAATGCTGAAGTCCTGAGGCAGAATATTTTTTATTTGAGACAGAGTTTTGCTCTTATTTTCCAGGCAGGAGTGCAATGGTGCAATCTTGGCTCACCACAACCTCCGCCTCATGGGTTCAAGTGATTCTCCTGCCTCAGCCTCCTGAGTACCTGGGATTACAGGCATGCACCACCACCCTGGCTAATTTTGTATTTTTAGTAGAGATGGGGTTTCTCCATGTTGGTCAGGCTGGTCTCAAACTCCTGCCTCAAGTGATCTGCCTGCTTCGGCCTCCCAAAGTGCTAGGATTACAGGTGTGAGCCACTGCACCCAGCGGAATTTGTTTTTCCTCAGAGAAACTTCAGTTTTGCTCTTATGGCCTTTCAACTGGTTGGGTGAGGCTCATCCACATGATCCAAGAGGATCTCCTCTATGTAACTGTAGATATGAACAACGTCTGCAGAATTCCTCCACAGCAACAGCTGGGGTAGTGTTTGATTGAATAACTGGGTACTATAGCCTGGCCTAGTGGACACACAAACCCAACCATCACAGCTGGTTATTTCCCAAAGTTAACAGTGGTGTTGTTAACCATGAAGTTAACCATGAAGCCAGAAGGCACATCAAGTGTTTACAGCACACCCCAAATTCACTACTAAAGATGACGACGATGACATGATGATTACTATCACTACTTTGGCAACAATTTATTGAGCTCCTACCATGCAGCAAAGGCTTATCAAATTAATATCTCATATAATCCTTATGATAACCCTAAAAAGCAGTAATAATTACTTCTATGTCATTATTAAGGAATCTGAGGCTCAGAAAGGTTAGTTCATGATCACAATGCAAGTGGAGTATAGAAAATGAAATCTACTCTGCCAAATTCAAAAGCCCATCATTCTCTCCTCCACATGCTGCCTCTCCAATTGTCATATGAAGCCCCTTTGGTAATTTAGCCAATGCTCAATACCTGTACTTAGGGGGAGAGGAAGAAAATCATTTAAAGATTCTTAACCTTCATTGAAGATGTGTGTCACCCAGAGAGATTGTTAAAGCACAGACCCCTGGGCTCCTCCAGCAGAGATTTTGGTCTGCAGGGTCAGAGGAGGGACCTGAGATTCTGCATTTTAAACAAATGCCCAGATGCTGCTGATGCTGCTAGTTTGGAGCCAACTGTTGAGTAGCACTGGGTTAAAGAAACCCCCATGCAATGCGAGCATCTCTCCCTCGTGAAATCTTTACCTGCAACATCTATCAATAGCAAACAGGCTGACTAGAGTGGCACCTTTCCTTTCTTGCCTACAGCTGATGGCAAAATGATCAGAAGTCAATGGGGTGATCAAGGAAGAAGAGAAGCAAGCAACAAAGGACAGCTTGCTAATCTCTTTGTCAAAGAAGAGATGGCTGTCAAAGAGGAAAAAAACAGATTTCAGCTTGCGAGCCCTTCTGCAAGCCTACAAGCACCCTAGCCCTTGCTCTGAGGGACCCTTGCTAAACGTACAGTTGACATAGCACCATTTTCCCCACTGAGAAGACCCAAGGCAGAAAGTCAACTCTTGGAGGAAAGGAAATGGTCTCAACATAAGTGGGGCTGGTAGCTGTCTCACTCATAAACAGTAAGAGCCCCTGGAGTTCTGCCCAAGCACACACTAATGATATGTGAGGTGACCCTGTTGCTTTTTCCTGGAGGCTTACTAGAGTAAGGAATTTAAGATGTGGTCCTGAAAGCTACCAGTGCTGGAATGAGCATTCAGAAAATGGGGTAAGAGTTCCAGTTCAATCACTTAAATTAAAAAGCATCTCTGAGTCTCAGTTTTGTCACCTGTAAAATGACATAATACAACTCTCTACCTTACAGGGAAAGGCTTCAGTGAGTGACAGCAAATTTTTGTATTGCTTTGCATCTTTCCTTGTCTTGTTTCCCTTTTTATTTGTTTTTAGCCAAATGTGGTTGTTACTATAATTGGGCATAAATTGCATGGAGGAACAAGGATTTCAATAGTCTGAACTTGATCAAATACCTGGGTGAATCCTAGAAAAGCCATCAAGAAGAAGGATTTCTTAGCTTAAGTGCTCTCAAAAGCAAAGCCTGAAACAGAGCTTAAACTACTGGCACTAGTTGCTTGAGAAGTGCCAAGCCTGGGTAGTGAGAGTGAGGAAGGGGTAAGAAAAGATGCAAAACAGCATACTGCAACATGTTACCACACTGGATACCATGGCATGGCAAGCCGAGAAGCAGCAGAGTGGATGGCTTAGCAGGCATGTCTGCTCAGCACATTGGACTTTTCCAAAATAATGACCAAAGAGAGCTGCCCTTGTTACAGTGTAGTCCCTGGAACACAGAAAGGAGTGTGGGTTGATCTGTTTGGTTCAACATCACCTGTTCTTGGGGTCAGCATTCACCTCACAGGGAGCTACTTCCTGCTGCTAAAGAAAAATAAAAATGGAAGCCACAATTTAGAGAAACCCAAGACCAACTATCCATAGCTGCATAGCCAAAACTGAAGTCATCCTGATTTCCCCTAAACAATAGCTGTAAATATAAATGAAACACAAAACATAAGCTTTACATCCTTGTCAGCATGATACAGTGAAATCAGCTGTAGACAAATCAGCTTAAAAATCTCTACTTGCCCTAAAAAGAATGTTAATGTTTAACAGCCAATCAGAAAAAAAGTAAAAAATACTTCCTTCTTTGTACTTTATAAACTGTGATGTAACTGCTGAAACAAGGGCTTCTTACTACTTTTAGTGCAAAATCTCCCAGTTTGAGAACTGTTCTTTTGCATGCACAATAAGCTTTTACAATTTTTCTAACTTGATCTGATTTTATTTTTATTTTATTTTTTTTGAAATGGAGTCTTGCTCTGTTGCCCAGTCTGGAGTGCAGTGGCATGATCTCGGCTCATGCAACCTCTGCCTCCTGGGTTCAAGCAATTCTCCTGCCTCAGCCTCCCATGTAGCTGGGTTACAGGCACATGCCACCACCCCCAGCTAAGTTTTGTATTTTTAGTAGAAACAGGATTTCACCATATTGGCCAGGCTGGTGTCGAACTCTTGACCTCAGGTGATCCACCTGCCTCAGCCTCCCAAAGTGCTGGAATTACAGGCATGAGCCACCACACCCGGCCTGATTTTATTTTTGATCCCCACATTTCTTCACTACCTGTTGGTAGCCACCCAGGGAACCCCATGGTTCCTTCAAGTCTGAAAGTGGAGAGTGACCCGGTACCAGTGGAGGTTGGGCTGTTGACCAAAGGACAGAAGGAAGGAGGCAATAGAGGGAACCTGAGAAGGCTTACAAAGGTCTCTATGGATAAAAAATAGACTTACTCTATTTTTAAGAATTTACTCAGATTATACCAACAAGCTTTTTTCAGTCAATGGGATGAAGGCTTGGAGGAGTATAAACCCGTCCATACTCTGGGCCAAACATGCTGGCCTCAGATCCCTGCACACGAAAGCTCAGGACTAGAAAATTGAAAGTATTGCTTAAAGGAAATTTAATGGCCAAGCTCCCAAATGTCATCCTCATAGTTGTTAGGGACGTAGTGTTTCATATGTATATATACATATATACCCTTTATCTGAATAATGAATGACTCTAAGGGGCTGTGCCCTATCATGGCTGCTCTGAGTGCACATGTCTCAGTCTTTGGTAGAAGCTTATAATTAAATGGGAAGAGCCTCTGGGTCCTGACTGATATTGGCCATTTGTATCACAAAGTCAGAGCACACCAACAGAAATACCCCACACCATGTGTCATAATTTTGCTTTACCATCTGTATTACTTTCCTTGGGCTGCCAGAACAAGTTACTGGGTGGCTTAAACAACAGAACTTTATTTTCTCACAGTTGTGGAGGCTAAAATTCCCAGATTCCAGTGTTGATCTCTGATGAGGGCTCTCTTCCTGGCTTGCAGACAGCTGCCTTCTTGCTATATGTCATTACATGACCTTCTCTCAGTGTGGGGTGGGGATAGGAGGCTCTTTAGTGTCTCTTCTGATAAGAACATTAATCTGATTGCATTTGGGCCCCACTCTTATGTCCTCATTTAATTTTAATTACTTTCTTAGAGGCCATCTCCAAGCATGGCCACACTAGGGGTTAGAGCTTCAACATATAAATTTTGAGGGGACACAAACACCCAGTGCAGAACACCATCCATAGAAATTAGACAAGATGACTATTAACAGATGAACCAACTGATAGTTATTCCACAAAGCCCAGCAGCAATGAAAGAATTTCAGACATAGGAAGGGCATATATAAAGCACACATGCCACTGATTTCTCATCCCTTGCCTAAGGCAAACAATGCTAATCAATCATAGTATTTCTTCTACTGAGCCAGGACGCAGCCTTACAGTCCTTAACACAGAGCTTCAGGCAGCCACTATTAATTGACTGGGGTTGGCTTCCACATTGGGAATTTTTCAGGTATAAGTGAAAGAAATACAACTTACGCTATCTTAAGCATAGAGGGGACTTTATTGGCTCACATAGCTACAGACTCAAATGGTGGGATCAATGCCTAAAATGGTACCATTAAACCTCTTCTCTCTGATGGCAAAAATGGTTAACAGCAGCTGCTGGCTTTATCAGTTGAGCAACTGGTAAAAAAGTAGTCTTTTTCACAATTATTCGGATAACATTCCTAGGGATGGCTTTTCAATTGGCCTGGCTCAGGTCTGATTGGCCACCTTGGATCATGCGCATAGCCTGAATCAATTAAGTGGCCAGTGGGATGCAGTATTCCCAATGGCCACATTTGAGCCACTGGCCCGCCGGAATTAGTCCTGCTTGAGCCAACAAGTAATCGAGTCGCAGGATGAATTTCCAAAGGAAATGTGAAGATTCCAGAAGGGGTGCAATGGGGCCTGAGCAGCCTAAACAACTGTAGGGGAGAAAATACAAGTTTTTTCCTTCTTTTGAAATGTTCTTAGTTGAGACATTCTCCCCAAAATAAAAGTCAAATTAACAAAAGAAAAACAAACAGAAGTCTATTCAAGTGTGTTATATCCATCATATGGGAGAGGCCAAAGTTCAAAAGTATTTTTCTCTTAAGCCAGTGGTTTAGGGACCTTGTTTAAGTAGTATTTTAACAAAGAGCCATACATCTTATATAAGGACAAGACAAAGAAGAGAGTATCTGCAGGCAGGAAAATGTGGGAAGGTAAATTGATGGGAAGAGTGAAGTCTGCTCCTAGATTCTCTGGCACTGCTGTCTCAGCTCTGTTTTGAACTGCTAAAAGCAGAGAGGAGGGGCAGCATGAGCTCCTGTGTTTTGACCTTTTACCTTTAACTAAAATCCCCAGCATGTTAAAGAGGAATATTTTGGTTTCCTTCCCGATAGAGTCTAGAAGCTCTAGAAGTTAGCTAAGTGCCATCACCGGGGCTGCAGCTCTCTGAAAAGGCTGGGTCACAACACAACAGGGACCACAGGAGGGAACCCAGACCTGCTGCAAACACATTGGGACTCAGAGAGTTCCCATTCCACTCTGCCGCCCCTACCACGTTTAACCTTCCCATCAGCTTCTTGGTGAGGCCTCCACCAAGCCTTTATCTCAGATGCTTTTCATCGCCCCTGTTCTCACCATAGTGAAGGTGGAGTCCAGTACACACCTTCTCCCCAAATTTCTTATTTCTAGATCTTTGTCAACTTCTCTATTTTATCCATGAACCTCCGTAATAATATCAACATAATAACTAAACCTTAAAAGCAGAGTTCCCATGGAGACTGCATTTGGTGTCTAATTGGAGTCTTAGCTGGGCTCATCCAGAGACTGCTTAAAGTCCATCAAGTCAGTGGAAAAAAAGAAGCTGAACAGACTCATTAACCTCTCAAAATAGGACATTTCAATATGAATAGACTTAGTGTCATTAGTCTATGAAAAAGCTCAAGAACTCACATATAAATCTCTTCAGATCTGAAAATTGTGCGTATTACAGTACAATATAGCAGAAATATCACAAATCAGCATGTACTACAATTGTATGCTTTTGTCTTAAGTACACATGAAACCTAACCTGCCTATCAGATATTTTGCAACAAACTCTGAAAAGCCTACCCACCTCCCTGATGGAACAATCTTCAAGTAAATGCAGCTGCAGCTCTTGAAAATGCTTGGCTGTCCCAGGGAAGAACCCAGATGGACCTCTTGGAGCAACATTCAGTTTGGTAAATGTTTAAGTTCCTATGATGTGCAAAGCTTTGTGGTTGGTGCTCTAGGAATTTTTTTTTTTTTTTAAGTAAGTTCCAGCCGGGCACGGTGGCTCACGCCTGTAATCCCAGAACCTGGGGAGGCCGAGGCAGGTGGATCACAAGGTCAGGAGATCGAGACCATCCTGGGTAACGTGGTGAAACCCTGTCTGTACTAAAAAAAATACAAAAAATTAGCCAGGTGTGGTGGTGGGCACCTGTAGTCCCAGCTACTTGGGAGGCTGAGGCAGGAGAATTGCATGAACCTGGGAGGCGCAGCTTGCAGTGAGCCGAGATCATGCCACTGCACTCCAGCCTGCGTGACAGAGCGAGACTCTGTCTCAAAAAAAAAAAAAAAAAGTAAGTTCCTGCTCTTTTGGCACTCACACTCTTGCTCATACCTTGTCAATAGAGGTCTCCAAAATATAAGATGATTTTAGAAGGAGGCACACCTGGGTTCAAATTCTGGCTCTGTCATGTACTAATTTTATGACCTTGTTCAAACTACTCTATGCATTGGTTTATTATTTATTTATTTATTATTTTTTGAGACGGAGTCTCACTCTGCCACCTGGGGTAGAGTGCAGTGGCGTGATCTCGGCTGGCTGAAACCTCTGCCTCGTGAGCTCAAGCAATTCTCCTGCGTTAGTCTCCCGAGTAGCTGGGATTACAGGTGCATGCAACCATGCCCAGCTAATTTTTGCATTTTTATTAGAGACAGGGTTTCGCCATGTTGGCCAGGCTGCTCTCAAACTCCTGACCTCAAGTGATCTACCCACCTCAGCCTCCCAAAATGCTGGGATTACAGGTGTGAGCCACCTCCCCCAGCCAGGTTTATTTATTTCTAACTCTTAGCAGAGTTGATAACACCTGGTGAGTTCTTGTTAATTAGTTGCTGTAATTAGTATTATTGTTGTCTTGTAATTAGTATCATCAAAATTACTAGCCCTACTTCCTTGTAGCTCAAAGAATAATGACAGAATAGGATTGAAAGTTGTGATGGGTTACTGTGAAGAAGGTGAAAAACTGGTGCAGGATTATATCAGATATATATATATCAGCTGTTGGGTTCACAACACCAAATTAACACAAAATAAAAAAGTCCTTCCTAAGGTATACTGAAGAATCCATGAACTTCAGTGATTGCCTCAAGTAGACATCCATTGTTTTGTCTATCCAAACTAGTACTCTCTCTCTTGCTCTTTCTCTTCTATCTTCTATTTTAACCAAGTGGCTTGATTGGGGGCTGCCTGGACAACAGAGTGAATATATATATATATTTCAGATATATGTATATATTTTGAGACAAGGTCTCGCTCTGTTGCCCAGGCTGGAGCGCGGTGGTGCAATCTCAGCTCACTGTAGCCTCAACCTCCCAGACTTGTGATTCTCCCACCTCAGCCTCCCAAGTAGCTGGGATCACAGGCACAAGCCACCATGCCTGGCTAATTTTTTTAACTTTTTGTAGAGATGACCTCTCACTATGTTGCCCAGGCTGCTCTCGAACTCCTGCGCTCAAGCATTCCTCCCGCTTCGAACTCCCAAAGTGCTAGGATTACAGGCATGTGCCACTGTGCCCAGCCGGGAGCTGCCATATTGAGAAATGATTCAACTTCCCTGACCAGAGTGATTGTTGTGAGTTGGGCATCAGGCCCAATCTGAGCCAATAAGATGACCTGTGGGATTTTGTTTTGTTTTGTTT
Source organism: Homo sapiens (assembly GCF_000001405.40). NCBI lineage: Eukaryota > Metazoa > Chordata > Mammalia > Primates > Hominidae > Homo > Homo sapiens. The sequence continues at coordinate 45,296,228 of NC_000003.12, forward strand.
TGCTTTTTGAGATGGAGTCTCACTGTGTCGCCCAGGCTGGAGTGGAGTGGCACCATCTCTGCTCATTGAAACCTCCACCTCCTGGGTTCAAGCAATTCTCCTGCCTCAGCAACTTGAGTAGCTGGGACTACAGGCACGCACCACAACACCCAGCTAATTTTTTGTATTTTAGTAGAGACTGTGTTTCACCGTGTTGCCCAGGCTGGTCTCAAACTCCTGAGCTCAGGCAATCTGCCCGCCTTGGCCTCCCAGAGTGCTAGGATTACAGGTGTAAGACACCGTGCCTAGCCAACCTGTGGGATTTTTGGCATTGGAGAGAGATAGTTGGAGCTTGTCTCTAGACATACAGTTGAAGGATAAGCCAACAGCCCACTTGCATATATGACGGGCAGTAGGAACTGCAGAAAGACAGATTGCAGAGGTAGAGAGAGATCAGGCAGGACTCACATCAGACTTCTCTAGCTATCTGCTAAGGCAGTAGGATGTGTATGAAATCAATTATGGGTCTGAAGACAAAAAAGAAAAAGAGAATTTCCATAGATCCATGATTATAGTTAACCTATGTGAATATGATCAACTTAATTCTAGTGCACAAAGTCTGTACTTGATCTTAGCCAAAAGGCTGAGAAGCAATGTGCACAAAGTCTTTAAAAAAATAAAAGAGAAAGAGAGGGAAGTTTCTCATGTGTACTATGCCTCTCTGTCAACTTCCCTTTCTGTTCTCTCAATCCCTCTTCCCCTTTACTCCTCTAAGTCTTTCTTTCAAAGTCCCCAGTCTACAGCCCCACAATTCCAGGAGCCTCAAGCAATTCCACTCCTGTCATTGAGCTCAGAATTTCTATATGGTAGGAATTAGAAGGTAGCAGCCTTTATGGCAGGTGGGGGAACAGGAGTGAGGGCTACATGCTTGTTTCACAAGTGTGGAGTTAGGAGCTTTTTTTGGTGTGGCCTAGACTGGTGTTGATTACCTCCAGACATTGCCTCTTTCCCTTGGTGCTGCCACAGATGCATGCCAAAGGGGAAAAGGGCTTTGCTTCTCTCAGCCTCTTGTATTTTGTAAATGTGGGCACCTTGGGATTTGCCTAGAAATTAATCGATGTCCTCTGGCCCCTTTGGTAAGGATGATGGCGGATACTCTGATTCCATTCTAATCTCCCAACCCATGAGAGCTGCAGAGGATTTTCTTACAAGTTATCCATGAAGCAAGCAACCTTACTGAGGCAAGCGTTGACCTCATTCCCCACAGAGGCAAGTCCAGTCTCAATATGAGGACAGTCTCTTCCTGTCATGAGCATGACTGTCATATCCTTGGTATAATTGTGCCAAGGAACATTTGACTTTCTCTGCCCCTACAAGAGTTGCCAAAGTGACTGCAAATGGCCTCTGTGTCAGCCACCTGCGTGGGTAGTACCAGCATGGATTAGCATTCTCTTAATTCCAGTTCATTCTGACACAGTAGCTGATGCAGAGGAGATGCACAATATACACACCTACCCCCTTCAACACTCTTCTTACTTATGATGATGTTGCACTGGTCCCATCAAATAACTATTTTCCTCATCATCTCTTTCTCTCATCATTTTCCGCCTTCCCTCTTTTTTTGCTTCTGACATCGCCTTTGTTGTTTCACCTCTTCTTTGTGGTCTTTATATAGCCTTTGTAATTATGAAATGTATGAGCTTTTTGGTGATAAATTCTTGAGAAATTCTTACTGGAGAAGAACAAGAAATTTAAAGTCTCCCCTCCTCATCTCACCAAGGAGCCGGGGTGCTGTTTACATCAGTAGAGTTGCAATCAGAAAGTACTAAACAGCCCATATTAACGCTCCAAACAGCTTCTGTGTGGGTGAGCAAGGCAATTAAAAGCTAGACATGCTCAAGTCTTTAATCGGATGTCTAGGTGATAAAAATGCTGTCAACACATCTAAGGAAGATTATGCAAGCTTTTGTTGAAACAACACAGTTCTTATGTCTGCAAAGGAAACTCATCTTTTCATCAAGTCTAGTGTCAAACAGGAGAGGACTATTAATGGAAGCAGGCAGGGGAATGGGGAGAAAGCAAAGACAGCAGGTGGCTTTGTGTTTAAAGGACAGCCAAGGAGATGCCCACTTAAACTGAGATTTTGCTATAGAACTTTAAAAAACCAATCTCTAAATTTCTAGGTGGAAAAAGAGTTGCTTTAGGATGTCTCCAAAGGCTTCCTTCAAATGTTTGAAGGATCCTTCAACGCTATCAGCCTGCAGCTTGGAATCACTCATTGTCATTGCCATTAAATTTTTGTTGAGCCTCTTTATATGTACAGGAATGTTGTTATGAGATTTATGTATACCATCTCACTCTTCACAATAGTGGGCACTATAATGTTCATTTGTAGATGTCAAGATTGGGTCTTCCAAAAGTTATGAAGCATGACTAAAGTTATACAGTTTCCAGAGGCAGGATTCAAATCCAGGACTAAGAACTAACTTCCAAGCTCTTTGAGTTCCTACTCTACATATTTGATGTCTAGTCTCCCAGAAGGCACTTTGGAGAACCCACCATGACCCCTGCTGAATGGGGTTCAGGTGCAGACACCAACATCCTTTCTCAGAGGACTGGCTCCTGTTCCTCCTGAAGCAGTCAGGCTGAAGAGGCTGGATTTATGAAGAGTGAGGGTAGGAATTCTCCCACCTATAAGTGTCACTCTTGCCATCAGGCTATAAAGCAGATTTGCTAGTCCCTAGAGCCTTAGAAAGTATTTTGTAAAATCAACAACTTCAGCTTCTGCATCTGTCATTTCAGTCAGGATCCAGACTGGTCCAAGGAGATGAACAGAAAGCAAACCCCATTCTGTGCACTTTCTTGAACTCATCTCTCTACTCCTTACCTCACTTCTCCTCATCCCCAGGTACTAGTACCTCCTCCCTCCTCAATTAGCCATCGGAGAAGAGCTTCACATATATCAGCTCATTCAAATGGATGCCTTGAGTACCTTGAAACATATCTTTGTCCTTAGCTAGGATGCCCCTGACACACAGGCGCATGGACACACAGAATCCCCCTGCCTCCAACACACACAAGGGCAAAGATACATATTTGCTTCTGTGTTTTGCAAAAATGATATCATGCCATATATACAGTTTTATATTCCTTTTCACTAAACATTGCATTGTGAACATTTTCCCATATTACTAAATACTCCTTAAAAACATGGGTTGTTTTTTAACTAACTGTGTGACTTTTTAATGGATGAATTAGCATTATTTATTTAACTATGTCTTTATGGCTACACACTTAGTACTTTCTAATATTTTGCTCTTATTACAGTGGACGTCCTCTGGCTACTTTATATAGGATCAGATTCTCAGCAGAAACTTCTGCATGTAAGGATATAACCATTTTAGAGTATTTTGATAAATATTGCCAAATTCCTTTCCAGAATGGTTGTACCAATTTGTAGTTTGAACAGAAATAAGAGTCCAGCTCACTACATCATTACTGGCATGATATTGACTTTGAAAGAATCTTTTCCATTTTGTAGGCAAAAGTGGTATCTTGGTGGTGTTTTAATTTGTATTTCCTAATTTTTGAGATTGGATATATTTTCATAATGTTTATTATCATTTGCACATATTCTTTTGTGTCTTGCTTATTCATGACTTTCATTTTTTTATTTTACTTTTGCACTGTTAATGTTTTCTTACTGATTTTTTAAAAGTCCCCTATATATTAAACACGTTATGTATTTATATATCATGTTTGTTCAAATAACTTTATCCCACCTTGTCACTTACCTTTTAATTTTGTTTTAATTTTGACATATAAAAGTCAAAAATGTTTACATAGCCAAACATATACTGCAGGTAGTGACTGTATTAGTCAGGATTCTCTAGAGGGACAGAACTAATAAAATATATATATGAGATACATATATGAGATATATATATGAGATATATATGAGATACATATATGAGATATATATGAGATATATATATATAGGAGATATATATATAGGAGATACATATATAGGAGATATATATATATATATATGGGAGTTTATTAAGTATTAACTTAATACATGATCATAAGGTCCCACAGTAGGCTGTCTGGAAGCTTGAGGAGCAAGGAGAGCCAGTCCGAGTCTCAAAACTGAAGAACTTGGAGTCCGATGTTCAAAGGCAGGAAGCATCCAGTATAGGAGAAAGAGGTAGGCTGGGAGGCTAGGCCAGTCTCACCTTTCATGTTTTTCTGCCTGCTTTATATTCACTGGCAGCTGGATTAGACTGTGCTCACCAGATTAAGGGTGGGTCTGCCTTTCCCAGCCCACTGACTCAAATGTTAATCTCCTTTGACAACACCCTCACAGACACACCCAGGATTAAGTTTGTATCCTTCAATCCAAACAAGTTGACATTCAGTATTAACCATCACAGTAACCATCAACAGATATTATTTTCCACATCTCTATGCTGTGGAAAGCCTATATAGAGTGGATGGTGGCAACTGTGTATTTCCCACTTCCTCACCCCCAACTCCTGCTATGCAGGGAGGATATGAGTGGGGAAGCTGGTGAAGGCCACATTCCCCCATTCACCACATAGCTGTGTTGCAGGACAGCTACTTTAGTGGGCCCAGCAGCCAGCTGGCAACTCTCACACACCCCAGCTTCCTAGGACAGAGACCTATTCTGAATAGATTAGGTAGCCAGTGGACACTAGCAGATCCCAACTGCCCCGGCTCTGGGCTGCAGAAGATCCATACTGAGTGGTGGCAGCAGCTGAGTGCCGGCATCAGTTCCTGCCCCCACCCCCAATTCCTGCACCATACAGGAGACCTGAGTAAGACATCTGGTAAAGAATAAGTTCTCCAACTCTCATCCCACCCTCAGCTCTATAGAGCAGAGATTCTTTCCAGTGGAGGGTTGAGGCAGGTCTCAAAGACTGGCAACATTCTGCCCTACTAAGGGATTTGACTTCAACTGGATCAGACTGCAGAATGATTTACATCCTAGAGCATCCTTAAAAGCAATAGAGCAATCAGACAGCAATTTGTAGAGGTGAACAACTGGATATGATCTCAATAGATACAGACCAATCTTAAGTTGAATGGAGTGGTCAGAGAAACAGACAATCAAAGAGAATCCAGCTAAAACCAGAGTCATTTCTGGTGATTGAGAAGATTAAGTGCATGCCCAAGGCAGTGCCCTTTAAAGGGCAATATCAGAGACTGCGCACTGTGGAGGAAGTAGACTTCACTGAACCAGTGCAGCCAAGTCACTAAGCAAATAAATAAGCAAACAACAACAAGCCCTGAGGGAGAGAGGGAAATCAGTATCCAGAGTTGTCATCTTTCCTAGAAGGAACAGTTCTAAACAAATAATTATTACACATTCAAAGAAGCAGGAAAATGTGACTTATACACAGGGGGTTAAAATCAGGCACTCGAAATGCCTTTGAGGGGGCCCAGATATTGGACTTAGCAGCCAAATACTTTAAAGCAGCTATTAAGAATATATTCAAAGACCTAAAGAAAACCATGTTTAACGAATGAAAGGAAGGTATAATGACAATGTCTCCTCAAATACAGACTATCAATGAAAAGATAGAAATGATTTTTTTTTTTTTTCAGATGGAGTTTCTCTCTTGTTGCCTGGGCTGGAATGCAATGGTGTGATCTTGGCTTACAGCAACCTCCACCTCCCGGGTTCAAGCCATTCTCCTGCCTCAGCCTCTGGAGTAGCTGGGATTACAGGCATGTGCCACCATGCCCAGCTAATTTTGTATTTTTAGTAGAGACAGGGTTTCTCCATGTTGGTCAGGCTGGTCTCAAACTCCGGACCTCAGGTGATTCGCCCGCCTTGGCCTCCCAAAGTGCTGGGATTACAGGTGTGAGCCACGGTGCCTGGCCTAGAAATAATTTTTTAAAGGAACCAAATAAAAACTTTAGATTGAAAGTGCAATAACCTAAATGAAAAATTCACTAGCAGAAATCAACAATAGAGTTGAGCTGGCAGAAGAATGAATCAGTGAACTTGAATATAGATTGATAGAGATTATACAATATAAAAAGAGAGAATAAGAATAAATAAAAATGAACAGAGCCTCAGGAAAACGTGAGACACTATTAAGTCCACCAACATATGTGTAATAGAAATACTAGATGGAGAGGGAAAAAAAGAAAAAAACTTATTTGAAAAAATAATGGCTGAAACCTTCCCAAATTTGATGAAAAACATCCAAGAAACTCAACAAACTCCAAGTGGAGTATACACAAGGAAATCTACATCATAGTCAAATGTTGAAAAAGACAAAGAGAAAATCTTGAATGCCGCAAGAGAAAATAACTCATGTGCATAAGGTAACTCCAATAAGATTATTATCTGCTTTCTAGTCAGAAACAAGAGGCTAAAGGCAGTAGAATGACATGCTCAAAATGCTAAAACAAAGCAAAACAAAACTGCTAACCAAGAATTGCATACCCAGCAAAACTATCTTTACAAAAATGAAGGAGAAAAAAAGGCAAAATAAAAATATTCCCAGGTAAACAAAAACTGAGAGAATTTGTTGCTGCTAGCAGACCTACCTTACAAGCAATATTATAGGTAGTTCTTCAGGCTGAAAGCAAGTGATGCTAGGTCATAATTAAAATTTACACACAGAGAAAAGAGTGCTGGTAAAGGTAATTATGTGAGTAATTTCCTATTTCATTTAAAAGAGAGTATACTTTCATTTTCCCCTTATTTTTATATTCTATAAAACAAAATATTTACATAATTGCATTGTTGGGTCTATTACATATAGAAATACAATATATTTGACAATAACAGCACAAAGGAAGCAGGTGGAGGATGAAGCTATATTAGAATAAGGAAATGATACTAGATGGTAACTCAATTACACAGGAAGAAATTAGGAGAATCAGAAATGGTAAATAAGAAGATTAATATAACAAACTCTACAAAGATATATTTGTTGTCCTCTCAGCTCGTTTAAAAGACAGAAAACTGACTGGGCGTGGTGGCTAACACCTGTTATCCCAGCACTTTGGGAGACCGAGGCAGGCAGATCACAAGGTCAGGAGATCAAGACCATTCTGGCTAACACGGTGAAACCCCGTCTCTACTAAAAATACAAAAAAATTAGCCAGGTGTGGTGGCACGCACCTGTAGTCCCAGGTACTCGGGAGGCTGAGGCAGGAGAATTGCTTGAACCTGGGAGGTGGAGGTTGCAGTGAGCCAAGATCATGCCACCACACTCCAGCCTGGGTGACAGAGCAAGACTCTGTCTCAAAAAAAAAAAAAAAAAAAAAAGAAAGACATAAAACTATATAAAGTAATACTTTATAGTATTACTATAAAGTATTACTATAAAGTATTACTATAAAGTATTACTATAAAGTATTATATATAATTATATATAGTAATACTTATAGCAAGGTATTATAGAGTAACATACATATATAGATATATTTGTATAACTTTGGTAATATATAAAAGGGTAGGGAGGAAATAGAGCTATGTAGGACTAGAGTTTATACATATCATTCAAATTAAGTTAATAAATATGAAGTAGATTCTAATAAGCTGAGTTATATAAGCCATACAGCAACTAATAAGGAAATAACTTGTTAAAAATCATTAAAGGAATTCAAATGTTACACTAGAAATGATTCACTTAATGCAAAAGAAGGCACTAAAAGAGGAACAGAGGAACAAAAATAGCATGCAACATATGGGAAAAAAAGGTCAAAATTGCAGAAATAAATATAACATATTAATAATAACAATAAATGTGAATAGATCAAGCATTACAATCAAAAGTCAGAGATTGTCAGACTGCATTTTTTAAAATCCACCTATATGTTCTCTACAGGAAACACACCTTAGATTCAAAGATATAAATTCAGTCATGCATCACTTAATGACAGGGATACATTCTAAGAAATGCATCATTAGACCATTTTGTTGTTGTACAAACCTCATAAAGAATACTCACACAAATCTAGATGGTATAGCCTACTACATACCTAGGTATACAGCATAGCCTAGTGCTCCTAGGCTAAACCTGTTCAGCATGTTAACTACATGGAAAACTGTAGGCAACTGTAATACAATGGTAAGTATTTGTATATCTAAACATAGAAAAAGGCATAGTAAAAATATTGTATTATAATCTTATGAGACCACCATCATATATGCAGTCCATTGTTGACCAGACATTATCATACAGTTCATGACTGTAGATTGAAAGTAAAAGAATGGAAAGAGATATGCCATACAAACAGCAGCCACAAGAGAGATGAAATATCTATAGAAATATCAGACAAAATAGACTTTAAAACAAAAATATTACTACAGTTAAACAGGAACATTTTATCATGATAAAAGGGCCAGCCCATTAGGAAGACATAACAATTATTAACATATATGCACCTAAAAGCAGAGTCCTAAAATACTTGAGGGAAAAACTAACAAAGTTGTTAAAGCATGACCTGCTCACGAGAAAGAAAAAAAAAAAAATGAAAAGAAAAAAAAACAAAACAGAATTGAAGGGAGAAATAAAACATTCAATAATATTTGAAAACCTCATTACCCCACTTGCAATAATGGATAAAACAACTAGGCAGAAGATCAACAAGGATACATAAGGTTTGAACAACACTATAAACAACTAGATCTAACAGACATCTATGGAACAATCCATCCAGAATATATATTGTTCTCAAGTACACATGGAACATTCCCCAGGATAGATCATGTGCTAACCTATAAAACAAATCTCAATACATGCAAAAAATAAAATAATACAAAGTGTATTCTCCAATTACAATGGAATCAAATTAGAGGATCAATAACAGGAGGTCATTTGGAAAATTTACAAATTTATTTCTAACTAACAAGAGAACAAAGAAGAAATCACAAGGGAAATTAGAAAATATTTTTTGTATTAGAAAATATAAAACCAGCGGGTGTGGCAGCTCACACCTGTAATCCCAGCACTTTGGGAAGTCAAGATAGGCAGATAGCTTGAGGCCAGGAGTTGACCAGCATGGCCAACATGGTGAAACCCTGTCTCTACTAAAAATACAAAAATTATCCAGGCGTGATGGCACACACCTGCAATCCTAGTTACTCAGGAGGCTGAGGCACGAGAATCACTTGAACCCGGGAGGCAGAGGTTATAGTGAGCTGAGATTGTGCCGCTGCACTCCAGCCTGGGTGACAGAATGAGACTCTGCTCCCCGACCCCACCAAAAAAAAAAAAGAAAATACAAAAATATAAAACACTAAAACTTACGGAATACAGGTAAAGTAGTGCTTAGAGGGAAATTTACAGTCACAAATGCCTATATTTAAAAAAGCAATCTGAAATCAATAGCTTAATCTTCCATGTTAGGAAATGAGAAAAAGAAGAGCAAACAAAACTCAAAGCAAGCAAAAACAAGAAAATAAAAACTAGAGTAGAAATAAATAAAATGGAGAACAGAAAAACAAAACTTATGTTTTAGAAATAATTAAATACTTTTAAAGAAAAAACTCTATGTATTAGTACCTTTAACAGAACTTGTCTCCCATGTGGACAAGGGCCTCCACATTTTCGTTTGCACTGGGATCTACACATTAGCCAGCCTTTGAAGCAGGAATTGGTCTAAAATGCAAGCCATACTTTGTCTTTTAACTGCTTAAAACCCTTTTCTTTTTCCTAACTCCCCATTGCCTTTATGTGGCTTTTCAGTATTCCCCAAGATTCTCGCCAATCTCATTTTCTGCTCTTCTTTACATTACACCTTGTACTTCGAAATCATAGACCTCCTTGTCATTCCCTGGGCATCCCATGCTGCTTTTCATACCTCAGTGCCTTTTCACATACTGCTCTGTTGTGATGTGTCTTCCCCTCCTGCTCTGCTTTCTGCCCCACCTTTGACATTTGTAACCCCACTCAGCCTTCATCTCTGCCCTGAAGCCTTGTCTAGAGCCCTAGTTAACTGACAGCTCTTTTGTGTTAATTCTGTACCGTTTACACACTTCTCGTTGCTTGTGTATGTTTTAACTGTCTAAATGCCAACGTCTCCCTGATTGAAGTTTCCTCTAAGATGGGAACCCTTTCTTACTTATTGCTATACTCCAGGGATCAGAGTAAATATTCACTGAACTGAATCATAAGGAGAATACAGCTCTTCCCCACCTGAACCAGTGAAAGCATTAAAGAAAATGTAGGTTAGTGTATTACAACCAGGCATGGTGGCACACACACACATGAGCAGAGAGCTGGCCTCAGATTGAGAGGTGACAGTGTGCCGGCAGCCCTCGAAGCCCTCGCTCGCTCTTGGCGCCTCCTCGGCCTCGGCGCCCACTCTGGTCACGCTTGAGGAGCCCTTCAGCCCACCGCTGCACTGTGGGAGCCCCTTCCTGGGATGGTCGAGGCCGGAGCTGGCTCCCTCAGCCTGCGGGGAGGTGTGGAGGGACAGGCACCGGCGGGAACCGGGGCTGCGCACTGGCACTTCCCGGCCAGCTAGAGTTCTGGGTGGGCGTGGGCTTGGCAGTCCCGCACTCGGAGCGTCCGGCCTGCCCCACTGGCCCCGGGGCAGTGAAGGGCTTAGCACCCGGGCCAGCAGCTGCGGAGGGTGCGCCAGGTCCCCCAGCAGTACCGGCCCACCGGTGCTGAGCTCGATTTCTCGCCAGGCCTTAGAGGCCTCCCCGTGGGGCAGGACTCGGGACCTGCAGCCCACCATGCCTGCACCTCCCCCCCCCACCCCACCCCCGGCTCCCCACCCTGGGCTCCTGCGCGGCCCGAGCCTCCCAACGAGCACCACCCCCTACTCCACGGCACGTGGTCCCATCGACCGCTCAAGGGCTGAGGAGTGCGGATGCACAGCACGGGACTGGCAGGCAGCTCCACCTGTGGCCCCAGTGTGGGATCCACTGGGTGAAGCCAGCTGGGCTCCTGAGTCTAGTGGGGACTTGGAGAACCTTTATGTCTAGCTAAGGGATTGTAAATACACCAATCAGCATTCCGTATCTAGCTCAAGATTTGTAAACACACCAATCAGCACCCTGTGTCTAGCTCAGGGTTTGTGGATGCACCAGTTGGCACTCTGTCTCTAGCTAATCTGGTGGGGACTTGGAGAATCTTTATGTCTAGCTAAGGGATTGTGAACGCATCAGTCGGCACTCTATCTAGCACAAGGTTTGTAAATGCACCAATCAACACTCTGTGTCTAGCTCAGGGTTTGTAAATACACCAATTGACACTCTGTATCTAGCTAATCTAGTGGGGAAGAGGAGAACTTTTGTGTCTAGCTCAGGGATTGTAAACGCACCAATCAGCACCCTGTCAAAACGGACCAATCAGCTCCCTGTAAAACAGCCCAATCAGCTCTCTGTAAAATGGACCAATCAGCAGGATGTGGGTGGGGCCAGATAAGAGAATAAAAGCAAGCTGCCTGAGTCAGCAGTGGTAACCTGCTGGGGTTCCCTTCCACATTGTGGAGGCTTTGGTCTTTTGTTCTTTGCCGTAAATCTTGCTACTGCTCACTCTTTGGGTCCACACTGCCTTTATGAGCTGTAACACTCAGCGTGAAGGTCTGCAGCTTCACTCCTGAAGCCATGGAGACCAGGAACCCACCAGGAGGAACGAACAACTCCACACGTGCTGCTTTAAGAGCTGTAACACTCACTGCGGAGGTCTGCAGCTTCACTCCTGAGCCAGTGAGACCACGAACCCACCAGAAGGAAAAAACTTCAAACATATCCGAACAGCAAAAGGAACAGACTCCGGACACGCCACCTTTAAGAACTGTAACACCCACTGCAAGGGTCTGCGGCTTCATTCTTTAAGTCAGTGAGACCAAGAACCCGCCAATTCCGGACCCAAGATCACAAATCTGAAACCAACCAGCAATATGACCCTTGGCAATTTACCTAACACCCGCGAACCTCAGTTTCCTAACCTGTAAGTTGGGGGTGATAATACCAATTTCCAAAAAGATGTTGTGAGCAATAATGCAATACTATGAATAAAGCAATTGATGGAGGGCCTGGCTATTGCTGATTATCATCATCAAGCTCTTTGTCTAATAGCATTTGGGGAAAGGAATGAAATTCCCAGATGAGAGACAAAGTTGACCATCAGAGTCTGCAGAGTTTGCATACCCACATGGTATCAGAGGTCTCCAGTAAACGCAGTTACTCCTGGGATCCATGAAGACAGGACAAACAGTGAGCTGGTAGCAGCAAAAGCTAATCAAGTTAATTGAGATTCTATGACCAGGTATTTCTCTTGAGTGCTTTACTTATTAACTCATCCATTTCCCACAGCAAGCCTATACCTTTGCTTATATAATTATAATTAACCTATTTTATGACAAATAAAGGGAAACAGGCCTAATTGTATGGTGTGTAAGCTGGACCACAGAGGGAGGTGGGTTGCTAGGGTAACACAGCTGATTGTGGTGGAGCAGGGATTTTAACCCAGAGAATGTGGCTTCAGAGTTTAGGTCCTTAATACTAAGCTATGCTAACTCTAGTTAAAACATCGTGCAGCTTTTTTTTTTTCTTTTTTTGAGACTCTGTCTCAAAAAAGTGAGTCTCTCGGCTCACTGCAACCTGCCCCTCCCAGGTTCAAGCAATTCTCCTGCCTCGCTGGGATTACAGGCACGTGCCACCACACTCGGCTAATTTTTGTAGTTTTAGTAGAGACAGGGTTTTGCCATGTTGGCCAGGCTGGTCTCGAATTCCTGACCTCAGGTGATCTGCCCACCTTGGCCTCCCAAACTGCGGGGATTACAAGCGCGAGTCACCACTCCTGGCCTAAAATATTGTGTAGCATCTATGTGCCAGAAACTGCATTAAGTTTTCCATAGATGTACTGGCTCACTCAATACCCTTTCTAACATCTTTCTAAAGTACCACACCATATGGCAAAGACTGAAATGCTGTGGCATTTTCCAGACCCCCTAACTGTTAATTTCCAAATGTGATTTAGGTTCAATGCATCTGGTGATCTTGTGCGAGACTTTGGTTTGTAACTAAGTTACTTAAATAGAGAAGCAGGGTGGGAGGCATCCATTTTCCTGGTACAACTTAGGTAAGAGGCAGCATGGTCCTGGAGTCAGCAACTGTAGTGGCAGCGTCCTAATTCTTTAGTTTCCTGGTTAGGCAGAGGAGTAGCTCTTTTGGTGGTCGAGGTCTGCAGTGTAGCTTTGGCAGTTGTTCCTGGAAGACCAGCCAGGATTCAATTTGGGCGCATTTTCTATTCTGCTTAATAAACTCCTTAGCTAGAACAGATTCTGTTGTCTGCAACCAAAAGTCTCCATCAATACTGTACACATGGATTCCTTTCCTATGGAACTAGCTAGTATCTTCATGAAGAAATTGAAGCTCAAAGAAGTTAAAAGACTTGTCAAAGTCACTGAGTTTTGTACATGGTAAAGCAGGAACTCAAACTTAGTTCTGTTCAACTTCAAAGCCTGACCATTAACCACTGTATTTTACTGTTTCTTGCCATTGACTGTCTTTTTTTTTTTTTTTTTTTTTTTTTTTTTTACTGCTAGGCTCTGATGTCAGCACAACCCATTATTTTGGAGAGTTCTTTCCGGCCTGAAAGTGATGCTTATTGCTTTATTCACAATCTACTGGCAAGAACTCAGCCACGAGGCCACACATGATCTCAAGGGATGCCAAAAAAACATAAATTTAAAAAATACATCACATGTAATGAAATGAAGCCTAGCCACCTGCCCAGGAAGAAGAGGAAATGGGATCAATTATCATTCACCAGTGCCACACTGTCCAAGCTGGCTTCACAGAAGCCTCAGTTGAGTCAGTGCCAGCCCTACTCTCCTCCCTGGTACTTAATGGTCTGTCAACAGCAGTGATGCAGAAGCAAGGGTGCTGGAATGGAGACAGGAGTCCTAGTGCTGACTGCCACTGGCTGTATGACTCTGGGTAAGTCATGTCGCTGTTCTCGACCTCAGTTTCTGCCTCAGTAGAATGAGGGGTTGGACTAGCTCCGTCTACCATTGCTCTCACATTGAATGAGATTTTCACTATGCTAGTTCCCTCAGTTGTACTTTTGTCTAGAACAGTTTTCAAAGTGTTTAATCTTTCTTTCAAAAGACAGGTCACCTGGAACCCCAATATATTAGTTAGATAACAGGAGAGTTGCTTTGGCTGGAGGCAGGAGAGGAGCAGGGATTCCACTCTCCTGTGGTGACCCCTAAAGTGTCTCTATGGACCTTAGGACTCATGGGCAAACTTGTAAAAGCAGTTGTCTAAACCACAACAGATCCCAACCAATGTGAATACTCAGGTTACCTGAACAGCACAAGTAACCCCTGGATTCATTCTTTCATTCCTTCCCCCACCAAATCCTACTGAGTTCCTATTTTGGCTTTTATTTTATTATTTTTTAAATTCAAACACCAACTCGAAGCAGAGAGTTCCTATTTTGTGAGTAGGAAAGTGGAATGTTAGGCATGTGGTGTCAGAACTTGGTTTAAATCTTGAATCTGACACTTAATAACGAAGGTCTCAAATTCTGGACAAGTTTTTACTTCTTTCTATCTCAGTTTTCTCATCCATGAAAAGAGGGAAAATATATATCTCATTATACGTATTATTCTATCCCCTTCCTTGCATTATCTTTCTCCTTGGCACTATCACCTTGAATATACCCTATAATTAACTTATTAATCTTGTTTAGTGTCTGTCTCCCCGACTAATGTCAGCTCTATGAGGCTGGTGACTTTTGTCTGTTCTGTTCAATGATGTATCCCAGCACCTACTACCACGCCTGGCACAAAATCATTGCTCAATAAATATTTGTGAAATGTTGTTGATAATCTTAAAGCATTCAGGATGGGGCCAGGTGCATTATAAGCATTTGGTAAATGTTAACAGTTATTATTTTTATTAAGTGTTATGGATGAGGATACAGTGTTGAAAAAAAATCAGATAGTGCTCCTGCCTTCATGAATTTATACTTGGAAGGGAGACAGATATAAAACAAAAAAGCAAAAATATATATTGTAAATTGTGACAAGTGTTAGAAAAGTTTAGGATGTTATGAAAGGGTACAACAGAAAGATATCATTTGGGTTTGGGCGGGGAGTAGAGGGTGGGGCTGGCCTGAGAGGAAACCATTTACACTGCAACCTGACAGGTGACCAGGGATGGACCAGGCATGAAGGGACAGCGTTCCAGGCAGGGGGAACAGGGAGTGTGGAGGCTTTAATGCAGGAAGGAACATGGAACTTCTGGGATCTGAGGGAAGACCAGTGGGGCTGGTTAGTGAGGTGGACATGGACAGGAAACAGCTGGAGAGGCAGGGGGCAGAAGGTACAGCACATCGTCATCCCCATGGGGCTGATAATTTACCCAACAAGCCATGGGGCCAAAAGGCAAGTGCTGTGACTTAAGCAGAGAGGGACAGGGTCATATTCACAGACCCCCTGGCTACTTAGTGAATCCCCCTGGAGGGTGAAGAGGGGAAATGGGGTTCAGAGGCAACATTTCACCACGTGCACTGTATTCCATTTGTCACCGTTCTCTTTCTGTCATTTGTTTGCCACAAGTGTTGAGTTACTTAGTCAAACTTTTGCCTCTCGATGTTTACTAATCAAATTCTAGTGCTTAATATTGAAACTGCAGGCTCTTCTGTTGGTGAAAGAACTCTCATCCCAATAAGAAAGAAAAATGTTGCTTCCTTCCCTGCAGCTGCAGAAAAGCAGACACTATTCCATTCTAAGCTGTCTTTGAAAATGTTCTTTATGAAAAGGTCTTTTCTAAGATGCCTAGATTTTGGAGATGGTTGCTCTGCCCTATAACTATAATTTTTAAACCCTAAAAATGCTATAGTTTTAATTGATCGCCCTGGTAGATAACATTTTCAGTGACATTCGCATTTTCTAAAAGCAATAAGTACCTGTGAAGCTTCTTTCTTATGCTGAGAACATTAACCGTCCTTCCTTCTTTCTTTATAAGACAAATAAACCCTTTGTAATTCTTATTTCAGCCGAGTTTGGGAGCTTTGGCTTAGTTAAATTAACAGAGGAGACTTACAGGGAGCTTTTGCAAAGTCAGGTAAGAGATGTGGCTTGGGTTAGGATGGGGGTGGTGGGGAGGAGAGAACTGGGAATTAGACGGAATGGGGAAAGATTTTGGAGATAGAATAGATAGGACTTGGGAAAAGACTGAACCGCACATGGGAGGTGAGCAGGCAGTTTGAAGATGACTCCCAGGCCCTCGGCATGAACAACATGGAGGGTTGTCCCTGAAAAGAAGGGGGAGGGCAGAATGTCCCCTGGAAATCTGTTTATGCCCCAATCGTGATGTCAGGAGGCCCTTTATGCAAAACTTCTCTCCTTAGAATGAAACTTACAGGCCACTGAGTGTTCCTGTGTCAGAACAGTATTGGAGGAAATGGGGTGGGTGTGGGTGGAGGTGATACAAGTTCTTAGTGACTCAGAAGGTGGATTTTCCTCCACAGATGTCTCTGACCATGGATTGGGACATGAATGGGAGCAGAGCTCCATTCCAGAGTCCCCAGAGAGGAGGCACTTTTGCTCGAGCTTCACTCAGCTGTGTCCTCTGGATGCTGGGATATGAGGGTGGCATGTGGTTGGGGGCATATTTCACACACCATTGAATCTGTGATATCAGATTTTTCTATAGGAAGTAAGGATGGGGCTGAACAGCTAAGGAGAAACTTATTGGAAATTCCCTTTGAGAGAATGAATATATGAATGGATAATGGCCAGGCTGTATGTTAAAATAGAGCTCTGTCCCTCAGTCTGCAACCTCCAGTTCAGGGAGCCAAACCACAACCTTAGTAAGAGTTGGCCACAAAACAACCGGAATGTAATCAATAACTGCCAGCTTCTCTAATTTGTATCCCTTTCCAACTTAAGACCAACCATGGAAAGCCAAATGTGCTCCCCTAAGCAATCACATAGGATGCCCCACTTCAAGTTCTCCCACCTACAGCACCCTCCATACCAGCAGCCTTCTATTGGGGCATATCTGGAGCCTTCCCTTTATTCACTAACAAGCTTTCCCACTCCCCTGCCTGCCTGGGAGTCTCTGCCAAACGCAACTGATGCTGCTGACTTATTTGCTACAGCAAGCTCTGAATAAAGAGCCTTTATTTGTTCTCATTTGGGTGGACTTCATTTATTTACACACATGGCCCCCATCTGGGCGTCATCAAAGCTACCTTGCTGGGTTTCATGCGCGTCCGTGTGAAGAGACCACCAAACAGGCTTTGTGTGAGCAACGAGGCTGTTTATTTCACCTGGGTGCAGGCGGGCTGAGTCTGAAAAGAGAGTCAGCGAAGGGAGATAGGGGTGGGGCCGTTTTATAGGATTTGAGTAGGTAAAGGAAAAAGGGGGGTTCTCTGGCAGGCGGGAGTGGGGGGTCACAAGGTGCTCAGTAGGGGAGCTTTTGAGCCAGGATGAGCCAGGAGAAGGAATTTCACAAGATAATGTCATCAGTTAAGGCAAGAACAGGCCATTTTCACTTCTTTTGTGGTGGAATGTCATCAGTTAAGGCAGGAACCAGCCATCTGAATGTGTACGTGCAGGTCACAGGGGATATGATGGCTTAGCTTGGGCTCAGAGGCCTGACACTGGGGACTTGAAGGGAAGACAGACTCGGGCGTTGAGTTCTCTGTATTTGTCAGTGTTCAGGCGGGAGGCTGATTCTTTATCCGAAGTAGTGCTGGCAACGCCTAGCAATCAACCCAGCACCTTCCCAGTGTAGCAGAGAACTATGATGAATGGTAGGAGGGCCGTCTGCTGGCAGACTCTCCGAGAAACAGCTGTCAAAAGGTGTGTGTGCATGCACACACATGTTTTCCCAAAATTGTTTGTCTTCTTTACAGAAAGAAAACCCATAATGGCTGCTAGTATACCTTTAGAGTTCAGAGCTGTACAAGTGACCCACATGATATGTTCTCCTTTGCAGAGAACTCACACTGAGTATGTGCCAGCTGTCTGGAGCTGGATCTAAACCCAGCTTTCTCACTCTCCAGGTGTGATCTTGGACAAGTTACTTGACTTCCTGGGTCTCAGAGTCCTCTTGTTTTATTCCATGGACATATCCATGCTGCAGTGCTGGTCTAAGTGTAGTTCACACACCACCTGCATCTATATCTCCTGAAGTACTTGTTAAGCATTCAGTTTTCTGGGCCCAACCCAGAATTAATGAATCAGAATTTCTGGCACTGGGCTGGGATTCTGCATGACTAGATAGCTCCCCAAGTTATTTTTCTGTTCATTAAATTTTGAGAACCTCAGGGTTACTGTATTTTAGGTACTTCAGAGGTTACAATGATGATCAAGAACTGATACCCCTCTTCACTGAAGGCTTATGTACATATATATCCAAGGCAAAGCAAATTGCAAGAAACACAGAAATGGAAAAACCAAATGCCGCAGGAAGAAGATAGGAATTCCAGCCTGGGAACTCTGAGAAGACTGGTTGAAGGAAGTGGCTTTCAGTCTAGGTCTTGGGGGAGATGAAATTTCATCCTGCAGACATGAGGACAGGGCCAGAGGTAACCAGCAAGCAAAAAGACACTGTTAACTTTTACTGCATAAAGAATTATCCCCGGCTGGGTGTGGTGGCTCACGCCTGTAATCCCAGCACTTTGGGAGGCAGAGGTGGGTGGATCACCTGAGGTCAGGAGTTTGAGACCAACCTGGCCAACATGGTGAAACCCTGTCTCTACTAAAAATACAAAAATTAGCCAGGCATGTGGCTCACTCCTGTAATGCCAGCTACTTGGGAGGCTGAGGCAGGAGAATCTCTTGAATCCAGGTGGCGGAGGTTGCAGCAAGCCAAGATGGCACCACTGCACTCCAGCTTGGGCGACAGAATGGGACTCCATCTCAAAAACAAAATTATCCCCAAAATTAGTAGCTTAAAATACCCAATATTTATTGTTGTTCTTGAGTCCATGGGTCAGCCGGGAGGTTCTACAAATCTGGACCTTGTATGGCTGATCTCAGCCTGACTTGCTCAAGTGTCTGCAGTTAGCAGGCAGGTCTGCTGGGGAGTGGCTAACCTACAACAGCCTCATTCATTCTCCTAGTGTTGGCTGGTTGTCGGCTGGGTGGTTGGGAAGATGGCTCAGTGGCTAACCTACAACAGCCTCATTCATTCTCCTAGTGTTGGCTGGGTGGTTGGGAAGATGGCTCCATGATACTCCAGCAGTGTACTAGCCTGGGCTTCTGCACTTGGTGGTGACAGAGTTCCAAAGGTAAGAGCGGAGCATACAAGGCTTCTTGAGGCCCAGGCTTGGAACTCGCACATCATCACTTCTGCTATATTCTGTTGACCAAAGCAAGTCATGGGCCAGAGCAGATTGAAGATGTAGAGAAACAGCCTCCACATCTTGCTAGGACCATCTGCAAATATGGCAGCCATTTGCGAACTCTACCACAGACTTCAGCGCAGAAAAATGCTGCATTCCCAGAACCCAAGACAGCAGGGTGTTTGTGGGAACAGTGAGAGACCTAAGAACTGTGGCGGTGAATGTCCAAAGTCTCTCTGTAATTGACTCTCTCCTTAACTGTTGAATGCCCAGAATGGGCAGCTGCCAACAGAACCCTGACAGAGGGAGGGGCAAAAGGAACAGTTTCTCTCACTCTCTTCCCACCCCAGAAGGGAGGAATATTTTATAACTAACAAATATCAGAATCATTGATGCGTGTGAGTTTTTAAAAGCAGACCAACTCTTAGTCTTATTTCCCTTTCTAATTCTCTACAGACAATGCACCCGTTATTACCTATTCCCAAGGCAGACTCCCCTGCCACTGCCCTTCCCTTGGTATGCCACTGCCAGAGTCAGATCCAATGGCCAGATGGAGCCCTGCCTAGGGAGCTGGTATTGGGGAAGACGAAGGTTTTGTTTTCCCTGCATAGTAAGAGACACATCGAGTCAACACTTTGTCCACAGATCACTGATTACAATTGCATAGGCCCATTCTAAAAAGCTCAGTTAGATGCTGCCTGCCTATATGATAGATAGTATTGTCTCTGTTTCATGGACAAGGAAACAGAGGGACAGAGAGGCCCCGGGACTTACCCAAGGGCATCCAGCTAGGAAAAAAAGAAGCCAGGGCCAGGCGCGGTGGCTCACACCTGTAATGCCAGCACTTTGGGAGGCCGAGGCAGGCAGATCATGAGGTCAAGAGATCGAGACCATCCTGGCTAACACAGTGAAACCCCATCTGTACTAAAAATACAAAAAAAAAAAAATTAGCTGGGCATGGTTGTGGGCTCCTGTAGTACCAGCTACTCGGGAGGCAGAGCTTGCAGTGAGCTGAGATCACGCCACTGCACTCCAGCCTAGGCGACAGAGTGAGACTCCATTTCAAAAAAAAAAAAAGAAAAAGGAAAAAAGAAGCCTGAGGTTTGACTATGGAGTAAATGAATCCAAGGAAAGGATAGAGTTTCTGTACCATGGAGCATTTGAGGAGAGAAGAGCCCTGTTGATCTGGTTTTTTGGAGAGGAGGTGTGGTACTGACTTGTTTCTATGAGAAACCTGGCCTCAGGCAGGGGAGGGCTAGTGTCTATTTAACAACCAGCTCTGGAGAGAGAGGTAGCTCTGGGTCTTAGTTTGCTGATTACTGTGGTGTAAATACTCCCACCATGGCCCATTTCAAACTGTCAGCATGACGCTTCTGAATAGAGCCAGGAAGAAATGCACATGATGGGCTCTCCTGAGCTGGCACAAGCTGGCTCCAGTGCACTGTGGCCAAGGGGTGTGCATTAAGAAACATGAGCCAGACACACCGGCTAGAATGAAGTGATTCCACAGGTAGACAGAGGCCTCTGGCTGGTTCAGAGTGCCTAGCAGGGGAGGCTGAGGCAGGCAGATCAAGAGGTCAGGAGCTTGAGACCAGCCTTACCAACATGGTAAAACCCTGTCTCTACTAAAATATTAGCCAGGCATGGTGGTGCATGCCTGTAATCCCAGCTACTCAGGAGGCTGAGGCAGGAGAATTGCTTGAACCCAGGAGGTAGAGGTTGCAGTGAACCAAGATTGCGCCACTGCACTCCAGCCTGGGTGACAGAGCGAGACTCTGTATCAAAAAAAAAAAAAAAAAAGAATGCCCAGCAGTCTCTTTGCTGACTGCACCATCCTATGGCTTCTTTGCCATGCCCTTTCTGAAGAGCTTGAGCCATTTGGAGCTAAGGAACCCTGGCAGGGCATAGGGGGAAGGAGTTAAGAACTTCTCTCTTACACTCTATCTCAGAAGGGAAAGAATCTACGATCTTGACAAGTTTGGGGTTTGAAAAACAATGAGTTTCAACATGGTCATAAGGGCTCTGCGGGGCTGACAGGAGAGCCAGAGGAGGATGAGTTTCCTGACCATCAGGGCCCAGGTGTTGTTAGCACTAGGGAACGTATTAGAGTCACGAAGCACCAACGTATGTTACTCGTGACGAATCTGTACTGGTCTGCAGCAACCTCGATTCTTGCCTCCTCAGAAGAAAGAATTCGACTGAGGGGCCCAAGATAGAAGGAGAGACCGAGGCAAGTTTTAGACCAGGAGGGAAAGTTTATTAAAAAGATTTAGAGCAGGAATGAAAAGAAGTATAATTGGAAGAGGGCCAAGTGGGCAGCTTGAGAGATCAAGTGCTCTGTTTGACCTCTGACTTGGGGTTTTATACGTTGGCATGCTTCCAGGGCCTTGCGTGCCTTCTGCCCCTGATTCTTCCCCTGGGGTGGGCTGTCTGCATGCACAATGGCCTGTTAGCCCTTGCGAGGGGCCAGCCACAAATACAGTGTGTTTACTGGAGTTATACGCATGCTCACTAGAGACATTCTTCCCTTACCAATCTCTAGCATTCCTAGAGAAGGTCATATACCAGTTAAATTCTGCCATTTTGCCTTTTAGTGTACGTGCATGAGTGCACTCACCTAACTCCTGAAATCTTACCAGGAAGCAGCTGATCACCAGTTTCAGGTGTTTCTGTTTATTGGGAGACTGCCTTTCCCTGGTGCTGGCTGCAATCAATTATTATTTTAGAAAGACAGTTAAGGCCAGCGGCCGTGGTTCACACCTGTAATCCCAGCAATAATTTGGGAGGCCAAGGCAGGTGGATGTTCTTTACTAAAAAAAAAAAAAAAAAAAATTAGCTGGGTTTGGTGGTGGGTGCCTGTAATCCCAGCTACTTGGGAGGCTGATGTGGGAGAATCACTTGAACCCGGGAAGCAGAGGTTGCAGTCAGCCGAGATTGCACCATTATACTCCAGCCTAGGCAACAAGAGCAAAACTCCATCTAAAAAAAAAAATAAAGAAAAAAAGAAAGACAGTTAACAAACTGCCTATCACCTGATGGTCACCTGACACTCCTGGTTGTTGGTGGTGGGGCTCTTCTGTCCTGCTCA
The DNA here is from genome assembly GCF_000001405.40 of Homo sapiens. NCBI lineage: Eukaryota > Metazoa > Chordata > Mammalia > Primates > Hominidae > Homo > Homo sapiens. Next base: position 45,318,608 of record NC_000003.12, read on the forward strand.
TGTCTGATTAGCTACCTACTGTAACAGTGGGACAGGTGGCTGGGAAGGCAGAGAGAGGGGAATGGGACCTCTGTTTTAACTGTGTTTTCTTAGACTCTGAATTTATCTGTTTGACATCCTTTCATCACTGGGCCAATTCCTCTCTTTTCTTATTTTCTGTATTCTTGATGCTCTAGCATTTCTGACCTTGCTGAGAGAGACTGCTCCTCCCAGGGCTAGCCAATTATTAGAGATAGCAAAGGGCTCCCTTGAGGATGCCTTTCATATGAAAACTAACCAAGCCTGAGCCCTGGATTTACTCCCTCCACCCCGCCCCCCGCCCTACATCAACCCAGGGCCCAGTGAGTGTCAGACAACTAGGAACAACCTCTATGGCCCCAAAGCCATCCAGAATCATTTACTCCTAAACTGCTTACCCTATCCCACCTTATCTTTCCCACAGAAACCCTAATAAATAAAGGCTCTGGCCCAGGCTTTCCCCTTTATGATTTGCTTTTGACTCAAGGATTCTCTAACTCAAGAGTTAATTAGGCAGTTCTGGGCCTAATGAGGGCATGTACAAGTTTCATCCACAAGGAAGGGTGGTCTGTGGAGCTACCATTTCTGCCACAGTTCCAGGGTGGGCTTAGGTCAGGGCAGCAGGGGGCTTCCCTCCCCCAGCCCCAGGAAAAACAAGTATTAATGTGTTGGAGTTAGGGTAGGGGTCCAGATAAATCTTCCTCAATATAGGTTTAGCCACGCAGCTTTACCTGAAGGCCTACAGCCCTGGTCTGTCTGGGAGGGTGTGACTCCTGAACTGGAGTCACTCCAAGGCTCAGCGGGGAGCTGATCCTCAGGGCCCTGGGAGCACAGTAGATGTCCCTTTAGACATTTAGAGGCATGATTCCAGGAGGGATTTGTGGAGGAGGAATCACAGGAGCTGGGGCTTTGTTGACTCCACCATTTGGCCTAAGTCGTCCTCCCTCCCTCCATTTTCTTGCAAGTCCTCCCAACTTGGGAACATTTTGTTAAATACTCCCATGTACACACCACCCCCTGTTCACCATGTTCCTGACACTTAGCTCCTCAGTGGGTCCCCTCCCTGGCATTGAAACAGAGGCAGATTTAATACGGTATGAGCATCGTAGGGAAGGGGGCAATAGAGTCGACATGCCAACGAGCCATGGCAGGAAGCTCTCCTTCCACTACGGCTGAAAGATAAGATCCGGAATGGCCCCACTACCCTGCCAACCCCATCTATCCTCATGGGGGCTGCTCTGGAAAAGGGAAAGAGGCTGAGTTGAAAATATTTGTTCTGTTTATTTCATTCTGGTCCCACATAACAGACCTGGAGGCAACGATGAGCTCTAGGCTACAGACAGGCTGCCTTGTGGAAGGAGCCAGCTGGTTGCTGAAGGACTGTGGCTGCCTCTCAGATGGACTTGTTTGTCTTACAAAGCCCAGTCCGATTGTCCCCAGTGCAGATGGCAGCTGGCATGAGACCCTAATTGGAAGAGGATCCTGTGACCTCCAAACCATGGAAGAGGATCCTGTGACCTCCAAACCAATTAAATGATTTCTCAGGAGCTGGGAACAGCTGCATGAGGAAAGCGCTTGTGATTGCTTTGAGAAATGGGTGATTTTTTTTTTCTCCCATGGAAGTCGCTTTAGTGATCTTAAAAGGTGTTGGCTGTGGGTGCTATTCAGGTCCAGAAAATTGGTCTCGGGAGAAGGAAGAAAAGTGACATTAGCAACCTGGCTTTTTCAACACAGGCTCTAACGAGGCTGAGATGGGTTGTTGGATAAATCATTGCTTCCAACTATCAGGAAAGTTGCCTGGCCCGGAAATAGGAGAAGGAACTGCAGATACACTTCTTTGATTGGGCAGAGAATTTAGGGGATTCGGGTTTGGAGCCTAAATCGTCACTGCAACTCCATTCAGGAACGTCCCTTGGGTGATGAAACTGTTCTATGTCTTGATTGTGGGATTGTTGCAGGATTATACGCATCAATCAAAACTCACAAAACTGTAAACTTCAAAGGGTCAATTTTACTCCATGTAAACCGTTCCTAATTTTAAAAACACACATACACAGTATCCTCTAGGCCTGCTCTCCTCACCTAGACCCAGGCAGGCCTCTGTGTGGTCTGTTAATCCCCTGCCCTGCTCACACCTTCTGGGGATCCTTGTGAAATTTTTAGAAAACAAGGAGGAGGAGAAAAAAACACCAACATAGGATTATGAACACGGAGAGATCTCTAAGTCCCCGGGGAGTTCTGATAATCCCGATGCCCAGGCCACCCCTGAATGGTGAAGTCAGAATCTCTGGGGCTGGGACCTGGCCTCATGATATTAAAGTTCCCCACCCGCCAGGTTGCCTGTAATAACAGACTGAGACCCCCACTCTAAATGATGAGTGGTTCATCTTTTCAATCCTTCACTGTTCTGTCTTTGGAGATTGTGTCAGAAGACCACATTTGAGGCTCTACATTCTCCCACCCCTGCCCACACCACCCCAAACTTCAGGGGCTGGGTGCCCCCAGATTTCTGTCTTGTTGCTATGGGGATTTTCAATAGGCTCTTCTCTCTCTCACCCAAGAATCAATTTGGAACTCTGGCCGCGGGCTTGGACTGCCTCCTGCCACCTGCCATTCCTCCTTAACTTCCTGCTAACATGTGTACATATCGTGTCCCCAGAGGAAGGAACTCTGGTTCCAGCTCCCCGCACTGTGGGTGAGAGTCCCCATGAACGCTAAGACAGGGCAAATCTCTCAGCCTCTTTGAGCCTCAGGCTTCTCATCAGCACGATGGGGAGGGTTGATGAGAGGATGTGCAAGGATTCACTTTGGAAATATAAGCATTCAAAGTCTAATTAATATTTCTTATAGATGGTGCCCTGGGGGTGGGACCTCGTGTCCTTCATCTCTTGATTTCCGACAAGAGTCACTGCAGCATCCTCACATGAACCCCCGATTATAGTTTGCCAAATTAATTATTATTAAAGCCTGTTTCTCATAGAGAAAACAATCAAGCCACTTTTGGGCTGAGAAATCTTCTGGATCCCAGTAACAAGTGGGTGGGTTAGCTCAGAGCTCAGTGCAGGCCTCTAAAACGGCAGAGCTCCTGTTGGGGAACCTGAAGTGTCCCAGGTTTCTGAGGACTCCTGTCCTCACAGAAGCCCTGTGACTGTGACTGTGCCCACCCGCCAGGAGGCAGGACAGTGAGCTCTGCCTGCCCACGAGCGCTGTCCCTAGCACAGCACTGGATTGTTCTGTTTCCTTTGAGGCACTGATGAGGTACGAGACTGTCTCCTCTGGAGGGGAAAATTAAGAGGCACAGTGGGGAGCTGTGTTGTGTTTTGAAGCTTTTCCAGAATTGATTTTGTTGGGAGACATTTTTTTTTAAAGAGTCCTTTCTTGAATGTTGGCAGAGTGGACAGACTGCCAGAAAAGGCTGTGATCCGGACACCCCACCCTGTCTGTGTGAGGTTGCCCCTGCCCCTCCGCAGTCCTAGGGAGGCTGCCCATCCTACCCAGGGTGCTGTGGGCTCCCGCTCAGGGGAAACAAGCCCAGGTGTGTGCTGCACTTGGCAGATCTGCTCAGGCAGCATCCGCATTTGTTTCCCATGGTTACTATAACAAAGTGCCACCAGCTGGGGGCTTAAAACCACAGACATGTATTCTCTTGCGGTTCTGGAGGCCAGAAGTCTGAATCAAGGTGTCTCATGCTCCCTCTGAAGGCTCTAGGGGAGAATCCTTCCATGCCTCTTCCTGGCTTCTAGTGGTTGCCCCCAAATCGTTGGGTGTTCCTTGGTTTGTAGCCAATCTCTGCCACTGTCATGATGTCACAGAGCCTTCTTTCCTGTGTCTTTATGTGACCTTCTTGGGAGGACATTAGTCATTGGATTTAGGGCCCACCCTAATCCAGTATGACCTCATCCTAACTAATTTTATCTACAAAGACCCTATCTCCAAATAAGATCCAATTAGACCTGAATTTTGGGGGGACACTCTTCAGACAGGTACATTATTCTTGGGTCTCGCTCACTCCAAGGCCATAGCGCCCTCTCCTGAGACCCTGCCCTGTGTTTTTACCCCAGTACCCATTGAGGAGCCACCATGGTCATGAGTTGGCATCTAGTGCAGAGTCTGATTGAACTCTATCAGAGGGGTCTTGTAGCAGCCTGAGCAGGGTGAGCTCAGCACCACTGTTGAAGACTGGCATTGTGGTGTGAGGGAAGGGGCAGGAGCCTGGATCCAGGAGACTGAGGTCAAGTTCCAGCGCACCCAGCTTCTCATGGAGGGACCTTGTGCCCTACTGCTGAGAAGGAAGCCACCTGCAGCCCCACGTTTAATGGGATTAAGTATAAGACTGTCTACATTAAAATTATCCCCCCATTCTCTGCAAGAAATTCCTGCCCAGTAAGAAAAAGTTATAAATAACTTTATTATTTGTTTTATTAACTTTCTGAAAATCCATTTATCTGCACTTTTACTTATCACTCAACTAGACTTCATTTGGGTAAGAAGACCCTTTCTCAAACAATGCATTGTTCATTTGGGCTTATCAAGCAACCGTTTACTCTTAAGGTTCATTCAAACTTTCCCCACTCTGTGTCTCCCAATCCTCAAAGTTTATATCAGTAACTTCAGGCCGGGCGTGGTGGCTCATGCCTGTAATCCCAGCACTTTGGGAGGCTGAGGCGAATAGATTGCCTGAGTCCAGGCGTTTGAGACCAGCCTGGGCAAAATGATGAGACACCATCTTTATAAAAAATACAAAAATTAGCCAAGCATGGTGGTGCACACCTAAAGTCCCAGGCTGAGGTGGGAGAATCACTTGAATCTGGAAGGTGGAGGCTGCAGTGAGCCATGATCACACCACTGCACTCTATACTGGGAGGATGGGAGTGAAGAACTTCATCTAATCCCAGCCAGTCAGCTGCACCTCAATGAAGACTCATCTTAAACCATATCCCCCAAATCACATAGATATGGCACCCTTGAGCTGCCTGTTCTGAGGCAGTGGCCTCTCTTGAAGAAAGCAATCAGCTGAGCTCTGCCGGCTCCACAGGTTATTTAGGTGGCATTTTGTGGGGAGTTGGCAGTTGAAGCCTCTCTGAGTGTCCATCTCATATAATACACACACACACACACACACACACACACACACACACACACACATATATATATTTTTGAGACAGAGTCTCGCTCTGTCGCCCAGGCTGGAGTGCAGTGGCGCGATCTCCGCTCACTGCAAGCTCCGCCTCCCAGGTTCATGCCATTCTCCTGCCTCAGCCTCTCTAGTAGCTGGGACTACAGGCACCCGCCACCATGCCCGGCTAATTTTTTGTATTTTTAGTAGAGATGGGGTTTCACCGTGTTAGCCAGGATGGTCTCAATCTCTTGACCTTGTGATCCACCCGCCTTGGCCTCCCAAAGTAATGGCATTACAGGCGTGAGCCACCGCACCTGGCCTCCATCTCCTATATTTTATATGTTATACACAGTATATGTAAAATATATCAATGCATATATATTTTATATATTACCTATAAACATAATTTTGCTTTATATAGTCTGTAAAATGGGGATAACAGTTCCTACTTTACCTACCACACAGGTTCATGGGCTCCCCACTCTTTGGCATCCTGCACCAGAGAGGACAGTGCAGACCAGGGAAAATTCTCTCCAGCCAGGAAGCAGTCTGAGCCTGAAAGGAACAGTTGCCCACTTACATTTGGAGTCTCTTCAATGTGATGTGTCTGTGTAATAATTCTGTAAATTATAGGCCATTGTCTAAACCTTAGGGACAATTATTAGAAGTTAGATATTTTTGTCCCTCCACCCTCAAACAGAGGTTTTTGAACCAAATAGCAAAATTTTGTGAGCTAAAATTGGCTACTTGTATAGAAATTCTGGGCCCTCAACCAAGAGTTTCTTTTGTTAATTAGACATAGAAACCCCCAACCTCCCTGGGGCTCAGGATTGACTTGGATGATGTCGGGTTCCTGTGGGGAGATGGGGGCACAGTGCCAGGCAGTCTCCTTTGTCTTCCTCCACCCACCCTCTGTGCCTCATGTTGCTCTACCACATGGGAGTCACAGGAATAATTACTCGTCCAATAAGCCAAGAAATTAATATTTAATCATAGGGTACCTACTGAAAGTTTAGTAGACCTAGACCGATTTTAGAGAGTTTTCTGATAGGTATTTTATGTAAAACGGAGAAGGAAATTTTGCTATTTTGAAGTTGCGCATAATCCCTCCTAGGTTTAGCAACATATTGTGATGGCTTCTCTGGGTATATCTAATATAGACGGTGATTCTGGGGGTGAAACTTCTGCCGATCAGGTAGTTGTGAACCGAGCAGCACATCTGTAGTGTGGCCAAGAGAAAACCAAGACACAAATCAACCTTCAACTTTCCTCATCTGTCCCTACAATGTCTTTGAGACTTGGTTCTGAGTCAGGACCCCATCAAGGTTTGGGCATTGTGTTCAGTCCCTGTGCACCTTTAGTCTGTGTTAGTCTAAAATAGTTCCTCAACCTTTTTGTCCCTTATGATGTTGACTTTTGGAGAAGATGATCAATTTCTTTATTGAATATTCCACCTTCTGGATTTTGTCAGATTGTGTCCTCATGGTGTTATTTAACTTGTTTCTCTCTTATGCAAAGTGGAAGTTAGGGCTCAAGTCTTGATTAGATTCATTTTTGGGCAAGAACATAGATTTTTAAAATAATCTTTTTCTGTGATAATAATACCAAGTTCATTGTAGAAAAACTTAGAGAAAAAAAAATGAAGGTAGCCTGTAATCCTGCCATCCTGCCATGCTTATATTAATTTATACATCCACCAGCCATGTATGAGCCTTCTCATTTTGCCAAAACTTCACCAAGCCAGAACTTTCTTTAAAAAAATTTTGAAAGGTAAAAAAAAAAAGATATCTAATTTGAGCTTTTGTACCTATTTAAGGAAACTGAGCATACTTCCATATGTTCATTAGATGTGTTTCTTTGTCATCTAATCTATATTTTTTTCTGTGGACGCAAAGAGTCCTTTATCTATATTAAGAAGAGTAATCCTGTGTCATATATCTTGGAAAATAAAAAGTAATCTTGGATCTACCTGTTGAGAGAACTCTGGGGCAAGGCACAGAGGAAGCCCTTGGCATGCTGCCTGGCACATGGGAGATGCCCAGCACAGGCTGGGTGCACACTGCCCTTGCAGAGGTCTACCCCCAGGTGATCCCAGGAAAGCCCGGGGTCATGCCCCCTCCTGTGGCCACAGGGACCCTGTGATCAACCACCAAGTTGAAGCTCAAAGCTCCTCCTGACCCTGCCTCCCCACCTCCCACTTACTTCATTCCCCTCTCCCCAGCCGCTCCTCGTGGATCCAGCCCCACTTGGATTTGCCCCTTGATTTTCCCTCGGCTGAGCTACAGCACAGAGGAAGGTGCCTACCTTCAAAGAAAGCCTGGCCCAGGCTGGCCCTGGGCATGAGAACATCTCCTGCAGGCTAATTATTTGGTGCCCCATGAGGCTGATTTTTTAAAAGACATCTGTAATAGGAAGTAGATAGAAAGCAATTTCCTATTAAAAAAAAAAAATCAGCATGCAGAAAGAGCTTTTGTCCTTTATGTTCCCAGAGTGGCTTCTCTAAATCTTCCTTCTGTGTTTTCCATGTTGCAGTCACCACTGGCTGGTCTCCCTCCTCCAACCAGACGGTGAATGCCCAGAAAGGGGAGACTTCCTTCAGTGGTCTTAGAGTGCCCAGCACCTGGAGCAGTGTCTGGCACAGAGAAGGCGCTGGGATGAATTACTCACCCTATTTCTCTAAAAGGCTGCAGTAGACACATGAGTGCCAAGAGAGGAGCAAGAAACCCAAACATTACTGATCTCAGGCCACTGTGGACACAGATGCGCAGACCCTGATGGCTTGGGTCCCCATGCACAGGCTGCAGAGGGAAGCCCAGGGACTCCCCCTGCTCCCTTCAACTGTTCCAGGATTTTCATTTTTCCACATCCTAAGTCACATTCAGCTCATCTTGTCATAGATTAACTTTAAAATGTAGCAATTCAGCTTGGAGAGGGAGAGAGAGAGAGGAAAAAGAAGAGAGCTGGAGGGAATCTGAAAGCGGCCTGGGAGTGGAAGGGCCACCATGCTGCCCTGGACACCAGGAACAGGAAATCGGATTTGAGGCAGAGAAGCTGTAGGTGGAAGGGGCTTCAGAGAAGGCTCTAGGCTAGCTCGAGCAGTTTACAACAACCTGATGTAGCTCTTCCCCACCACCTGTATGGTTTAAATCATTTCAGCATTTAAAAAAGAAAACAGCCCTGTTAGAAATCTGCTGTGGGCAAAGAGGAAAACATAGAAAATGATACCAATCATCCATTCTCTATTTTTTCTTTCTCCGGGCCCCATAGTGGCAAGATGCTCTCCTCTTTCTGGGCCCTCGCAGGATAAATGCAACTTCTAGGAATAGGATTCAGCAACCCACCCACCAACGCAATCCAGACGAGAACAATCCGCTCATCCTAACCACTTCCTTGTGTCCCTGTGCAGTTGCTTCTGTCCTCAGGCAGCCACTGATCTGCCTTCTGTCCTTATAGCTTTGCCTTTTCTAGAATCGCACATAAGTGCACTCACATAATACATGATCTTTTGACTTCTTTAACATAATGCTTTTTGATTCTTCTGTGTTGTTCCATGCATTGCTATTTTGTTCCTTTTTATTGACAAGTGGTATTTCACTGCATGCACATTCTACAGTCTGTTTTTCCATTCACATTAATGGACATTTGGGTTGCTCCCAGGTGGATCTGAATAAAACCACTATGAACATTCATGTACACATCTTTGCATGAACATATGTTTTCATTCCTATTAGGCAAATATCTAGAAGTGGAATGTATGGGTCTTATAGTAAGTTTAGGTTTAACTTTAAAAGATCCTGCCACATTGTTTTCCAGAATGGCTGCACCGCTCTGCATTTTGCCTGGCGATGTATGAGAGATCTGGCTGCTCCACATCCTTATCAGCCCTTGGCATTCTCTGTTTATTTTGTTTATTTGTTTTAGCTATTCTCATCGCTGTGTTGTGGTGTATCATTGTGGTTTTACTTGGCATTTCCCCAGTGATGCTGAGCATCTTTTCAAGTGTTTATTGGTAATTTGTATATCTTCATTGGCAAAATGCTCAATATTTTTGCTATTTTTTTGTGTTAGATTGTTTTATTATTGAATTGCATAATGCTTAATATTTGTCAGCTAAATTTCTCTATGAAAATTTTACTCCAGTCTGAGGAGTAAATATCTGATTTCTATCTCAACTGCTTTATCACACTTAAAGAGACAGATTTAATAAGAGAAAAACTCAAAATATGTTTCTATCCAGGTTGTGCTGACCACAACAAAGCTATGTCTGATCTACTGTGCATGTTAAAATGAAAAAAAAATTTGTGATCCGAATCCTAAGTATGGCTAGTGTGACTTTTGTTTCCCTTTTTCATGAAGATAAACATGGAACAATACTTGTCTAGGAAAACACCCATGTATAGGTTGACAACCACTTTTTATTTTCTAACTCAACTAAAGTTAGGTCATCCCAAGCAGAACTTGAATAAATCTATTCTAGACACAAATCCCTTAGCTTCTTGATTCTCTGATGGGTCATTGCTTGGAATGAGAAAATTCTTACCTCAGAAAATTCTTGGCTGGCATTCTTGGAGTTTCTGATTTTTACATAAGGTTCTAAATATTCTGTGGACTCTTCTATACAGTGCGTCTCTGCTTCTGGTTCATCCAATTCTCTACCATGGTGGGACACAGAATAAACCTAGTAAGTTTGGTAATTTAATAGACGTTACCATCTGTAGACTGCTTACCCTATGCCTGGCCCCTGGGACTTTGAGTCCATTGTCTCATTTAACCCTCACTTAAAACCTGAGAAATGGCTGTGATTATTATTCACGTTTACAGGTGGGGAAGCTGAGGGTTACAGAGGAGAAGTAACTAGTCCAAGGCCTCACAGCCAGCAGGGGAAGGGCTAACATTCAGACATCAGAGCCCGTGCAGCTAACCACTCCCCTGAACCATCTCTCATTCTGTGTAGCACAATTACATCGTCTGTTCAGTCAGAACACGGTGGTGCTTGTACAGTGGCCTCCTGGGCTGGACACACAGTCAGGCTCTCCTCTTTCTATTCAACCTCACTCTATTTGGAGAGTCCGAAAGCTAGTACTGTGTTTCCCAGACTGCTTGGCTGGGGATCTGGATGTGAATGAGGTTCTGCCAATGAGATGCTTCAATGCTAGGTTAGAGTTATGGGTTAAATTGTTTTCCTCATAAAGATCTGTTGAAGTTCTAAGGTCAAATACCTGTAAATGTGAATTCCCCTTATTTGGAAATAGGGTCTTTATAGACGTAATCAATTTAAGAACATTTAAGAAGGTGTCATTAGAGAGGACCCCAATCTAATATGACTGGTTTTTTGTTTTTTTTTGTTTTTTTGTTTTTTTTGGAGATAGAGTCTTGCTCTGTCACCCAGGCTGGAGTGCAGTGGCGCAATTGCAGCTCACTGGAGCCTCCGCCTCCCAGGTTCAAGTGATTCTCTTGCCTCAGCCTCCCGAGTAACTGGAACTACAGGTGCATGCCACCACACTTGGCTAAGTTTTGTAGTTTTAGTAGAGATGGTGTTTCCCCATGTTGCCCGCGCTGGTCTTGAATTCCTGACCTTAAGTGATCTGTCTGCCTCGGCCTCCCAAAATGCCGGGATTACAGGCGTGAGCCACCGCACCTGGCTGACTGGTATTCTTATAGGAGGAAAATGCCATGTGGAGACAGACACACAGGGAGAAGAACTCCATGTGACGCAGAGGCAGAGCGTGGAGAGATGCAGGCGGAAGGAGTGCCAAGGATTGCTGGCCACCACCAGAGGCTGGGAAGATGCAAGGAAGGATTCTACCCAGAGTCTCAGACAGAGCATGTCCCTGTGGAAACCTTGATTTCAGACTTCTGGCCCCCAGAACTGTGAGAGAATAAATTTCTGTTGTTTAAGCCATCCAGTGTGTGGTTCTTTGTTTTGGCAGCCACAGAAAACTAATACAGGAAGGGAGACGTGGTGCAGAGAGGGCTGGCAGTTAAGCCCCTTTGGGCATGGGTACTGCCATCACAGCTTCGTGGTGGTGACCTCCTGCCTGTAGACCTCGGCTGTGAGGCTGGATCTTGAAGTCCACAGGCCAGTGGTGCCTCCAGACTTCACTTTCCCACCCCTTCCAACAACATTTGTAAGCACAGTTCCCTGTGTTAAATCCTTTTCTGCTCTATTTCCTGTACTGAACCCTGACTGACACAAACTCACGCTGCTAAATACCAGGTAGACTTAAAAGCGGAGAAGACTCTCATAGGAAACGAGGGCAAGCTAGAATAGAAAGGCAGCTGTGGGGAGGAGGACTTCAAACCTGCCTGGCCCTGCATCCTCCTCTCTCATCTCCAGGTTAAGCATCCTTCTGGCCGGCTGACAGACTGTGTCTCTTGCAGAGCAGACATCCTAAATGTGCCTCACCCCAATTTAGTTTGCAAGCTGTGCTGGATTGTTATGTTGTCAGTGTTTACTCTGGGAAAAACACTGTCCCAAATCCTGTTCCTTGTATAGTGTGGGGTTTGATGTGGCCAACATTGAAGTTCTGCGAGATATGTGAGGCAGAAGCGAAGGCTGGTGCTGGCTGGAGGCACTGAGAGAGGGGCCCACTCATCAGCCCGCACCCTCCTTGCTCCAGTTCTCCCTCCTAACTGCCACACCCGCTGACCAGCAATGGCCCAAGACACTGCCATATGCCTCACTGTGAACTCCGCCTGTGGTTCTCACCTTAGGATAGCTAATTCCTCATTTTATTGTCCCAGAACTAAAGACACTGACTGCCTGCAGTTCCTGCATTCTCTCCGTTTTGTAGGGCTTTGTACACTTCCTCCTGAAATTAGGATACATAGGATAGATTTCATTCCAAGCCTTCATCTTTCCTCTGTTTGCTTCCTGTGATTAATGTAGCTGTGGTGCTTGTCATATTCTGAGGTTGGGTGCACAGGTAGGGGAGGACAAGCAGGGATTTAAGAGTTATTGTTGGCAGCAGGATCCACCTGGTGGTGGTCACAGAGCTCACTGACGCATGTTGTACGTCTCAAGATGCCAAAACCACAAAAAGATTGGAGGGTTAAGAAAACCCCCGATGAGAAACATCCAGGCTCCTCATTCTGCCTGTCTTGATCCTTCTTCTTTATTAGAAGGGGGTTGTTATGGTGATGGAAGAGGGCTGAATTGGAAAGGATTTGTTGTTTTGTTATTATTTATAGACATGGGCATACCTTGTGTGAATCTTTGTGACAATTTTCTTCTTTGAGCTGAGCTTGAGACATATTCCGTTAGCACTGGTGGACACCAGGAGGGAGGAGGAGGTTGTTTTCTAGGATTCCCAGAGCCAGGTCAGCTTCTATCTTCTTGGCATTGCCCAAAGACCCCCAGGGAGCCACAGCTACTAGCAGAGTAGAGAACAGAGAGGACAGATGGCCTGGTGGCAGGGCACTGGCATGTTTTATTTGTCATGTTTTCCATCCACCTCTTGGGCTCTAAAATTTGTGTATTTTTTAGTGAACCTCTGAAGTAGTCATAGCCTTTTGATGGGTACAAACTGCTTTAACTTGCAAAAGAGATACAGAGCCTGGCTGGAGAACTCACTTGCCAGACTTGGGTAATCTGTCCTTAAGGAAATTCCTGGGCTATTAAAATCCTTTCCTAATATTCCAGCCAACACCATGTGTATTTACATATTGGAGAATCCTTGGGAAGTCCTCTCAATAGCTATGGCCACACTTCTGTCTACACCTGAAATCTATGGACCACCCAGCCCGTCTTGCCCTTTGCTTCTGTGACTCAGGAAAGCAATCACATCTCTACAAGCTCTGGGAAGACTCCGCTTACTTCACGCCCACTGCACTTGACTGCCAACATTATCCTTGAAGATGGAGGCTGTAATTATACCAATCACTCTGCCGGATAGACCTGGAGTATCCCCATGATTAATGGAAGAGATTCACTCAAAACACAAGATGTCTCATTTTCTAGTTGGGTGTACAGGCAAAATACTGCAGAAACATAGCCTCCACTGCTCGAGCTAAAATGTCTCAGCGGGTTTCCTTTTGTTCCCAGGCAATTGGAAACAGCAGGAATATCTCCTTAGAACCCAAAACGATATTCAGGATGAGGAGGCATTAGAGGTCTCAGGTGGTTTTCTGAAAGAAGCTTTAAAAATATCTCATTTCAAAAGTCATTTTATATAAGTTCACTGCAGAAAAGTTGGGAATTAAAAATATATATATAAAAGAAACTGAAAGTCATCCATAATCCCACCAGCCACAGATAACCCTTATTGGAATTTTTGAGCACCTATTTCCATGTATTTTCAGTGCATATATATAGTAATGGTTTCCACAAAATATTCTGTTTTCTGACCTTCTTTTTATTTTAGCATACCCAAATTATGATAAATACTGCCAGTGAATACATATGGAGCATTAGTGATGTACCAGGACCAATTTTCCATGGTCTGCTGGAATTACTTCATTCAATCCTTCCAAGTACTAAAGGGAAAGATAAATTTATTTATTTATTTATTTTTGAGACAAAGTCTCACTTTGTTGCCCAGGCTGGAGTGCAGTGGTGCAATCTCTGCCCACTGCAACCTCCAAATCCCAGGTTCAAGTGATTCTCCTGACTCAGTGTCCCAAGTAGCTGGGAGTACAGGCACATGCCACTACATCTGGCTAATTTTTGTATTTTTAGTAGAGACGAGGTTTCACCATGTTGGCCAGGCTGGTCTCAAACCCGTGACCTCAAGTGATCCTCCCACCTCGGCCTCCCAAAGTGCTGGGATTACAGGCGTGAGCTACCATGCCCGGCCAGGAAAGATACTTTTATCTCTTCCATTTTTACAGGTAAGGAAACTGAGGTACAGAGGTGTTAAACAACTTGCCCAAGGTCCTTAGCTAATTACATAATGGAGTTAGGATTCAATCCATGGCAGTCTGGCTGCACACTCATGCTCTTGGCGCCCATCATGCTGTGATCAGGTTTCCAGGGCTAGCTCCCCCCACCCCCGCTTCCCGTGAGCTATTGACCTGAAAAGTCGTTGGTTCTTCCTGTCACAGCCTATGTAGGTCTGGCACCAAGGTATGCTGTGGGGTCCTTTTCTGAGCACCTACTATGTGAAAGGTACTGTGGCTGCAACTTTAACAGGGACTTATCATCAAGAATCCTATCAACAAGAATTCTCAAACGTGGTAAGGAGCCAGACACCAACTTCCTGGCATAGCCAGGGAATTCACAGAAAGACCTCCAAGGGGCAGACACCCTGGAGGCAACTGATAGTGGTGACCTGATGTTAGGGTGACCTGGAAGTCTGCCACAGCCCAGCTTTCAATGCCTAAAAAAGGTGCTGGCTCAGAATAGCTGTGAATCCTGGTGGGGTCAACCTGGGCAGTGGTGTTGCTTGGGATCAGGCAGTGGAAGTACCTGAGAAGTACTGAGAAGCCTATCTGTTGCCATGGTACCCAGACAGCAGGAGGCAACCAGCTCGAGAGAACAGCTTCTGTGCCTTCTGCACCTCCACAGGAAGCACTTTACAGAGGGGAGGACAACCCCCAGGTGGGAGTCGGGGCCTAACTCCAGCCTCAGGACAAGGAGGAGAGATGACATTTCCAGCCATGGTCGGCTCTCATGTAGGAAGGGCTCTGGGAAGGCTGAGCTCTGGCCACACTGCCAGCCTTGGCCAGGGCCACTCGTCATCAGCACCACAGCTGAGTGTTACCTGGGATGGGCTGTGGTGCCACTCCGGTGCCTCCCTCCTTCTTCTATCCTACAGGGACTACCATGAATCCTACTTACCGCACTGGAGAGCTGTGCAGATGGAAGGAAGTGGGAGATGTGGAAACACTTTCAACAACTGAAGCAGCAGGCCAAGAAAAGGTGTCAATAGCTGTGCTTTTGCCCACAAAAAAGTGAGTCTTCTTCATTAATGTATGTCTTGAACATGGAACCCGTCCCCTCCAGGTTGTTGACTGGGCTGTGCCCCCTGTTGTCAGAGAAGTGTCAGTGTCTGGGACCATCTACTGGTGATATTTCCCTGCTCAGAAGAGTCATGACCACAGACCCCAGGCATTTCCTCTTGGCAGGCACTGTGCCCAGAGTTTTAGGAACAGGCTCACTGAGTCCATACATCAGAAGGTAGGTCCTAGGGCCACTCTTGTACAGAAAAGGAAATGAACCTTGGAGAAGCAGGGGCCACACTCGAGGCTGTATGGCTACTGAGGGGCAGAGCCAGATCCCAAACCCCTCACTCCAACATGGTGTGTGACTGTGTCCATCTGTGACACATGCAGCTCCCTTCAGCCTGGAAATGAACCAAAACTTCAAATCCTTTGGGCTTCACTTGGAGCCATTTTGTTCAGGCAGAGATTCTGGGGCCCTGGGAAGTGGTGATATCAGAGGTAGTGGATGGGTTCTGTCTTCACTGGTCCCAGAGTCCAGGTGCTGTGTGTTCCAGTCCCCTCTCAAAGCCCACCAATCTCTCCAAGAAGAGCTCCAGGTGGGAGCTTTGCCTGGCTTAGGGCCATAACTGCAGATCTGAGATTAGCACCTGCCATGCATCCCGTGCTCCATCAACATGCACTGGATGAAGGCTGCAGGCAGGACTCCTGACCCAGCAGTGAAGCTCGTTCTTATTGGTCTTGGCCAGCATTCTCAGCCCCATTCCAGCTCTCTGTTCTAATGAAGTCATTTACATCCCGCTCCAGTTCTACCTCCTCACCTTTGCTTATGACATCCTTCCTATCAGGTATGCACCCCCATCCCCCATCCCCAAGTCCCAGCCCAAATTCTTCCCTGTTAAAACTCCCTGTTAGACAGGCTTTCGTCTCTGCTCAGCTCTTGGCACACCTGTTTGAGGTGTAGGAGCCTCTCCAGAAGAGCCCCTCCCCTCCTGCAGCCCCTCTCCCTCTCCCACTTGCAATTTCATCCTCACCACTTCTTCTTTGTAAGGAACCATTGCATCAAAGCTATTGTATTGTCACGGGAGATAGAAAATTATAAAGGCATTACATTTTTAGAACAATGTTTGTAGAATAAAATTAGCACTAGACATATTTCAGTCCTAGCTTCTTTTTTAAATATGAGATTGTGCATTTCCAAGCCTAATTTTTATATGCCCATTTAAAAATTGCATTTTCCCATGTACTCTCATCGCCACCAGCCCCCTTTCATTATGAGCTCAGGCGAAAGCTGTGGACTCTTACCCACATCACACAGGTTTATTTCACATGACACACGGCTTCACTGAGATAGAGAAGGCCCTGCCTTCATACAGAGACCTAAGTCAAAGCAAAGGGAATAAAATCTAATCCCATGCGTTCATTCAGCACATATTTGCCAAGCATCTACAACATGCCAGGCACTGCTTTGCAGATCCAGCAATGAACCACTGTTCTGTGTAGGGAGCCAGAACCAAGCAGGCAGGTGAGCAGCAGTTAGCATGTGTTAGGTAGGGGAGAGTCAAGGAGAAAACTAACTCGAGTCATGGGAATGGGGAGTACCTGGAATGAGGATGCTAACAGGTGAGGGAAGGCCTTGCTGCAAAAGTGATGTTTGAGCAGAGATCTGAAGGAGCTGAGGAAGCTGATCATGGGGCTCCAGGCACAGGTAGGAGCAGGAGCAAAGGCCCTGAGGTGGGTGTGTGCTTGGCAAGCCAGGCATACTAGAAGGCAGGCGGCCCAGGGCATGGCCCAGGGAGGGCCTGGAGCCCAAGGCTGGACTCTCTGGCAGATCGGAAGGCTGGACTCTCTGGCAGATCGTCGGGGCCTTGTAGATGACTTTAAATGACTTTGGCTTTTGCCCACATCAGCTGGGAAGCCTTTGCAGGATCTTCACTCATGTTTTTAACTTATGTCTTAAAGAAAGACTCTAGCTGTGGGTAGAGCACAGACTCAGGAGCAGGGACAAAGTGGCAGCAGGAAAGCCAGTTTGGAGGCTGTTGTTGGTCTAGTGCTTTAAATGCTTTAGTTACTGCATTTCCTGATGATTTGGATGTGGGATGTCAGAAAGAGAAGACCACGTGATGCCAAAACAATGTTCAAAGTACCCCTGCACACATTATTAGAGTCACTGATAACCCCTGGTGGGGCAAATGGGCAGGGTGTCTCTTTATAGATGGGGAAACTGTGGCCCAGAGAGTAAAGGGGCTTGTCACACATTGCAGGTAAGAAGAGGTTGTGTAGGGGTCAGCATGGGGTTTTCCCAGTGGTGTTTCTCAGGGCTGTGTCACTGGCCACTCTGAGACATTTTATATCACTGTCCTAAGTTTTAAGAGAATCCAGGGAGAGCTGTGCAGGGCAGGAGGGGAGGACCCGGGCTGTGGTCTGAAAAGGGATCTGCACAGGGAGCCGCAAGAAAGGACTGAGCATACCAAAGGCAGGTCTTGGCGGCTGTGGTCAGAGGCTGTCTCTGCCTGGAGCCCGATGACTGGGGCTTCTCCCCATACTGCAGAGGTCCTTCTCCACCCACAGAATGACCACGACATCAGCACTATCCACCCTGTGTCCACGTCCCTCTGGCACAGGACTGTGGAGTAGGGTCTACCTATTAGCGCCCACAGCTCCCAGCTCCCATTCCAGAACCTTCTTCATGGTGGGCACAGCATGATTTGTCCACAACACACAAGTTTCCACTGGCCTTGGGACCAATGGGGAAACCCAGACCCTCTGAGGTAATTCAGGGAGGAAATGGGACAAACATGATACCTGAAGGGGCTCCCCTGCTCCACAAAAAGGTAATTGGCTTTCGACACCTTATCACCCAGCTTATGAGGTGGAGTTCTGGCCAGAAGCAGAAGCCAGCCCTATGGTTCAAGAGACTTCAATGATGGGACTGTTCACAGAGGGTGAGCAGGTGAAGGAAATCCAGAGGCTAGCCACAGTGCGGGGCTGTTGTCACCTCTGGACCTGAAGACTGGAGGAGGAGAAAGAGTTATTCTCAGAGCCTTGAGAGAGCTGGGGCTGTGAGGAGGGGCCACTCCATGGGTGCTGCGGTCATAGGGCCACCACCATGGCTAGAGAAGGGGCCAAACAGAGAAGGCCTCTCTGGCTTCTCTCTCCTCCCCGACACAGGTCTCTGCCAGTGCTTCCCACTGGCTGACTCAACCAGAATCTAGAAGGTGCGGGGACCCCTGGTGATGCAGTCCTTGGGACCAGCCTCCTGGTGCACAAGGCAGGGCAGAGAATGGATGAGGGGAGAGGCCAAGGGAAAATAGCATACCTACAGCTGCCTTAACCCTGGGAGGAAAGTGGACTTAAAAACCACATTGGGGCCGGGCACAGTGGTTCACACCTGTAATCCCAGCACTTTGGGAGGCCGAGGCAGGCGGATCATGAGGTCAGGAGATGGAGACCATCCTGGCTAACACAGTGAAACCCCATCTCTACTAAAAATACAAAAAATTAGCCGGGCATGGTGGTGAGCGCCTGTAGTCCCAGCTACTCGGGAAGCTGAGGCAGGAGAATAGCTTGAACCTGGGAGGCGGAGGTTGCAGTGAGTCGAGATCGCGACACTGCACTCCAGCCTGGGAGACAGAGTGAGACTCCTCCTCCTAAAAAAAAAAAACAAACAAACACACACATTGGTTATTCATTACCACTTTCGACAGATCCATGCTTAAGTTGCAGCTGGAGAAAATCAGTTTTCTGGAAAGAACATCCTGGTAGGAATAATGATCGGGTACTAAAACCCAGATACTGTGAAAGTCAGATTCAGGAGGGCTTTCTAAAACAGAATTCAACAGTCATGGCTTCAGATACTGAGATCTTCCAGAAGGCAGAGGGATAGACTGTAAGGCCCATGAAGTCATTTCCAGCTCTAGTATTAACATACAGGAGTCAGTATTTTCCAAAATGGCCTATATCATTTTGATATAATGGAAATCTACATTATTTTCCAGGAAAAGTATATATATTAGAATAGCAACTGAGACTACTATGTAACCGTTTTCACAGGAAAAATGCACCTTGATAATTGGGATGGTGTAGATAGGTCTTCAAGTCCTTGTAAATTCTAAATAATTAGGATGTTTTAAAACCAAAAGGAATTCATTGTAAACTGTAATTAAATATTCCTTCTTAATTTAAATATTATTTCTTAAAAATTAATGCGTTCTAATTCCTCTTTTTCCCCATCTAAAATCTAGGTTTCCACGGAAGACCAGCTGGCCTTCTAATTTGAGCAGAATTTGCAACCGATTATAAAGTCAAAGATCAATGTTTAACAAAAATCAAGTCAGCCTGGAAATCTTTTATTCTCCTGAGCTGTGTAGGCGGCTTTTCTGATAGGGAACGCTCACTCTGCGTTGGCGTTTTGGAGGTGTTCTGCATTTGAAAAGCACCCTGCAATCTGCTTTCCCCCCCAACACCCAGGCAAAGTTGACGGCATTTTCCCCTCAGTCCTTTCTATTAGTGCCGCAGGACAAAGGTTGGTCACAAAGCTCCAGATTCACTATATCCATCCAGCTCTGCCAAATGCAGATCACAGTTTAACAATCTAACTTCTCGAGAGAGGTCTGCACTCCAGGCCCTGTGCTAAATGGGGAGGAACAGAAATGAATAACGTATGGTCTTGGCACCGAGGACTTAGAATTGTGGAGGCAGAAACAGACACACAAACAAAAACATATGACAGTATTATGGGAGCCACCAGGAACAGCTGTTGGAATCCAGTTGGGCACAAGGAAGGGAATGGTCCCTTCTCCTCAGTGTTATTCAGCTGGCTGTAAGTCGTGGGGCTTTCCAAAGGATGGAAAAGAGGGATCTGGGACCAGCATCTCAACACACGCACTTTGTACCAAAGCTCCCAGCCCACCCACCTTTTCCCAGGCATCTCTGCTTCCTGAGGTTTCTCTGGCACCTCTATTACTGTGTTATCTCCAGGTTTCGGGGTCTGCTCACCCAAACCCTAGAAAGAAAAGCCCAGTACTTTCTGTGAAAGCCAGGTAGTGATGTAGAAAGTATCTACTCTCTCAACAGCAGGTACCCAAAACCCTCGTAGAGAAGCCAGCCTGGGGAAATACAATGATAAACTTCTTAAAGGCAGAGAGGGGAGGTTACAGGGTAAGAACCCAAAGGTAATGGTTAATGAGAGAGTAAAAGGAAGTTGTTGTGCTCCTGAGAGGAAGAAGGAAAGAGAAAGGAGGCAAAGGCACAGAGAAGTGGAGAGAAGCTGGAGGGTTACTGAGAGGGTGGGTCCCTGGGGTGAAGGTCACAGAAATGACCCACACTGGGGGCCAAAAGGAATTTCTAAGAATGAGGACGTCTGGCAGCCAATTGTAAGTCATAAACCCTTCTTCACATGCCATCACCATCACTCTCCCAATATGCATGCTCATGTGCACACACATTTTAGAGAAGACACTATACTCAGTAATACTTGGAGGTCTTTTGGTCAAAAACAAAGTGCTGAGCCTCGTGCCTGGGTGAATGCCCTTTGGCACAGAGATGGGGGCTAGATGCAGGGGCAGGTCCAAATTTCGTGGAATCTGAAGCTCAGTCTGGTGAGATCCTCTTAAGGGAAAAGAATATTAAAATATTGCAAATTGGACAAAACAACACAACTACATGAACACTTTGCTGGGGACCTCCCACAAGTAAGTGCCTTGAGTTGAAGCTTCATTAGCTTCCCTAGAAATCTTCCCATGTCTGGGAAGACATGACCATGGAAAAGCCAGACCCCACTTGGAAATCCTCAGAAAACTTGGAAGGGGCCTTTGGGCTTCCACAGGCTGTGCAGTGGGGGAGTTGAGTCAAGCTGATCTAGATTGTAGGGGCTGGCTGGATGTGACTTGACAACAGGGCTATAATCACTTTCCTAATCTCAGGAACAAAGTGTAATCTCAGAAGAGGAGAGACCAGGGCTGAAGGAAATGCTAAAGGCAGTGCAGTCAGATGCAGAGGATGATCCTGAGAACTGGTGTTCCCGAAGGGATGAGGGGAAGAGTGACCACAGGCCTGCGGGGTGATATGAGCCTACTTTTTAAAAGCTCTTAAAGTCTTATTAGAAAATTGTGATGGAGAGCTCCCCTGCCCTCTCCGCCCTCCTAGCACATGCAGTAAAATCTTTCCTCCACTCTGATTACCCTCATTTTGGAGCTCAGAAAGAAGCTAATCAGAGGGCTAACATTGGAGAAGCTACTTCAAACGCAATTTAGAATTCAGCATGATGAAGGGAGTCATCGGGTGTGTGATTGTAAAGAAGTATTTCAAAGTAATTAAGGCATGAAGGTGCAGGGCTCAGTATCTGGGGTGGAGAGGTGGATAGGGTCGGGAGAAACAGGCCAGTTCACCACCACTATCAGCTCCCAATAGTGGAGAAAGAGGGATGGATGCCAGCCAGCAAGCAAACAGCAGTCGTGCATCACACCCAGTCACCTCTTACTACATTTGCAAATGTATCTTTCATTCCTGGTACCCTCCTCCAGACACTCTTGCACTCCCAACTTCCTTCTATTTTCAATGCAAAGTATCATTTTGGTGGCTATTGCTATTTAAGAAAAAAAAAAGCAAGAAAAAGGGAAGCTTTA
The DNA here is from genome assembly GCF_000001405.40 of Homo sapiens. Taxonomy (NCBI): domain Eukaryota; kingdom Metazoa; phylum Chordata; class Mammalia; order Primates; family Hominidae; genus Homo; species Homo sapiens. The sequence goes on from NC_000003.12 coordinate 45,340,250, forward strand.
TGCTCCTTAGTGCTTGTGAGAGGGAAACATTTTACCTATGTTTTATAATGGGGCCAAGCAAATTTGGTCAAGATGGAACCCTTAATGTAATGGCCTCTTGCTGTGTCAGCATCAGTTTGAAGAAGAGGGAACCTGCCTGTGCCTGCACCTAACAGGAGGCCAGTCTGGCTCAACCCCATACTTTATGGGTGAAACACAGGTCCGAGAGGTTCAGCGCCATGCTGAAGGTCACACAGCAGTTTAGACGCAGGAGCAACACTACCTCCTTCCATTAAATAATCTAGGTCTTTGGAGCTTCAAGTGCCTGTTGGAGAGTGGGACCCTTTTCTTATCTGTCAGGCTCAGCATCACCTCATCATGGATGATAATGTGAATGGCACCTCCTGGAATGTACCCCATGGCAGCTGAATCCCAGACCTCTGAGATGGGCTCTGGGCCTCGGCCCCTTGCAGATAGGGAGCACAGGCTACCTGTACTTGAGGTCTGCACACAGGAGAGCCGGTGCCACGCTGGGGAGTCTGCAGTCAGATGTGGCTCTCTTGACAGTCAGTACCTGCCCCTTAGGGTTTAAAAAATGAAAAAAAAAAAAAAAAGAAAAAGAAAAGGAAAGAGAAATCCCTCCAATCTCTGATCTTACAGAATAAGGCCAATTCCTCGTTTTGATAGAATCAAAACCTAAATCCATCTTTCCAAGAGACCAAAGGAAGAGACAAAGTTCAATAGATGTTTTTTCTTAAACAGTTGGATCCTATTTGAAAAGGAAAGGGTTTCTCTCTGAAGCTGAGAGACAGTAAAATGAGCATCCCTGCAGCATCAAGACTTCAGAAGTGTGGTTTGTCCTGTCCCCATCCACCTAGAGGCCGAGGGAAGCTGGAGTGTGTCAGGGTGTGGCTGACAGGACATTTGAACAGGGGATGCAGAACTGGAAGAGATGGTAAGTTTCTAGAAGCACTGGGAGTCTCCTGATGTCCAGTGACTTCCAAATTGCACCCTTTGGTTTCAAGGAAGGCAGAGCACAATGAGCAGCTCTAATCAAAGCTGGTTCTGTGATGAGCCTCCCAGCCCCATCTAAAATCACTGGGTTTAATTGTCTTGCTCTAAAGTACATGGATTCTAAACCCAGAGACCTCATTTTACCTTTATTACATTTCTAGGCTCTCCTTGCACCTAGGAACAGGCCATTTGAGTCAAAAGCATAGCAAAACTCATCAATCCAAGACCAAAGAGCAAGCAAAACCCATAGTATATTTCACCTGGAATAAAACAACCTGTTGTTTATTCTTAAACCCAGACACACATTGCTTTGCCACCATGTATACCCCATTTTATCCTTCCAATACATTTAGCCAGCAATTGATGGGGATTTTCCAGAGCAATGTTCAAATATCAAATATCTGAGAGGTTGGACATCCTATCCCCAACAGAATAGGGCCTCGCAGCTAGAACAGCCCCTGGCATATAATAGGTGTCTAAAAACATTTGTTGAATGAATGAATGAAAAATTATTTTACTAGGAGATACCCAGAACGAGTCTTGCTGATACCCAAGGAGTGAGTAGGTCATTGCATATTCCCTGACCACCCCTAAAGTGGACACAGTGTGGGCAGGGAAAGGAAATAGTGCCCCAGGTCACTGCCCTGGAGGACCTGACTGTGTAATTTTAGAGGGAAAAATGCACTTGGAAGTTATGTAAGTTAGTAAACTTGCATCAGAAACAGAGCAGTGAGGAGGCAAACGGGGTAGTCCATCTGAAAGAGATGCCATTCACTCATCAGAACTGCTCTGAATGCTTCCTTAAAGCTGGTGGCACACTGGTGGCTGGGGGATGATGACTCCTGAGCTCACCCGCTGTCCTCCCACAGTCTTGAGCCTGGTGAAGTGGAGAGACGGGGAGAGGAATGCCCAGAGACAGAAAAAGTGTAGGTTTTAGACTTGAAAAGATATTGATTTAATTGTGTTTCCCTTAAAATTAAGGTAGAAATTTGATCAAGAATTAAGGAGCAAAAATTCTATTTTTAAGTCCATGAAATTTAGTTTATGAAATCTACTTTTAGAGCCAAGGCAGAGAGTGTAGATTATGTAGTCCACCCCACTACCCCTTTATTATTGGATGTGGAAACAGAAGCTCAGATCAGCCTAGGAGCTGTTTTCCATGTAAGAAAGAGGGTTTATATGCCTCAGGCAAGGAGTTCGCAATCTTTAGACAGTCATATATGATGGGAAGAGCATACAATACGAGAACTATTTTCACTGCGGTCATGGAATTTTATTGACTTTTAAAATTTCATACATCCTTAAAGCTGAACATGAGATTTGTGTGCTTTTTCAAAGTGAGAGTATACACCTGACCCAAGCTTCTTCAAAAGTATCATGGTCAGAAAAGATAGGGAAAGGCCCAGACACTGCCCAGATCAGAGGACACTGGGAGATATAATGACTGAATGTGCCCTGAGCAGTGTACCATGAGGATGTAAGATGTTATTAATACTAGAGGAACTTTGATGAAGGGCCTACAGGAATTTTCTGTACCATCCTTACAACTCTCTTCTATAATTCTCAAATTATCTGAAAATAAAAAGTAATTATCTGAAAATAAAATTACCTGAAGGAGAGTATGATGTGTTAGACTGTATTTTCTACAAATGGTTGCGACAATGTTTCTGGTCCCACATGCTCTCCTAAAGTTTGCCACTCCCTCATCAAGAGGTGGAGCCCATGTTCTCTCTCTTGAATGGGGACAGATTACTTAACTTCTTTGTGTCTCAGTTGCCTCTGTAAAATGGGGAAAAAATACTAGCATTGTTTTTATTATTAAATAAGGGGATATATCAAAGCACTTAGGCCATGCTTGGAAATGTTGGATGTCATTATTATTGCAGGACACAAGTTAGGAACCCAGTTATCAGTACTGGGACACACTAGTCAGAGCTGAACAACAAAAGCAACTTAATACTGAATCCCTGAAGTTTCTTAAATTCCTTCTGCTTCAGGGGATAATTCTTCCTGGGTTGGGGACACCAAGCTTGCCAGGGGGATCTGGCGGGAATGGGATGGAGAAGACAAACACAGAGACCAGAAATGGACATAGCATGTAGTGCACTTGTTTAGGGAAGGAGTAAAACCCCAAAGTCTGGGGTGATCAGGAATGGTGTCAAGGAGATGGTGATCTGAAGTTGGACCTTGAAGGCTGGCTCAGGTGCAGGTGTGCAGAAAGGCAGGCGAAGTTAGCAGAGGTAGAACACGAGGCGTGTTCTCAGGATCTGCCTGACTGTAGGTAGGGGTTCCCACAGATGAGCTCCAGGAGATAGAGTCAGAAAGGTAAATTGGGGCCAGGCCTTGATTGGCTTTGAATGACCTACTCAGGAGTTTGGGTCGCGGAACAACCTAAGCAGAAGACACATTTCAGGAAGTGAAGTCTGGCAAAGGGTGAGCTGGATTGGAGAAAGAGGAGAAGAGAGAGAGAGAGACACCAGGTGGAGGTGAGAATTGACAGGAAGTTGAGAGAGGCTGGGAATGTGGTGACCAATTCCCTGCCTGGTCCTCGCAAGCAAAGAGCAGGCAGTGGTAGGGGTGAGGTACAGTTTTAGTGCTTGGGTACAGTTTTAGTGCTATTTGCCTCAAGTTATCCTTCTTCCTTGATTTTTACCAGTAGACAATGGTAAAAAATAATCTGTACATTTCATCATTTAAAGGCTGATGGACTCTTGCCATGAACTCAAAGATTCCTGTCAATTTCATAAGCACTCCGTAGCCAAACCCTCTTCCTCCAAGGTCACACAATCCATCAAATGGCACAAGGTGGAGCTTATACCTGAGACTGGCCACTCAGGGCACTAAATCAACATACTGATGGTGATTGGTCCAGAGGTTGTCCTTGGACCCCAGTGAGGCCAATCAGAGTCCTTTCCTGGGATTGTAAGGACTTTGTGAGAAAGAGGGACCCCTTGTGGTAGTTTTAACAGAACGCCACAAGTTTTTGATACTTCTCCCTTAGAACTAGAGCCCATGTAGCCCAAGATGCTTCTCTTGAATCTGGGCAGGATTGTAACTGCTTTGACCATAGACTATAACAGAAGTGATGCCATTTGACATTTGAGGCCATGGCCTAAAAGATCTCTGGACTCTGTCTTGTTTGCTGAAACACTTGCTCTTAGAGCCCTGAGCCACCATGTGGAAGAAGAAAGACAGAAAGAATGAGAATAAACCCCCAGTCATTTAAGCCATTCCACTCAAGGTGCCAGACACAGTAAAAAGGCACTTAGGTGATACCACCCCCCAGCCATTTGAGGCTTCCCAGCTGTCAGCTCTTATGAACTGAATGTTTGTAACCGCCCCCAAATTCATACGTTGAAGCCTCAACCCCCAACGTAATGGTATTTGGAGATGGCCCTTTTGGGAGGTGATTCGGGTTAGATGAGGTCCTGAGAGTGGGGCATTCATGATGGGATTAGTGCTCTTATAAGAAGAGCTACCAGATGGCTTTCTCTCCCTCTCCACATGCATGTACTGAGGAAAGCCCATGCGAGGACACAATGAGAAGGTGGCTGTCTACAAGCCAGGAAGAGAGCCCTCACCAGAACTCAGTCAGGCTGACTGCCTGTTGTCAGACTTCCAGCCTCCAGAACTGTGAGAAAATCAATTTCTTTTATTTAAGCCGCCAAGTCTATAGTATTTTGTTATGACAGCCCGAGTAGACTAAGACACCAACTGAGGTCCCAGACATCATGGAGCAGAGACCAGCTATCCCACCATGCCTTGTCCAAATTTTGACCCATGGAATCGACAAACATAATAAACAGCTGATGTTTTATGCCACTAAATTTGAGGATGATTTGTTGTCTTAGTTCAGGCGGCTATAACAAAACAACACAGATGAGGTGACTTAGCACAAATTTACTCACAGTTCTGGAGTCTGGAAGTACAAGATGGAGATGCAGCTGATTCAGTTCTTGGTAAGGGTTCTCTTCCTAGCTTGCAGACAGCCATCTTCTTGCTGCGTGCTTGCATGGCTTTTCTCTTGTGCTCTTTGGAGAGCACAAGCTCTCTAGTATTGCTTCTTATAAGGGCACTAATCCCATCATGCAGGCACCACCCTCATGACTTCATCTAACCCTAATTACCTCCCAAAGGGTCCATCTACAAATATTATCACACTGGGGAATAGGGCTTCAACATATGGATTTGGGGGAAATACACATTTAGTCCATAGCATTTTTTATGCAGCAGTAGATAACTGGAACATCCTCCTTCCAGAGCCTGGGTACTGAGGACCATGTAAGCCTTGAGTTACCAAAGGCCATATCTGCTGAGAAGTGGAGACAGAAACGAGCTGTCAGGGAGCTGGCAATGAAGAGGAGGAGAGACAGATCCAGCCTTCCTTGATGATACTGTTCAAACCTCTGGATCAAGCCAGACCAGATCTCCTCCTCAACTTTTCAGTTACATGTGTCAACAAATTCCTTTTTTTAAAAAAAATTTCTCAAGCCAGTTTGATTTGTCTTATGTCTCTGAAATGTTAACTAGGATAAAGGGATAAAAAGGATTAAAAGAAGGAAGAGAGAAATGGGCGATGGGGGAAATAGGACCAGACCTGTGTCCTATTTTCCACTTAAATGTAAGTGGTATGTATAGCAGATGGTCTTGGTTGCCTGTTTAACATCCACACTCTACCTTCTCTCCTGTTAACAGAATCTCAATATTTTGCAAGTGCCACCTTTACCCACAGAGTTAAATCCAGATTGGTTCTAAGCTCATCAAAGTAGTCCCATGCCCCTTATCAGTGATTGGCTTGAGAGTGAGCATGTGACCAAGTTCCTCCAATGAGAGAGGTGGTCTCTGGGAGGAGCCTCTGGGAAAGACGTCCTCCTCTCAATAAGAAGACTGAAATGGGCCCTCTCCATCTCTGAACAGTGTCTACTGGGATGTGACACCTGGAATGGCCACAGACACTTTGTGACCATAATGTGCCACTGAGCAGAATAACTAGCAGAGAAAGAACCTGAGCCTTTGATGATATAAATCTGTTGATTGTCCTTGCCTGAGGCATACCCTCTTCTGCCCTTTGTTATGTGAAATGACAAACCAGTGTGAATGGCGGTCTTCAGCTACTTGCAGCCCTGACGTTGCAGAACCTGAGGGAAGCTGACTCACTCACCTTATTTTACTGAGGAAGGAACTAAGGCCCAAAGGGACAGCTGGGTGTTCAGGCCACACAGCTAACTCGTGGCAGTGTGAGACAAGAGCCTTACTTCCCTTCTGTTAACACAGGCCTCATCCTATCATACTGCTGGTTCTAGAATCTTCCAGGTCATTGTACTGCCCCCCCCATCTCCATCCCTACCCCAACAATTAGTCCAGAGCCTTCTTTTTTTTTTTTTTTTTTTTTTTTAGACGGAGTCTCACTCTGTTGCCCAGGCTGGAGTGCGGTGGCGCAATCTCGGCTCACTGCAAGCTCCACCTCCCGGGTTCATGCCATTCTCCTGCCTCAGCCTCCTGAGTAGCTGGGACTACAGGTGCCCACCACCACGCCCAGCTAACTTTTTGTATTTTTAGTAAAGATGGGGGTTTCACCATGTTAGCCAGGATGGTCTCCATCTCCTGACCTCATGATCTGCCAGCCTTGGCCTCCCAAGGTGCTGGGATTACAGGCGTGAGCCACCGCTCCCGGCCAAGCCCAGAGCCTTCTGTAGTCAGATGTATCTAGGGAAACTCATCTGATTTGAATCCAGCAGGCAATATTCCATCTAATTAAGCAATTAGGAGCAGGAAGGCAACATCTCTGGAGCCTACCTGAGTTCTGTAATGAGCCTTTATAAACCACACTGGTTGTTGTGACAGATGCTGGGGTCTGCCGAGATCTCTGGACGCAGAGTTTTGCTGAGTCCCAGTGGGGGCTGTGGCTGTGGCTGTTTATAGAATCTGAGGTCTGCATTTGGATAATTACCTCCATGTGATTATCAGATTAATGTTACCTGGGCTAGAAGGTGTTTTTGCTTAAGGGAAGAAAAACAAAACCCTTTGAGGATGCCCAGTGATTGTGAACTTGAAAAGAGCCTGATCCTTAAAAGGTAGTGAACCAGTGTGGTGAGGCCAGACTACAGCCCCACAGTCAAGGCCAGCAGGTGTGCCATAGACACACAGGCCAGCAAACATACATGCCAAGAAAGTGTGTCTGTCGATGAGGTAGGGAAGAGCCTGAATGAAAATGTGTTCATTTTCCTACTTCCCTCACACACGCATACACTTAAACACACCCACACACATGCACTGCAAATTCACTGAGAAGCAGGGAGCAGCAGGGCTTCTGATCAGCACCCTCTAACACAGGTGACTTCTGTCAGGAAAGATTCAGGCTGGAAAATTCAGGAAGAGGACAGCTTGGGAAAAGGCTGGTCCCAATAGGAGCTACTTCCATCTTGGACACTGGAGCCACTGCTGTTGTTGTTACCTAAGGGTCAGACATTCAGCTCAAATTCACAGGCAGAAATATTTCAGCACCAAGACAAATATCTTTCTCTCAGAGGAATTCCTCAAAGACGTTTATGCTGCTGGGAAAGATGCCACTGGTCATGTGCCTGCCACTCAGCCTGACAAAAACGCTGGTCTGTGGGTAGGAGGCATCCAGTAGATGCTACAGAACAGTGTTTTCCCTCAAGGCCAATGGAGGGGGATGAAGTCCTCGGGTGGCACCTTGTGGGCAGGTCTAGGGGTTTGTATGCTTTTTTTTTTTTTTTTGAGGCAGAGTTTTGCTCTTGTCACCCAGGCTGGAGTGCAATGGCACGATTTTGATGCACTGCAACCTCCGCCTCCCAGGTTCAGATGATTCTCCTGAGCCTCCCAAGTAGCTGGGATTACAGGCACCCACTACCACACCCAGCTATTTTTTGTATTTTTAGTAGAGACAGGGTTTCGCCATGTTGGCCAGGCTGGTCTCGAACTCCTGACCTCGGGTGATCCACCCACCTTGGCCTCCCAAAGTGCTGGGATTACAGGTGTGAGCCACCGCGCCCAGCTGGGTTTATATACTTTTATGGCTCAAGGGCCTGTTTCCCTAAGTGGCTCTGTGTGGTGAGGGGTGGGTATACAGAGGAATTGGGGCAGAGAGTCAGTGGCCCTGTGTACAAGAGGGAGTGTGTGTCTGTGTGTGTGTGTGTGTGTGTGTGTGTGTGTGTCTTTACACACAGAAACCTGTAGGAATTTGTGTATCTCTGAATATGAGAAATACCTGGTGTTTTGGAAAGAGAGCCTTGAGCCAGGAGTTCAGAGCCACATCGATAGAAATAGGATATGAGCTAGGTATGTAACTGTCTAGTAACTACATTAGAAATAAATGAAGCCCATGAAATTATTTCAAAAATATATTTTATTTAACCCAGCATACCCACAACATCATTTCAACATATAACCAATATAAAAAATATATAAATGAGATATTTTTTCTGACTAAGTCTTTGAAATCTGGTGTATATTTTACTTACAGCAATATCTGAGTTTGGACTGGCCACACATAAAGTGTTCAGTAGTTACTGGGTAGCTCATGCCTACTGTATTGGACAGTGTAGGTCTAGAGACTTGAATTTGAGTTCCTGTCCTGTTTATTTCCAGCTTTGTGACCCTGAGAAAATGGTTTGTTTGGAGCCTAAATGTCTCCATCTGTATAATACTAATAACAGCCCACCGCATGGCAGTTGTTTCAGTTCGTACCTAGCACATGCTGGGTGCCTAAGGGGACAAGTCAGTGCTGCTGAACTGGCTTGTACAGTGGTGTGTTGCAGCTGATTCATGACATTTCAAAAGAGCCAATTGTTAACTGTTTGGGAATTTTGCAAACTGGTGTTAAACCGTGGATCTCTTCAATTTGGCCATGGAGGGAGTACATTTACTCCATGGAAATCAGCAAACAAGTCACCCCTGCCACTCCAGAGGGCTGATTGTTAAATATTGACCTGCACACCACGAACTTGCATATGTTTGTATGTGATTGTAGGGGTGAGTGTGTACTGGAGGCTGCTTCCCCGGCTGGCTTTCCCTCACTGGCGCCTTGTTGTTTCCCTTTAGGTGTCCCCGTCTCGTGGCGGCCCCTTCCAGTTATTTTCTCCCACTTTGAGAGGCCTTCAGAAATGAAGGGAAGCTTGGACGGTTCTCAACATGCTACCCTAAGCCCTGTCATCTGGCTTTCTGGAATGCCAGAAATTTTGTGGGCGCATTTCCCAAATCAGAGCAGAAAAGCAAAATCAACAAATTTGGGTGACTCTGGAAACATTGCTAGAAAACGCAGGCATCGAAAGGGTTTGGGGGTTGAAATTTCCAGACCTCAGGCCAGGCGTGGTGGCTCATGCCTGTAATCCCAGCACTTTGGGAGGCCGAGGTGGGTGAATCATGAGGTCAGGAGTTCAAGACCAGCCTGGCCAAGATGGTGAAACCCCATGTCTACTAAAAATACAAAAAATTAGCCAGGCGCGGTGGCAGGTGCCTGTAGTCCAGCTACTCAGGAGGCTGAGGAAGGAGAATCATTTGAACCCGGAGGGTGAAGGTTGCAGTGAGCTGAAATCGTGCCACTGCACTCCAGCCTGGGTGACAGAGTGAAACTCCATCTCAAAAAAAAAAAAAAAAAAAGAAATTTCCAGATCTCTGCCTTCCTTCTTTGACTAGAGTTGACAGCCTTAAGTGTGTCCTTTGCTCTTAAAACCAGCCCCAGCTACCAGGGCCAGCCTGGAGGTAGAGTTCTCTAGGACGCCAGCCAGCCCACAGGGGACATCCCTGCTTTCCCTGCCCTACCCCTACTCCAGACCTACCTCTGTTGACCTGTTCTTCAGGCTCCAGGGCTTTTTCCCTACCCAAAAGATGTTGCCTTGATGGTTCTTACCCATAGGAACCTCCACAGGTGATGATCTTCCACAGGCACCTCCATCTCCTGCCTCGTTTCCCCGCCTCCCGCTCCCCGACCCGGGACTCCAGCCCTAACCTTGGCCATTGACTAGGTGGGACAGGGAGACCTCAAAGGAGCTGAAGAGCTTTTCCTTAAATGTTCCTGGGACGTTAAAATACCTCAACATTAATAGAGACTTTTTAAGTGGAAGAAAATGCCAAAAATAGAGCTGGTCAAAATGCTGCAAAATGCTCCATGCCAAACTCAGAACGACAGAGTAGAGAGGATAGATTCTCCTTAGCAACACTCTGGCCAATTAATTCAACTCCCTGTATTCTCCCCCAGCAATATGCCTTCCCAGAGTCTCTCCCTTGCCCCCACTCCTTAAGGAAGATAATTAACATCCGAGCAGAGGTCTCTGAATGACATTCTGTCAGTGCTTCTGTCTAGTTCAGTACCATTTCTGACAATGACTTATGAAATGGAAATAATGTTTTAAATGTAAATTTCTTAATTATAGAAGTTAAGTTTCATTTAAGAAAAATTTTTAAATAGAGAAAAGAAAATAAAAAAACACTCATAATACCCCCACCCTAACACAACCACTGCCATCATATTTGTGCTTTTCCTGTCATCTCTGTCCCTATAAATAAGTTTTATTCTAACGTCGTGAGGTTTGTCTTGGCCTGGTTTCCCCAGAATGCAGAGACTGAGACAAAGGTTTCCATGCAAGTATTTTATTGACAAATGTGATTCCAGGGAGCAAAAGCAAACGGTGAGGGAGCAAAGCAGACAAGGCTGAATGATGGAACTGGCCACAGCTGAGTACAACTCAGAACCATCTGAGGAGCCACATCAATGAGCGAGGAAAGAAAGAAGGAAGCATTTTTCCATGGCTTCCCAGCCCCCATTTGTCAAAGGCTTTCCCCATGGGGTGTTGACTCCGCCACACTTCTGGACTGCCCTTGCATCAGTGCTGAGTGGATTTCCTCTAAGTCCAGGCAATGATGTCAACAGAGAAGCCCCAAGGTGAGAGGCTAGAGAAATGGGGCATTTATCAGGGTGCACCGGTGAGAAGCTGACTGGAATTGACCCACAACTGGTTACTCCAGCAGTGGCTAGACTAAGAGATAGGTGGGGCCAAGAGGACCTGAAGAGGTGTTCAATACAGTCTTTGTGATGCACATGTAATTTTATTACTGGCTTTTTCACTGAACATTATATATTTTCCATATTGATCAATATTTCTCATAAGTTTTAATGGTTGCTTGTTAATTTTCTAAGTAGATGGAAAGAGGCACATTTTGAATATAACTAGTTTCTACACATTGTGTCATTTACAAACCAGTGACAAGTCAGCCCGCTGAAATGACCTATGAAGGGTCATTTTATACCTTTGTAGCATGTAAGGAATTGCCTTTCCTCAACCCATGTGGGGAGTGGGAGGACATTAATCTCAGTGCTAAACATTTCTGCTTCTATTTCAGCTATCTTTGGAACACAGACATCTTTGGAACAGGTTGATGATTGGAAGTCAAGGAATGAAAAAAAACTTACTGATTTCAGGGTTCTAAAGAAAATCTATCCCTTTTCCTTCTCCCCAGTGACAATATTTAGTAGGATTGTTAGAGAACCCTGGATAAAGACAGGATTAGGACTGCCTTCTCCACTTCTCATCCATTCAACAAGTATTTATTGAGTACCCGCTGTATGTCAAGTACGGCACCAGGCACTGGAGACCCAGAAATAAAGGACCATCCCTGTCCTCAGGCCATCTGGTGGACACAGGCATGTAAACGATCAAATATTGTCATGACAATGCTATAATAGGAAGCCCAGGACACAGGAAGGTAAGAGGTGGTTTGACAGTTATTCATCAAATGGGTGTATCATTAATGTATTGCAGCACAAAAAATTACCCTAAAACTTAGCTACCAAAAACAATCATAAATATTATCTCCCATGGTTTTGGTGGGTCCAGAATTGAAGAACACTTTAGCTAGGTGGTTCTGACTCAGGGTTCTGCACAATGTTGAATCAAGGTGCCAGCCAGAGCTGTAGCCATCTGAAGGCTTGACTGGGACTCAAGGATCTGCTCCCAAAAAGGCTCCCTCACATGGCAGTTAGCAGGAAGCCACAACTTCTCACCATGTAAAACTGAACTGCTTGAGTGTCCTTGTGACATGGTAGCTAGCTGCCCCAGAGCAGGTGACCCTTGAAAAGGAGATTGACATAGCCTCAGTAATCATATACCATCACTTCCACCCTCTTATATTAGTCCAGCAGGATGCTATTCAGTATAGAGAAGGACTACTCAATGGAAGTGGAGATCATCTTGGATGCTAGTTACCACAATGGTTGATGGATTCCTTCAATTGCCATTTATTAAGCACCTGCCTGGAGCATGGCATTCATTCAGGACTGGGAATACCAGCATTGTCCGGAGTAATTGAGTTCAGTAACCAAGTCTTTGTTCAATTTTGTATCTCCGGGGCCTGGAACACAGAAAGCCTCAATAAATGCTTATTTATTTGTCAAAAGGAAGTAAAATATAACAGTTAGGAGCTGGGTCTCTGGAGCCGGTCTGCCTTAGTTCAACTCCAGGCTCCTCCTTTGCACGCTGATGCTTTTCCAATAAATCTTGTTTAACCAAAGTTGGTTTGTGTTGCTTACAATCGAGAACTCTAATTGATACAGTCTTAGTTTTTCCACCTATGTACTTTTACTAGTTCAGGATCCTATCCAGGACTCCACATTGCATTTAGTTGTCCTGTGTCCTTAGCCTCCTTTAGCCTGGGACAGCTCCTCAGTCTCGCCTTGTCTCTTCTGACCTTGCCACTTCTGAAGAGTGCTGGTCAGTTATTTTGTGGAATGTTCCTCATGAGGAGCCATATGAAGACCTTCAATGATCAGGGAGAGAAAGAAAGAAGGATTTTTCCATTGATCCCTTTTGGGATTGTCTGAGGTTTTGTCATGATTAGACTGAGGTAATGCATTTTGGATAAGAACACAACAGAAGTGATATTGTGAATCATATTAGAGACACATGGTAGCAACATGTCTTAGTACTGGTGATGTTGACCTTGATAATTTGGCTAAGGTTATGTCTGCTCCCTTTCTGTTTTCCCTTTGTAATTGATAATTATCTTGTGGCAAGATACTTTGAGACTATGCAGATATCCTGTTTCTCATCACTCTTTTGCCCAGCCAGAGCTGTAGCCATCTGAAGGCTTGACTGGGACTCAAGGATCTGCTCCCAAAAAGGCTCCCTCGCATGGCAGTTAGCAGGAAGCCACAACTTCATTCAGGACTGGGGATACCAGCATTGCCGGGAGTAATTGAGTGCGGTAACCAAGCCTTTGTTCAATTTTGTATCTCCAGTGCCTGGAACATGGCAGGGTGCAGTGGCTCATGCCTGTAATTTTAGTATTTATTGATGGTTTATGACAACAGTTATTACTGTGCTATTTGCCTAATGCTGATTTCCTATCTCCATCATTCTGTCTACATTTTAAATTGGAATCCTACTGTAAAGAGGAGCTATCCCTTCTCATTTTGTATTTATTCAAGTATTTATTTCTATCAATATGGACTCATGGATATTTATTTTATTTTATAGATGATAATCCTTTCCTATCATTATTTATTGCTCAAATTAGCTCAGATTTGGCCATTGGGAATTCTCTCAAGTTGGCTGCTTTATGTATGGTAGTATTTTTAAAGTATCTTCACTTTTGCTGGGCATGATGTCTCATGCCTATAATCCCAGCATTTTGGGAGGCCAAGGTAGAAGGGTTATTTGACAACAAAAGTTCAAGACCAAAAATTATTATTTTTTAAATAGCTGGATGTGGTGGCAGGTGCCTGTAGTCAGGTGTTTGGGAGGCTGAGGCAGGAAGATCATTTGAGCCTAGGAGTTCGAGGTTACAATGAACTATGATCATACCACTGCACTCCAGCTTGGATGACAGAGCAAGACCTTATCTCTAAAAGAAAAAAATAAAATAAAATATCTTTATTTTTATCATAAAAGCAATATATGCCTGGATAAATGGTACATAAAACCTCTCTGTACTATTTTTGTAACTTCCTATAAATCTATAATTATTTCTAAAACAAAGTAAAAAAGTAATATATGCTTATCATTTAAAAATTTCAGGAAATTTACATGGCAGGGTGCAGTGGCTCATGCCTGTAATCTCAGCCCTTTGGGAGGCTGCAGTGAGAGGATCCCTTGATCCTAGGAGTCTAGGAACAGCCTGGGCAGCATAGGGAGACCCCATCTCTTAAAAAAAAAATTTAGTCAAGCATGGTGGTGGGTGCTTGTGGTCCCAGCTACTTGGGAGGCTGAGGTGGGAGAATTGCTTGAGCTGCAGTGAGCTGTGATTGCACCACTGGACTCCAGCCTGGGCAATAGAGTGAGACCCTGTTTCAAAAAAAAAATTTTTTTCAGGAAATACATAAAAGTACAAAAAAAATCATCATCTCCTCTCTTAAACATAATGTGTGTCTGTATTCTGATATTTTTCTCTACACACCATTTTCATATCATTTTAATTGCCATCATAACTTAATTGTGGCAACTCAGCACCAACATTCGAGTTTTGTAATGGAGAGAATGTGGGCCAGAGAAACAGAGATTAATAAAACCATTAACACCACCAGCTCTGATTTGCATGTGTCCACCCCATACACTCGGGCTCTCCCGGTGCTTGGCCTCATCTATTCCCTCCCCCAGCCATGTTAGGGAGGATGGTGTGGGCAGTGCTGATCAGTGGGGGTATTGGGAGGGTCTTGATCTACTGTATCAGGGAGAAGAAAGTATCAACGTCATTAGAAACAAAAGGAATTGAGCTTCTAAATTCAGGAAAATATACACAGATCAGGCTGACTTTGCAGAGGGAGAGAGAGAGATTATTAGAGGGAGAGAAGAGAAAATCAGAAAATGTTAAAATGTTACATTCTTGCTACCAGGAAACAGAGGGTATGCAAGAACCCTGTGGGTGTTTAACCAAACAGTGTTAAGGTTCGGTCAAGGATGGACTTCTCGCCTCCACTCTGGGTTGCCCTGACAACCTCCTCCTTCTGGAATTGACATTATAGTGAGAAAGAAGGAAAAACAGGCTAATGAAGAAAACAGTAATTAGAGGCGGAACCAGCTGTGGTCTGGCTTGCTCCATCTTGGGGGAAGGTTGGGGAAGGACCTGGGAGGGGTGGAGGGCTCTTGGGATGGTGCTGCAGACAGAGGCATGAGACCTGGAGAGACATTCCTACACAATGGTGAATTTGAGTCTGTGTGCAAGAGACACCAGGGCCTCTCTCAGAAATTTTGATCCAGCCAGTCAGTGTGAATTAAATCTCAGTGGTGACATATCCTTATTGCTTCACCTGCTCTCTTTGAATTGCTCAAGGATGCTTAGAAGGGAACCCCATAACCCCAGGCTCAGGAAATAGCCCCCACTCACTCCTCTGGTTGGGCTGAGTCATCCCATCAGCTTTGGGCTTCCCTCTCTCCTTTTCCATCACAAAAAAAAAAGGACTGGTATCTTCACAGGAGAGAGTGGGAATAGAAAGGGGAATAGACAGTAGTTATTACTCTCTTCTTTTTCCAGATAGGGAAACTGAGGCTGGGACATTAAGTAACTTGCCCAAGTTCACAAAATTAAGAAGCGGCCGGGATTCAAATCCAGGTCTGATCAATTCAAAGTATTTCCTTGGTAATCACCTCACTCTGTGATAGAGAGCAGTGATTCTCAAACTTTCACTTGCATTGGAATCCCTTGGATGGCTTGTTGGGCCCTACACCCAGAATTTTTGATTTGGTAGCTTTGGGGTTTGGCTCAAGAATATGCATTTCCAGCAAGTTTCCAGATAGTATTGATTCTACTGGTCCTGGGACCACACTTTGAGAACAGCATATGTAAAGCAAGCTATTTAACCCTTGGACCTCAAGTATAGTCTTTGTAAAAGGAAGAGCAGGACTAGATCTGTTATCTTCAATTCTATCCTGAGGATCCCTCCATTTATCAGACATGTCTCAGCCGTGGGACAGAGATAAGGAGTCTTAAGAAGTTCAGGTCCCCTATCCTGACTTCAGGCAAAGCAAGTCCCCTTGAACTCCTTTACATATCAGAGTTCCACATGAGATTTTATTGGAAAAGAGATTTCTACTATTAAATAAAAAACCAGGAATTATAAACTACTGAACAAAAAGATGTTAAAATACTGTTTGTTCCTGATATTTATTGCTGTGGCTTAAAACACTGTTAGTTTATGTCATGTTTTTGTGAATCAGGAATCTGGGCAGAGCTCAGCTGGGTAGGTCTACTCTTCGTGGTGCCCACTGAGGTTATTCAGTGGTACTAAGAATATTTGTACCCGTGAATATGTATTATTCTTGGAGCACCAGGCCCAGAGTAAGGGATCCAAGCGACAGAAAGAGGAAGGAACTGATCTTTTAACTCGAGCCTGGAAACTGGCACAGCGTCATCCTGCTGTCTTCTGTCACATAATCAACAGAGCTCCCCCTCCCCAGATTCGAGGAGAGGGAACAAGACCCCTCTTCTCAGCGGACATGATATTTTGTGGCCTTCTTTGTTAACTTTTTAAAAATTTGTTGACTTTCATTTTAGGTTTGGGGGTACATGTGCAGGTTTGTTAATGGGTAAATTGTGTGTGGCTGGGGTTTGGTGTACAAATGATCCCAACACCAAGGGAGTGAGCATAGTACCTGATAGTTTTTCAGCCTTCACCCTATTCCGCCTTCCCCACTCTAGTAGTCCTCAGCGTCTATTGTTCTCATCTTTGTGTCAGTGTTTAGCTCCCACTTATAAGTGAGAACATGGAGTATTTGGTTTTCTGTTCCTGCATTAATTTGCTTAGGATAATGGCCTCCAGCTGCATCCATATTGCTGCAAAGGACATGTTTTGTTCTTTTTTATGGCTGCATAGTATTCCATGGTGTATATGTACTGCATTTTCTTTATCTAGTCCACAATTGATGGGCATTTAGGTTGATTCCATGTCTTTGCTATTGTGAATAGTGCTGTGATGACCATACTGAGTGCATGTATCTTTTTGGTAGGATAATTATTTTTCTTTAGGTATATACCCAGTAATGGGATTGCTGGGCCAAATGGTAGTTCCATTTTAAGTTATCTGAGAAATCTTCAAACTGCTTTCCACAGTGGCTTGAAATAATTTGCATTCCCACCAACAGTGTATAAGCGTTCCCTTTTATCCGTAATCTCATCAACATCTGTTATTTTTTAACTTTTTTGGAGGGGGTGGTTTTGGGTTTTTTTCTTTTTTTTTTTTTTTTTTTGAAACAAGAGTCTTGCACTGTTGCCCACGCTGAAGTGCAGTGGCAAGATCTCAGCTCACTGCAACCTCCACTTCTAGGTTCAAGCAATTCTTGTGCCTCAGCCTCCCAAGTAGCTGGGATTACAGGCATGTGCCATCACACTTGGCTAATTTTTGTATTTTCAGTTGAGACAGGGTTTCTCCATGTTGGCCATGCTGGTCTCAAACTCCTGGCCTCAAGTGATCTGCCTGCCTCAGCCTCCCAAAGTGCTGGGATTACAGGTGTGAGCCACCATGCCCAGCCTATTTTTTGACTTTCTAATAACAGCCATTCTGACTCTGGTGTGAGATGGTATCTCATTGTGATTTTGATTTGCATTTCTCTATTGATTAGTGATGTTGAGCATTTTTTCATATATTTGTTGGCTGCATATATGTCTTCTTTTGAGAAATGTCTGTTCATGTCCTTTGCCCATTTTTAATGGGGTTAAGTTCCAATAGATTCTTAGACCTTTGTTGGATGCGTAGTTTGCTAATATTGTCTCCCATTCTGTAGGTTGTCTGTTTATTCTGTTGACAGTTTCTTTTGCTGTGCAGAAGCTCTTTAGTTTAATTAGGTCCCACTTGTCCAATTTTTTTTTTTTTTGAGACAGAGTCTCACTCTGTCACCCAGGCTGGAGTGCAGTGTTTTGATCTCGGCTCACTGCAACCTCCACCTCCCGGGCTCAAGTGATCCTCCCACCTCAGCCTCCCAAGTAGCTGGGACTACAGACATGTGCCACCACACTTGGCTAATTTTTGTATTTTTTGTAGACATGGGGTTTCACCATGTTGCCCAGGCTGTCTCAAACTCCTGGGCTCAGCTACCTCAGCCTCTCAATGTGTTGGGATTACAGACGTTAACCACCATGCCTGGCCAATTTTTATTCTTTTTGTTGTTTTGGGGGACTTAGTCATAAATTATTTGCCAAGGCCAATGTCCAGAATGGTATTTCCTAGTTTTTCTTCTACGAGTTTTATAGTTTTAGGTCTTACATTTAAGTCTTTAATCCATCTTTTTTTTTTTTTTTTTTTTTTTTTTGAGACAGAATCTTACTCTGTTGCCCAGGCTGGAGTGCAGTGGCATGATCTCAGTTCACCACAACTTCTGCCTCCCGGGATTAAGCGAACTCCCCTCCTCAGCCTCCCAAGTAGCTGGGAGTACAGGCATGCACCACCACGGCCAGCTAATTTTTGTATTTTTAGTAGAGACGGGTTTTCACCATGTTGGCCAGGCTGATCTCAAATTCCTGACCTCAGGTGGTCCACCTGCCTTGGCCTCCCGAAATGCTAGGATTAGAGGCTTGAGCCACCGTGCCTGGCCTAATCCATCTTAAGTTAACTTTTGTATATGGTGAAAGGTAGGGATCCAGTTTCAGTCTTCTGCATATGGCTAGCCAGTTGTCCCAGCACCATTTATTGAATAGGCAGTCCTTTCCCCATTGCTTGTTTTGTCAACTTTGTTGAAGATCAGATGGCTGTAGGTGTATGGATTTATTACTAGATTATCTATCCTGCTCCGTTGGTCTATTTATTTGTTTTTGTACCAGTACCATGCTGTTTTGGTTACTGTGGCCTTGTAGTATAGTTTGAAATCAGGTAATATGATGCCTCCAGCTTTGTTCTTTTTGCTTAAGATTGCTTTGGCTATTCAGGCTCTTTTTTTGTTACATATGAATTTTAGAATAGTTTTTTCTAATTCTGTGAAAAATGATATTGGTGGTTTGATAGGAATAGTGTTGAATCTGTAAATTGCTTTGGGCCGTATGGTCATTTTATCAATACTGATTCTTTCAATCCATGAGCACAGAATGTTTTTTCGTTTGTGTCATCTCTGATTTCTTTCAGCAGTGTTTTGTAATTCTCATTGTAGAGATCTTTCATCTCTTTGGTTAACTGTATTCCTAGGTATTTTATTCTTTTTTGTGTGCGCCTATTGTAAATGGAATTGCATTCTTGATTTGCCTCTCAGAATATTATCTTACAGAAATGCTATTGATTTTTGTTCATTGATTTTTTACCCTGAAACTTTACTGAAGTCATTTATCAGTTCTAGGAGCCTATTGGCAGAGTCTTTAGAGTATAGGTGTAGAATCATATTGTCTGCAAAGAGAGATAATTTGACTTCCTCTCTTCCTATTTAGGTACCTTTTATTTCTTTCTCTTGCTTGATTGCTCTGGCTAGGACTTCCAGTACTATGTTAAATAAGAGTGGTGAGACTGGGGATCCTTATCTTGTTCCAGTTCTCAAGGGGAATGCTTACAGCCTTTGCCCATTCAATATAATGTGGCTGTGGGTTTGTCACAGATGCCTGTTATTATTTTGAGGTATGTTCCTTTGATGCCTAATTTCTTGATGGTTTTTAACATGAAGGGATGTTGAATTTTATCAAAAGCCTTTTCTGCATCTATTGAGGTGATCATGTGGTTTTTGTTTTCAGTTCTATTTATGTGGTGAAACATGTTTATTATTTGTATATGTTGAACCAACCTTGCATCCCAGGAATAAAGCCTACTTGATCATGATGAATTAACTTTTTGATGTGCTGCTGGATTCAGCATGATAGTATATTGTTGGAGGGTTTTTGCATCTATGTCCATCAGGAACATTGACTTGAAGTTTTCTTTTTTCATGTGTCTCTGCCATGTTTTGGTATTAGAATGATGCTGGCTTTGAAGAATGAGGTAGGAAGGAGTCCTTTCTCCTCAATTTTTTGGAATAATTTCAGTAGGATTGAGACTAGCATTTTTTTTTTTTTTTGAGATGGATTTTCACTCTTGTCACCCAGGCTGGAGGGCAATGGGGCGATCTTGGCTCACTGCAACCTCTGCCTCCAGGTTCAAGTGATTCTCCTGCCTCAGGCTCCTGAGTAGCCTGGATTACAGGCATGTGCCACAATGCCCAGCTAACTTTTTTGTATTTTTAGTAGAGACGGGGTTTCACCATGTTGGTCAGACTGGTCTCGAACTCCTGACCTCAGGTGATCCACCCGCCTTGGCCTCCCAAAGTGCTGGGATTACAGGCATGAGCCACTGTGCCTGGCCAAGACTAGTTCTCTTTTGTACACCCGGTAGAATTTGGCTGTGAATCCTTTTGGTCCAGGGCATTTTTTGGTTGGTAAGTTTTTAATTGATTCAATTTCAGAACTCGTTAATTGGTCTGTTCAGAATTTCGGTTTCTTCCTGCTTCAATCTTGGGAGGTTGTATGTTTCCAGGAATTTATCCATTTCTTCTAGATTTTCTAGTTTGAGTGCATAGAGGTGTTCATAATAATCTGAGGATTTTTGCATTTCTGTGGAGTTGGTTGTAACGTCACCTTTCTCATTTCTGATTGTGCTTATTTGGATTTTCTCTCTTCTTTCCTCTGGGCTTTTTTGTTTTGTTTTGGTTTGGTTTTTGTTGTTGTTGTTGTTTTTCTTTTTAGCAGAGACAGAGTTTTGCCACGTTGGCCAAGCTAGTCTTGAAATCTTGGCCTCAAGTGATCTGTCTGCCTTGGCTTCCCAAAGTGCTGGGATTACAGGCATGAGCCACCATGCTTGGCCTTCTTTTTAGTCTTGCTAGCAGTCTATAAATATTGTCAATTCTTTCAAACAGCCAACTTTTGGTTTCATTGATCTTTTGTATGGATTTTCACATCTTAATTTCTTTCAGTTCTGCTCTGATTTTAGTCATTTCTTTTTTTCTGCTGTTTTGGGATTGGTTTGCTCTGGTTTTTCTAGTTCCTCCAGGTGTGATGTTAGGTAGTTAATTTGAGATCTTTCTAACTTCTTGATGTAGGCAATTAAATGCTATAAATTTTTCTCTGTACACTGCTTTAGCTGTGTCACAAAGATTATTATTATATATTTTTTTGAGTCAGAGTCTCCCTCTCTTGCCCAGGTTGGACTGCAATGGCGTGATCTTGGCTCACTGCAACCTCCAACTCCTAGGTTCAAGCGATTCTCGTGCCTCAGCCTCCTGAGTAGCTGGGATTACAGGCATGTGCCACCATGCCTGGCTAATTTTTTGTATTTTTAGTAGAGACAGGGTTTCACCGTTTTGGCCAGGCTGGTCTCAAACTCCTGATTTCAATTAGAGGCATGAGCCACTGTGCCCGGCCCCAAAGATTATGTTTTGTTGTCTCTCTGTTTTCGTTAGTTTCAATTTTTTTAAAAAATTTCTGCCTTAATTTTGTTCTTTACCCAAAAGTCATTCAGGAGCCAAGTTGCCTAATTTCCATGCATTGTATGGTTTTGAGAGATCTTCTTGGTACTGATTTCTGTTTTTATTGTACTGTGGTCCAAGAGTATGGCTGGTATAATTTCAATTTTTAAAAATTTGTTGAGATTTGCTTTATGGTTGAGCATGTGGTTGACCTTAGAGTATGTGCCATGTGCAGATGAGAAGAATGTATAGTTTGTTATTTTGAGGTGGAGTATTCTATAGATATCTATTAGGCCCAATTGGTCAAGTGTCAACTTTAGGTCCAGAATATCTGTTAGTTTTCCGCCTTGATGATTTAACACTGTCAGTGGGATGTTGAGGTCTCTATTATTGTGTAGTTATTTAAGTCTTTTTGCAGGTCTCTAAGGGGCAAGGAACTGAAGATGTCTCACACCTTGCTGTGGAGGTCAGAGGGCTCCAGAAACTTTGCTCTTCTGACCACAGGCTACTCATCTTCCTAGATCCCGTTTTGGGGACTTGAGGAATGAACAGCCAGAAGGATGTTTGGCCATTACAGGGGCAGGACAGCACTCAAATCACCTCCTCCAGGAAGCCTTTCCTGATCTATTCCTTCCCTGCCTGCCCTCCTCTTTATCTCCAGGCTGAGAGATGTGTGGCTTCTCTGTATTCTGTAGCCACTGCGTGCTTACCATCATCACAGAGTGAAAGGCGTCATTGTCTGTCTCCACTAGTAGACCCTGAGCTCCTGAGAATGTTCTTTGGTGTCTTTTTTCTCTTTATCCCCAGGACATTGTTTAGCACAATGGTGTTTAGCACAATACAGGATGTTCAGACACTGTCTGGTGGATTGAATTGAGTTGTTCATATGTGGTTAGTTCAATTCAGAAGAAAGTGTGGTTATTTTTATTGGGATTAGTCTTTGCCTTTGGATCTGCTAAGCAAATTTAATATGTAAATAGGACTCAGGTGAAGAGATGTTAAGTACTCTTTAAAAAAATATTTTCCAAGAGCTTTGGCAGTCTCTATTTGATGAACAGTTGGTTAATTTCAAATGATTTAAATGTATTTATTCAAGTAGATTCAATAGAACTAATCTCTAGTAGGCAAAATTCTGTTAATTCTTCTTTTCTTGTATTGTGTAGCCTTAGAAGTCATTCACTTCGATTTCATTTCCCTTCTTTCCTTCCTTCCCTCCTACCTTCCTTTTTTCCTTCCTTTTTCTTGGTAAGTTTCATTACTCAAGCTTCCCACTCATTCAGATGGGCCTTTGCCCCCATAATTAAAAGACTGAGTAAGCACTGGGAAGTAACCAGTGGTCATGTGTCTTGACTTTATTTCTGCATGGCTTTGATGTTGCAATCGGCTCTGTTACACCGGATCTATCAGTTAGCTCTCTGTTGCTCACAGGGTTGCCCATGCAACGGCAGCATCAGCATTCCCTGGGAACCTGTTAGAAATGTAGAATCTTAGGCCCAGAATCTCAGATCCAGGCTCAGGGATCACCCAGACCATTTGATCCCAGGGTGATTCATGAACATACATGTTTGAGAAGCAGAGTTTTAACTAACCTGAACAATGACTCTCCCCAGGCCCATACTTTGTACAGGATGTGGTAACTGAACCAGGAATTGAATACGTACCTTTTTGCAGTTTATCAGTACTAATTCACCTGTACCTTTGCTGGATCTACACACCAAACAGGTTTCCTTGCTTACCCAACCCACAACTCCTGGAAGGGGCAGCCCTACATATAATACCAGGGGCTGGTATTCTTGAGAGCTTACATTGCACCAGGCATGGTACCTTCTGCTTTATATGTGTTCTTACTCCTTATAGCAGACCTGTGAGATAGGTACCACACCTACCCCCTTGTTTGTAGACAAAAAGCTGAGGTTTAGAGAGGTGAAATGGTTTGTTTGCTGCCAGCCAGCAGAGTGCTGGCCTGTAAAAAGGGCTCTATAATTGAGGGCTGTTAGCATCCTCATCCTATTTCTGGGGACAGGGTGATCCAGATTTAAATGGCTACAGAACAGTCCAGTGGACTGGCAGATTGCATTGTGGTGGTAATTACCTGCTTTCAACCCTTTGTGAGCTCTAGAATGGCATTCCCCTATCAGGGCTGAGGGCCGGGGGACACTATCTCATTGCCTGGCCAGTCCCAAGGTTGCTACCTCTTCCTCTTGCATGTTCTTCTTCTTCTCCCTCTCTTTCCTCTGTTTCTCAGTTTTCTCCTTCTTCTACTCCTCCCACTTTTCCTCCTCTTCCATTTCCTTCTCTTGCTCTTTCTTGTCTTTCCCCTCCTTCTTCTATTCCTCCTCCTTCCCTTCCCTCCATTTTTTTCTCTTCCTTCTTAGCTCAACTCCTCGTTCTTCCTTCCCTCTCCTTCCCTCTTTTCTCCTAGGGCTCCTGGTAGAGAATGTAGATGATGATGATGGTAATCGTGATTTTGATGTTATCATTTGGCCAGCCTGGATTTCTAGTTTCTTGTCATCTTCCCCTCTGGTGGGAAAGGGATCATTCAGTGTAAGAATTTGAAGGTCTGCTGTGAAAGGCAATCATTATTAGACAGAGAAAGGCTGGTTTGTCTTACATATTTAGAAACTATGTTTGGGAGAAGGGAGAAACATGAAGGGTAAAAAAAGACTGAGGGAAATGAGGTGGGAGAAGAGAGAGAGAAAGACTAGAAAGAAGGGGCTTGAGGGAGCTCCTCAGATACTTATTCTGATTGATCCGAAAGGCGATTAGTTCAGCTGTGTTTGGTACCATCCTCTCTACTTGGGTGTGTTTGTCAACAGCCACCAGGAAGCCACTGTCAGGCGAAGCACGTGCTGGCAAGCCCTTCCAGCCACTGAAGGATGTGGTGGTGCAGTTACATTATTGTTGTTATTCCTATCAGCTGACCAGTTCCCCAGCTCCCTCCTTGAGCCTTGTGCTTGTTAAATTTTTTACAGACACAATCTCTACACCCCATAAGTTGGGCAGCATAAGAAACTAAAGCCTACTTGTTCTCTATTCGTCTGCTGTATAATTGGGCCTGGAAAATACTTAACTAGGTCTTTGGGAGCAATACATAATTTGCTGTCCTCTGTATATAAGCTGAACTGCTGATTGAGGATCAAAGGAGCATGATCATTGATTTAATTAACTTATAGACTACTTGGTGGGGGGCAATAGACATACACATGAAGTCGGGGGCTAATTAACCCTACAAGAATATAAGAGACACTAAAAGTCACTATGACTAAATGCCCAATTGATGGCAGAAATGTAAGAGATATAGGATCCATTAAAAGTTCTTTATTAGAATTGCAGATATCACCAAAAGATGGGCAAGATACATTTAATACATTTGCAAATAAATGTGTGTCACCTATAACCCATTCTTAGACTAACAACAACAAATTCTAAATATCTGCAGGTCAAATGTAACTCAATACTGTTTTATAAAATACAGTATTTCTTCAAATAGGATCATCTTTTTCTAGAAGCAATCACAAGGCCTAAGGAGATTTGCAGCAATGGAAAGGATTTTTTTTCTCCCCTGTAATGAATAGATTAAAAGCTTAATCCCAAGGTCTGTCTCTGAGTCCAAGTATAATTGTGGTATGAGTCATTCTGAATGGGTTTTTTCATATACACTCAGCACTGTAAGGCATTTAGGGGAAAGCATCAAAGTTTTGAAAGATAATAAAAGAGACAACTTTCAGCAAACCTTGTGACCCTGAAAGGGATGCCCAAGATGAATCCCTTTCAGTATCAGGCTCCTAAGAAAACACTGATTTTACTTCAGGACACTTGAGGCCTGGATTGTCTTGTGAGGAGTTTCAGAAGGGCATCCACTCCTATATTCCTAGTTACTGACCTGTCAGATGCTGGCTTTGCAAAGATCGTCGTTAGTCCTTTGGCTCATCAATGCCAGGCCTATCCTGCAGGTCAGCGTGAAGCAATGTGAAAAAATGGTCCATCCAATTCCTGAGTCTATTCCCAAGAAGCAAGGCTTACAGATAGTGGGAAATTGATTTATTATCAGTGCTTAAAAGAGAATAATTTAAAATTTTCTTGGGGTTCAGAAGAGTAAACACTTGAAATAAGACCTGTTTGGACATTGCATGGGTGAAGTGATGCTCTAAAGAAGTTGAGGCTCAATTTGAGGAAAACCAGGACAGATGACCTTCAGAGCAAGAAACAAAGCATGCCTTTCATCTTTACCTTTGTGCATGGAGGGGAAAGATTGACTACATGGGATGATGGCTAGTTGACAGGCCTGTTGCTTTTTACTCAACAGACATTTAACTCGTATTTATCAAGCAAGTATGTGTAGCAAGGATTGAGGGAGGCAGCCCAGCTTTAGTGGTTAAGAGCATGAGCTCTGGAGCCAGACTGCCTGGGTTCAAATCCCAGTCTAGCACTTGCTAGCTGTGTGGTGTTGAGTGGTTTTTCTTAATCTCCCTGGGTCCCAATTTCCTCATCTGCAAAACAATGATCATAGTACCTATTGAGAGGGTTTGTTATAAAGCTTAGATGGATTAATATTTATTAAGGGTTTAACACACTGCCTGATGACACATATTAAGTGCTCAACAAATATTAGTTGCTAAGGTTGATAGGTGCTGTGTCAGATGCAAAGATAAATCCAGAAGAGGGAGATAGCCAGGTACAGACTTTACACACAAATGGTGTCCACATAAGAATGTTGGGTTTAAATTGCTTTTTTCCCTATCTTGTATCTACGTTCCATTCAGAAAGTAACAGGAGTAGAGGGCTGTCCCCTGGACTGGGGCCTAAGAGAAGGTATAGGGAACTCAGGGAGAGGCTCCTCCTCAGAGAAGTCTTTTCTGCAGATTCATCCAGTTCAGCAAGCATGAGCCCTGGGGCCCCACCAATTCAAGGAGGAGCTAAATTGGCAGATGTTTATTGAGCCAGGACTATAATCAAGGAAGCTGGCTGGCTGCTGCAGGAATGGAGAAACAAACATTTACTGAAAGCCCCATGTGCCAGGCATTATATGAGGCATTTTCCATGAATTATTGTACTTACAAGTGGCACCATCCCTAAAAGGTAGGCATTCTCATTTTTACCCTATTTACAGGTGAAAAAAATCAAAGGTAGGTGATTTGTCCAAGCTCACACATCAGCAAGTGACTGAGCCTCAATTCTTCCCCAGAACGGTCTTCTTTCTGAGCTTATTCGCTTGCTATGGTATTTCCCGGGGTGTGTACAAGACTCAGTTCATGCCCTCAAAGAACTTACAGTCT
The DNA here is from genome assembly GCF_000001405.40 of Homo sapiens. Classification (NCBI taxonomy): domain Eukaryota; kingdom Metazoa; phylum Chordata; class Mammalia; order Primates; family Hominidae; genus Homo; species Homo sapiens. The sequence continues at coordinate 45,366,879 of NC_000003.12, forward strand.
GGCAGGAATATCACAGATGAAAACTCCGTACCATTTCTTCCTCCACTGAATGGTCAGTAATAGGGAGAGATTTCTTCCTTTCCTATACAATCTTAGTATTTTTTTTTTCTTTTTTTAGGTGAGGTCTCACTCTGTCACCTAGGCAGGAATGCAGTGGCACGATCTTGCCTTGCTGCAACCTCCACCTCCCGGACTCAAGCGATTCTCCCACCTCAGCCTCCCAAGTAGCTGGGACCATCGGTGCACACCACTACGCCTGGCTAATTTTTTTGTATTTTTGGTAGAGACAAGGTTTCACCATGTTGTCCAGGCTGGTCTCAAGCTCTTGAACTCAAGTGATGCACCCGCATCAGCCTTCCAAAGCACTGGGATTACAAGTGTGAGCCACAGTGCCCGGCCTCTTAGCACTTTTGAACCACTTAACAGGATGCTTGGACTGACTCTTTAAATTCAATAAAAATAACAAAAACATTAACTGCCATTATCGAGTGTCTTGAATGTGGCCAGGAACTGCATATGATAATCTCATTTAATCCTCCCAGCGCAATGATCCTGTTTACCCACAGAGCAAGTGAGGCCCAGGGAGGTTTAGTAATTTGCCCAAGACTACATCATAAAAGTGGTAGGCCTGAGCTTCAAAGCCAGGCTATTTCCACCCAGAGTATGAGCTGTTAATGACTAAGCTATGATGTCAGAAGGGCCGTGTCACTCCTGTTTGCCTTGTACATGCAGTTGTTCCTCATTGTTCACAGTAGTAGTTAGTTATGTTCTATAAAGATGTCTTGAGGACTGAATTTACAAACACCAAACCATTATTCCTAGGGAAGACAGGATTAGATTCCTGCAAGCCTCTAGTCATAACATTTTTGTCAGCTGATGAATACATACCCTTGTCTTTTGTGTGTTTCCAAATATGGTCTCTAAGCGTATTTTCTCTGTAAGGCACATCACAGCCTTCCTGCCCTTAGAAACACTAGACAGCACTTTAGCACTGTGGCTGGGACCATTTCAAACAGAGAAATCCCAATAAAATGCACAAAAATGTAAAAAGCATGACACTGAATATACTGCAAAAGGGACACTGCTTACAGGATTAGCTGAAACAAGAAGGCAGAGCATCACCTTGCTTAGCCTCAGCCAGGAATGTGCACCTAGGGGAGCTCAAATTTTTCACCCTCTCTGCATGTCTGTCAATGATCTTAAAAGTGCTGTATCGATTTTAGGGTTACACATCAATTTTAGCAAGTAAACAAATTCTCAAATATGAAATCCGTAAAAAATGGGACTCTACTATACTCCTCACCTTTTAAAAGATTACATCTAGGAGAGGCGGAGCAAGATGGTGGAATAAAAGGCTCCATGGATCCTCTCCCCAACAAGGACACCAATTTAACAACTATATACACAGAAAAAACACCTTCATAATAATCAAAAATCAGGTGAGCCCTCATAGTACCTGGTTTTAACTTCATAGTGCTGAAAGAGGCACTGAAGAGATAGAAAAAAGTCCTGAATCGCCGACGCCACCCCTTCCCCATCCCTGGCAGCTGTGACCTGGTGCAGAGAGCATCTCTGAGTGCTGGGGGAGGGAGAGGATAGCAATTGTGAGGCATTGAACCCAGGGCTGTCCTGTTAGAGCAGAAAGGAAAACCAGACCAAACCCAGCTGATGCCTGCCAAGGGAGGGAGCATTTAAAACAGCCCTACCCAGCAGTCCAAACGTGAGTGCCTGCAAACCTCGCCTCCAAGGGCCAGAGTGCTCTCAGTCTCTAAATAAACTTGAAAAGCAGTCTAGGCCATAAGGACAGCAACTCTTAGAAGAGTCCTACTCCTGAACTGGCCCAGAGACAGTAGAGTAGGGGGACAGGTGACCTACTGAGGCACCAGCTGGGGTAGCCAAGGGAGTGCTGGCATCACCCTTTTCCTAACCCCAGGCTGCACAGCTCATGGCTCCAAAAAAGACCCCTTCCTTTCGCTTGAGGAGAGGAGAGGGAAGAGTGGGGAGGACTTTGTCTTGCATCCTGGATACCAGATGAGCCACAGCAGGATAGGGTACTGGTAAGAGTTGTGAGGCCTCATTTCCAGGCCCTGGCTACCAGATGACATTTCTAGACATACCCTGGGCTAGAAGGGAACCTGATGCCTTAAAGGAAAGGCCCCAGTTCCAGCAGCATTCATCACCTGCTCACTGAAGAGCCCTTGGGCCTTGAGTAACAAGCAGCAATACCCAGGTACTGCATCGAGTCCTCGGGTGAACCTCTGAGACTTGGTGGCTTCAGGTGAGACTCAGCATATTACCAGCTGTGGTGGCTACAGGGCAAAACTCCTTCTGCTTGAGAAAAGCAGAGGGAAAAGTAAAGAGGACTTTGTCTTACACCTTAGGTACCAGCATGGCCACAGAGGGATAGAGCACCAAGCAGACTCTTGGAGTCCCTGATTCCAGAACTTAACTCTTGGATGGCATATCTGGATCTGCTCTGGGCCAAAGGGGAGCCCACTGCTCTAAAGGGTGAGTCCCAGCCCAGGCAGCATTTACCACAGCTGACTTAAGAGCCCTTGGGCCTTAAGAGAACATTGTTGGTAATCTGGCAGTTCTCTTTGTGGCTTGTAGTTATGGGGAGGCTCCTCCAACTTTGAAAGGGGAGAGAAGAGTGGGAAGGACTACATCTCATGGTTTGAGTGCCAGCTCAGCTGCAGTACAATAGAACACCAGGTAAACTTATAAGGTTTTTGACTGTAGCCCCTGACTCCCGGACAATACAACTGGACCCACTTGAGCCCTGAGGGAACTCTCTGTCCTGAAGGGAAGGACACAATCCTGGGTGATTTTTGCCACCTGCTGATTGTAGAGCCCCAGGGCCTTGAGAGAAGATAGGCAGTAGCCAGGGAGTGGTTACAGCAGGCCTTGGGTGAGACCCAGAGCTATGTTGGTTTCAGGTCTGACCCAGTACACCCATAGTGGTGGTGGCCATAGGTGTGCTTGTGTTAATCTACCCCCAGCTATAGGTGGCTCAGAACAGAGGGAGAGAGACTCCATTTGTTTGGGAGAAAGTAAGGGAAGAAAACAAGAATCTCTGCCTAGTAGTCCAGAGAATTCTCCTAGATCAGGTCTAAGACCATCAAGGTAGTACCTCTATGATTCCGCAAGAACCACAGTGTTACTGTGCTTGGGGTGCTTTCTAAAGCTGATATAGCTTAGATCACCACACCCAAGCCCTTTCAAATGTGTGGAAAGTCTTCCCAGGGAGGATGGTTACTAAAAAGCCCAGACAGTGAAGACTACAATAAATACCTAACTCTTCAATGCCCAGACACCAAAGATCTACTAGCATCAACACCATCCAAGAAAGCATGACCTTGGCTGGGCGCGGTGGCTCATGCCTGTAATCCCAGCACTTTGGGAGGCCAAGGCGGGCAGATCACGAGGTCAGGAGATCGAGACCATCCTGGCTAACACAGTGAAACCCCATCTCTACTAAAAATACAAAAATTAGCTGGGCGTGGTGGCGGGCACCTGTAGTCCCTGCTACACGGGAGACTGAGGCAGGAGAATGGTGTGAACCTGGGAGGCAGAGTTTTCAGTGAGCTGAGATCGCACAACTGCACTCCAGCCTGGGCGACTGAGTAAGACTCCATCTCAAAAAAAAAAAAAAAAAAAAAAAAGAAGGAAAGCATGACCTCACCAAATGAACTAAATAAGACACCAAGGACCAATCCTAGAGAAACAAAAATATGTGACCTTTCAGACAGAAATCAAAATAGTTGTGTTCAAGAAACTCAGAGAATTTCAAGATAACACAGGGAAGGAATTCTGAATTCTGCCAGATAAGTTTAACAAATAGGCTGGGCATGGTGGCCCATGCCTATAATACCAGCACTTTGTGAAGCCAAGGTAGGTAGGTCACTTAAGGCCAGGAGTTTGAGACCAGCCTGGCCAACATGGTGAAACCCTATTTCTACTAAAAATACAAAAAAAAAAAAATAGCCGGGCATGGTGGCACATGCCTGTAATCCCAGCTACTAGGGAGGCTGAGACAGGAGAATTACTTGAATCCAGGAGGCGGAGGTTGCAGTGAACTGAGATTGCACCACTGCAGTCCAGCCTGGGAAACAGAGTAAGACTCTGTCTCAAAAATAATAATAATAATTAACAAAGATATTGAAATAATTAAAAAGCATCAAGCAGAAATTCTGGAGCTGGAAAATGCAATTGACATACTGAAGAATACATTGGAGTCCTTTAATAGCAGAATTGATCAAGCAGAAGAAAGAATTAATGAGCTTGAAGACAGGCTATTTGAAAATACAAAGTCAGAGGAGACAAAAAAAAGAATAAGAAACAAGGAAGCACACTTACAGAATCAAGAAAATAGCCTCAAAATGGCATATTTAAGAGTTATTGGCCTTAAAGAGGAGGTAGAGAAAGAGATAGGGGTAGAAAGTTTATTAAAAGGGATATAACAAGTTTAAATACATGTGTGCCCAATACTGGAACACCCAGCAAGTATTATTAGAGCTAAAGAGAGAGATAGGCCCCAAAACAATAATAGCTGGAGACTTCAACACCCTACTTCTGCACAGTAAAGGCTACAGTCAACAAAATGAAGAGACAACCCACAGAATGGGTGAAAATATTTGCAAACTACCCATCTCACAGGGATTAATCACCAGAATATATAAGGAGCTTGAATAACTCTGTAGGAAAAAAAAAAAGTAAAAATCTGATTAAAAAATGGTCAAAAGATTTGAATAGACATTTCTCAAAACAAGAGATACAAATGGCAAACAGGGATATGAAAAGATGCTCAACATCTTTGATCTTCAGAGAAATGCAAATCAAAACTACAATGAGACATCATCAGGCAATAACAAACGCTGGCAAGGATGCGGAGAAATGGGAACCCTCACACTGTTGGTGGGAATGTAAATTAGTACAATCACTATGGAGAACAGTTTGAAGGTTCCTCAAAAAACTAAAAATAGAGTTGCCATATGATACAGCAATCCTACTGCTGGGTATATACTCAAAAGAAAGGAAATAAGTATATCAAAGAGATATCTGCACTTCCATATTTGTTGCAGCAGCGGTTCGGTTCTGGGATGGCTGCAGCAGCTCCTAAGGTTTTTATTACACACAGAAGGAAAGAGAATCTGGGATCTAGTATTCCTAGCAGAAGTCCTGTGCTTCCCCCTGATTGCTCTGGCTTAGGTCATGTTTCTGACTGAACTGTCTCTGTGTTCCTGGGATAGAATGAGCTGAGTAGTTTACACCGCACCTTAGACCTGGGGATGCAGGTCAAGTCCATAGACTAAATGGCCCAGAATTGGGTCAAGGGGTAGTTTCCTAAAGGGAATTCCAAAAGTGATGATTAGGAAAGAGGGAGGAATAGATGCTAGGAAACAATAGATGATAAGCCCATCTATACCTTAAGCGATTTGGTTATCACAGCTGGGGCAATTTTATTGAAAAGTAATTCATATAGTAGCATGTATCTTGAGGTTTGCCTTCATCTCCATACTGGGAGACTGAAAGTTGTTCCCAGAAGATCTAAATCAACATCTAAAATGTGACAGCTGCCAGGCAAGGTGGCTCACACCTCTAATCCCAACATTTTGGGAGGCCGAGGCGGGTGGATCACCTGAGGTCGGGAGTTCGAGACCAGCCTGACCAACATGGAGAAATCCTGTCTCTACTAAAAATACAAAATTATCCAGATGTGGTGGTGCATGCCTATAATCCCAGCTACTTGGGAGGCTGAGACAGGAGAATCACTTGAACCCTGGAGGCGGAGGTTTTGGTGAGCCGAGATGGCACCATTATACTCCAGCCTGGGCAATAAGAGCAAACTCCATCTCAAAATAAATAAAATAAAATAAAATGTGACAGCTCAGGTAAGAATATACCTGGTTAAAGCATGGAAATAAATACCAAGTTGGAATTATGTATTACTCTTACACTTCTAGGTCATTTCTAGTGAGTTTGCCTTACCTAGAGGGGTAAGCAAGGAGGAATAGTCTTGTTTTTACCTTAAGGGGATGAGATGGTCAAAGCAATAAAGATTCCCATTCCTGGAGATGTTTGCCACAGGCTTTTATATTAGCCAAATAGAGTGCAGAGCAAGCAGCAAGAAGTAGGGAAAATGAACAGAGGGCAGAGAAATAATGTCACACTGATTCAAGTGACACGATGTTAAGGGATTCCACAAATAACTCAGCAAATTGATCATTAAGAAATTTTAAATACTACTTAAATTAATCCAGAATGCCTAAACCCTGGCAGGTTCCAACAGAGTAGGTGAGGCAAGGTGAGGTAGGAAGGGGGTGAGGAGGTAGCATGGTGGGGACCACAAAGACCATCTGAGAGGGTGGTTGGGAAGCAACAGTAGAGAGGAGAGAAAGAGAGATAGAGAGAGAAAGAGGGAGAGAGAGAGAGAGACTTGGAGGGTCAGGTTCCAGAATATGAAAGACACACAGATGGGAAGACAGGCAGAGGCACCCAGTCATGGAGTAGAATTAGACACAAAGATTCCCTGGAGGGCAGAGAGCCTGGCCAGTTCATCGCTGTAGGCCCATTTCCTGATGCGGGGCCTGCCTGTTGCGGGGTTTGCAGCATTGGCTGAATGAAAACCAAGGCAAAGGAGACAAGCAGAGAAGGACGACAGAGCTGGAGGGGGAGACACAAGGGTGGGAGATGTGCGGTGGTTCAGGCTGAAGATCAAATGCAATAAAAGAAAACAGGTAATTACATTGGGAAGAAAGTCAATTTTGCGGGTGTCCATGTGTAAAAAGTAAAGTAGAGGTTCCTTTTCAAAGACTTTCCTCCCCATCTAATTAGGAATAAATAGTAACTTCTCTTAGAAGCAAAATTTATTGAAAGACCTGTGCTAACATTCTTAAATATCTGCTAGCCATAATAAGGAAATCAATGTACTTTATGTTCTTAGCTCCCACAATTTAGCTTAAATATTTGCCCTAGCATGCTTATACTGGTCCAAGCAAGCATTAGGTCATAGCCTGTTCCTCTTCCTTACTTGAAAGTGTTTTTACCTTTCTCAGCATTCCACAAGTTACTTCCTCCTTCCTTTGTTCCCTTCTACCTTTGCCTCTTTTAAAAAGTTCTAAGTTGCTAGCCAATCAGGACAAATACAGAATGTGAGGTCCCGCTCCAGCCAGTGGAAACCAGACACAGCAGTAGGGTGAATGTGTCAGGTTATAAATGACCCTGTTTCCTTTGTTCAGTGTACTTTTGTGGCAAAACTGCTAGCAAGTGTACCCTTTCTGCAGGAAGTAAAAATGGCCTTACTAAATAAATTAAATTTATGTTCAAGTGCTATTTCTTTATGGCACCAAGGAACAAACATTTCAAACACATTCTACAGAAGCTTCCTATGATGTGGAAAACCAAGATAGTGTAATTTTTGAAAAAGGACTAAGCTTAAAGTTAAAAACTAATAAATACTTATTTTTTAAAGCATTTATTTATTTTTATTTATTTATTTTTATTCTTCCATAGGTTATTGGGGTACAGGTGGTATTTGGTTACATGAGTAAGTTCTTTAGTGGTGATTTGTGAGATTTTGGTGCACCCATCACCTGAGCAGTATACACTGCACCATATTTGTAGTCTTTTATTCCTCACTCCCCTTCCATCCTTCCCCCTCAAGTCCCCAAAGTCCATTGTATCATTCTTTTTTTTTTTTTTTTTGAGATGGAGTCTCACTCTGTCGCCCAGGCTGGAGTGCAGTGGTGCGATCTCGGCTCACTGCAAGCTCCGCCTCCCGGGTTCAGCCATTCTCCTGCCTCAGCCTCCTGAGTAGCTGGGACTACAGGCGCCCACCACCATGCCCGGCTAATTTTTTGTATTTTTAGTAGAAACGGGGTTTCACCGTGTTAGCCAGGATGGTCTCGATCTCCTGACCTCATGATCCACCCGCCTCGGCCTCCCAAAGTGCTGGGATGACAGGCGTGAGCCACCCTTGCCTGGCCCATTGTATCATTCCTATGCCTTTGTGTCCTCTTAGCTTAGCTCCCACATATCAGTCAGAACATACGATGCTTGGTTTTCCATTCCTGAGTTACTTCACTTAGAATAATAGTCTCCAGTCTCATCTAGGTTGCTGCAAATGCCATTAACTCATTCCTTTTTATGGCTGAGCAGTATTTCATCATATGTATATATCAGTTTCTTTATTCACTCGTTGATTGATGGGCATCTGGGTTGGTTCCACGATTTTGCAGTTGTGAATTGTGCTGCTGTAAACACGCATGTGCAAGTATCTTTTTCATATAATGACTTCTTTTCCTCTGGGTAGATACCCAGTAGTGGGATTGCTGGATCAAATGGTAGTTCTACTTTTAGTTCTTTAAGGAATCTCCACACTGTTTTCCATAGTGGCTGTACTAGTTTACATTCCCACCAGCAGTGTGGAAGTGTTCCCTGATCACTGCATCCACACCAACATCTACTGTTTTTTGACTTTTTGATTATGGCCATTCTTGCAGGAGTAAGGTGGTATCACATTGTGGTTTTGACTTGAATTTTCCTGATCATTAGTGATGTTGAGCATTTTTTCATATGTTCATGGCCATTTGTATATCTTCTTTTGAGAATTGTCTATTCATGTCCTTACCCACTTTTTGATGGAATTGTTTGTTTTTTCTTACTGATGTGTTTGAGTTCATCATAGAGTCTGGATATTAGTCCTTTGTCAAATGTATAGATTGTGAAGATATTCTCCCACTCTGTGGTTGTCTGTTTACTCTGCTGATTGTTCCTTTTGCCATGCAAAAGCGCTTTAGTTTAATTAAGTCCCAAATATTTATCTTTGTTTTCATTGCATTTTCTTTTGGATTCTTGGTCATGAAATCCTTGCCTAAGCCAGTGTCTAGAAGGGTTTTTCCAATGTTATCTTCTAGAATTTTTATAGTTTCACATCTTAGGTTTAAGTCCTTAATCCATCTTGAGCTGATTTTTGTATAAGGTGAGAGATGAGGGTCCAGTTTCATTCTCCTACATGTGGCTAGCCAATTATCCCAGTGCCATTTGTTGAAAAGGGTGTCCTTTCCCCACTTTATGTTTTTGTTTGCGTTGTCAAAGATCAGTTGGCTGTAAGTATTTGGGTTTACTTCTGGTTTCTCTATTCTGTTCCATTGGTCTATGTGCCTATTTTTATACCAGTACCATGCTGTTTTGGTGACCATGGCCTTATGGTATAGTTTGAAATCAGGTAGTGTGATGCCCCCAGATTTGTTCTTTTTGCTTAGTCTTGCTTTGGCTATGCAGGCTCTTTTTTTATTCTATATGAATTTTAGAACTGTTTTTCCTAATTCTGTGAAGAATGATTGTGGTATTTTGATGAGGATTGCGTTGAATTTGCAGATTGCTTTTGGCAGTATGGTCACTTTCACAATATTGATTCTACCCATCCATGAGCATGGGATGTATTTCTGCTGAGACCAGCTCAGTTGGAGAGACCCTAACCCAGCAGCGCTAGAAGAATTAAAGACACACACACAGAAATATACAGGTGTGAAGTGGGAAATCAGGGGTCTCACAGCCTTCAGAGCTGAGAGTCTCGAACAGAGATTTATCCATGTATTTGTTAACAGCCAACCAGTCATTAGCATTGTTTCTATAGATATTAGATTAACTAAAAGTATCCCTTTTGGGAAACAAAGGGATGGGCCGAAATAAAGGGATGAGTTGGGCTAGTTATCTGCAGCAGGACCATGTCCTTAAGGCACAGATCGCTCATGCTATTGTTTGTGGTTTAAGAATGCCTTTAAGGGGTTTTCCGCCCTGGGTGGGCCAGGTGTTCCTTACCCTCATTCCAGTAAACCCACAACCTTCCAGCGTGGGCATTATGGCCATCATGAACATGTCGCAGTGCTGCAGAGATTTTGTTTATGGCCAGTTTTGGGGCCAGTTTATGGCCAGATTCTGGGGGGCCTGTTCCCAACATATTTCCATTTGTTTGTGTCATCTGTGATTTCTTACAGCAGTGTTTTGTAGTTTTCCTTACAGAGATCTTTCACCTCCTTGGTTAGGTATATTCCTAAGTATTTTATTTTATTTATTTATTTATTTTTTGGCAGCTATTGTAAAAGGGGTTGAGGTCTTGATTTGATTCTCCACTTGGTCGCTGTTGATGTATAGAAGAGCTACTGATTTGTGTACATTGACCTTGTATCTGGAAACTTTGCTAAGTTCTTTTATCAGTTCTAGGAGCTTTCTGGAGGAGTCCTTAGGGTTTTCTTTTCTTTTCTTTTCTTTTCTTTTCTTTTCTTTTCTTTTCTTTTCTTTTGAGACGGAGTTTGGCTCTGTCACCCAGGCTGGAGTGCAGTGGAGCAATCTTGGCTCACTACAACCTCCGCCTCCTGGGTTCAAGCAATTATCTCCTGCCACAGCCTCCCAAGTAGGTGGGGCTACAGGTGCCCACCATCACACCTGGCTAATTTTTGTATTTTTGGTAGAGATGGAGTTTCACTGTATTGGCCAGGCTGGTCTCAAACTCCTGACCTTGTGATTCACCCACCTCAGCCTCCCAAAGTGCTGGGATTACAGGTGTGAGCCACCATGCCCAGCCGTCTTTAGGATTTTCGGGGTAAATGATCATGTTTTCAGCAAACAGTGACAGTTTGACTTCCTCTTTACCAATTTGAATGCCCTTTATTTCTTTCTCTTGTCTGATTGCTCTGGCTAGGACTTCTAGTATTATGTTGAAGAGGAGTGGTGAGAGTGGGCATCCTTGTCTTGTTCCAGTTCTCGGAGGGAATGCTTTCAACTTTTCCCCATTCAGTATTATATTGGCTGTGGGTTTGTCATAGATGGCTTTTATTACATTGTATGTAATAGGCATGTCCCTGTATACCGATTTTGCTGAGAGTTTTAATCATAAAGGGATGCTGGATTTGGTTGAATGCTTTTTCTGCATCTATTGAGATAATCATGTGATTTTTGTTTTTAATTCTGTTTATGTGGTGTATGATATTTATTGACTTGCATATGTGAAACCATTTCTGCATCCCTGGTATGAAATCCACTTAATCATGGTGTATTATCTTTTTGATATGTTGTTAGATTTGATTTGCTAGTATTTTGGAAAGGATTTTTGTGTCTATGTTCATCAGGGATATCAAACTGTAGTTTTCTTTTTTGGTTATGGGGTGATGCTGGCTTAATAGAATGAATTAGGGAGGGTTCCCTTTTTCTTTTTCTTGTGGAATAGTGTCAAAGGGATTGGTGCCAATTCTTCTTTAAATGTCTGGTAGAATTCTGCTGTGAATCCATCTGGTCCTGGACTTTATTTTGTAGAAAAATTTTAAATTACCATTTCAATCTCGCTGCTTGTTACTGGTCTGTTCAGGCTATCTAATTCTTCCTGATTTAAAGTAGGAGGGCTGTATGTTTTCAGGAATTTATCCATCTCTTCTAGGTTTTCTAGTTTATGTGTGCAAAGGTGTTCATAGTAGCCTTGAATGATCTACTGTATTTCATTGGTGTCAGTTGTAATATCTCCCATTTCATTTTTTAATGAGGTTATTTGGATTTTCTCTCTTCTTTTCTTGGTTAATCTTGCTAATGGTCTATCAATTTTATTTATCTTTTCAAATAATCAGCTTTTAATTTCATTTATCTTTTGTATTTTTTTTGTTTCAATTTCATTTAGTTCTGCCCTGATCTTGGTTATTTCCTTTCTTCTGCTAGGTTTGAGTTTGGTTTGTTCTTGTTTCTCTAGTTCCTTGGGGTGTGTCCTTAGAATGTCAGTTTGTGGTCTTTCAGCCTTTTTGATGTAGGTGTTTAGGGCTATGAACTTTCCTCTTAGCATGGCCTTTGCTGTATCCCAGAGGTTTTGATAGGTTGTGTCATTATTGTTGTTCAGTTTGCAGAATTTTTTAATTTCCATCTTGATTTCGTTTTTGACCCAGTGCTCATTCAGGAGCAGGTTATTTCTTTTCCATGTGTTTGCATGGTGTTAAACATTCCTTTAGGAGGTGATTTCCAGGTTTGTTCCTCTGTGGTCTGAAAGTGCTTGATATAATTTCAATTTTTGTAAGTTTATTGAAGCTCGTTTTGTGGCCTATCATATGGTCTATCTTGAAGAAATTTCCATGTGCTGTTGAATAGAATGTGTATTCTGAAGTTGTTGGATGAAATGTTCTGTATATATCTGTTAATTCCATTTGTTCCAAGGTATACTTTAAATCCATTGTTTCTATGTTGACTTTCTGTCTTGATGACCTGTCTAGTGCTGTCAGTGGAGTACTGAAGTCCCCCACTATTATTGTGTTGCTGTCTATGTCATTTCTTAGGTCTATTAGTAATTGTTTTATAAATTTGGGAGCTCCAGTGTTAGGTGCAAATATGTTTAAGATTGTGATATTTTCCTGTTGGATGTGGCCTTTTACCATTATATAATGTCCCTCTTTGTCTCTTTTAACTGATGTTGCTTTAAAGTTTGTTTTGTCTGATATAAGAATAGCTAACCCTGCACACTTTTGGTGTCCATTTGCATAAAATGCCTTTTCCATCCCTTTATTTTAAGTTTATGTGAGACCTTATGTGTTAGATGAGTCTCCTGAAGGCAGCAGATAGTTTATTGGTGAGTTCTTATCCATTCTGCTGTTCTGTATCTTTTCTTTTTTCTTTATTTTTCTTTTTTTTTTTTTTGAGACGGAGTCTCACTTTGTCACCCAGGTTGGAGTGCAGTGGCACAATCTCGGCTCACTGCAGCCTCTGCCTTCCAGATTCAAGCAATTATCCTGCCTCAACCTCCCAAGTAGCTGGGATTACAGGTGCATGCCACCACACCTGGCTAACTTGTGTATTTTTAGTAGGGAAGGGGTTTCACCATGTTGGCCAGGCTGGTCTCAAACTCCTGGCCTCAAGTGACCCTGCCACCTTGGGCTCCCAAAGTGCTGGGATTACAGGCGTGAGCCACCACACCTGGCCAGGTCTGTATCTTTTAAGTGGAGCATTTAGGCCATTTACATTCAATGTTAGTATTGAAATGTGAGGTACCATTCCAGTCATTGTGCTATTTGAGGCCTGTGTAACTTGGTTTTTTTGTCTTTTATTTTTGTTTTTTAAATTCTATTTTTGTTTTATAGGTCCTGTGTGATTTATGCTTTAAAGGGGTTCTGTTTGGATGTGTTTCCAGGATTTGTTTCAAGATTTAGAGCTCCTTTTAGCAGTTCCTTTAGTGTCAGCTTGGTAGTGGTGAATTCTCTCAGCATTTGTTTGTCTGAAAAAGGTTATCTTTCCTTGATATATGATGCTTAGTTTCGCTGGATACAAAATTCTTGGCTGATAATTGTTTTGTTTGAGGAGACTGAAGATAGGGCCCCTATCCTTTCTAGCTTGTAGGGTGTCTGCTGAGAAATCTTCTGTTAATCTGATAGGTTTTCCTTTATAGGTTACTGTTGCTTTTATCTCACAGCTGTTAAGATTCTTTCCTTCATCTTAACTTTAGATAGCCTGATGACAATGTGCCTAGGCAATGATCTTTTTGCGATGAATTTCCCAGGTGTTCTTTATTCTTCTTGTATTTGGATGTCCAGATCTCTAGCAAGGCCAGGGAAGTTTTCCTCGATTATTCCCACAAATATGTTTTTCAGACTTTTAGATTTCTCTTCTTCCCCAGGAACACTGATTATTGTTAGGTTTGGTTGTTTAACACAATCCCAGACTTCTTGGAGGCTTTGTTCATATTTTCTTATTCTTTTTTTGTCTGTGTTGGATTGGGTTAATTTGAAGACCTTGTCTTCAAGCTCTGAATTTCTTTCTTCTACTTGTTAAGTTCTATTGCTGAGACTTTCCAGAGCATTTTGCATTTCTAAAAGTGTGTCCAATGTTTCCTGAAGTTTTGATTGTTTTTTCTTTATGGTATCTATTTCCTTCTTGTATTGTTTTTTGGATTTCCTTGCATTGGGCTTCGCCTTTCTCTGGTTTCTCCCTGATTAGCTTAATAACTAAGCTCCTGAATTCTTTTTCAGGTAAATCAGGGATTTCTTCTTGGTTTGGATCCATTGTTGGTGAGCTAGTGTGATTTTTTTTTGGGGGGGGAGGGGACGTGTGTTAAAGAGCCTTGTTTTGTCATATTACCAGATCCGGTTTTCTGACTCCTTCTCATTTGGGTAGGTTCTGTCAGAGGGAAGGTCTAGGGCTGAAGGCTGTCGTTTAGATTCTTTTGTCCCACAGTGTGTTCCCTTGATGTAATACTCTCCCCCTACTCCTATGGATGTGGCTTCTTGTGAGCCAAGATGCAGTGATTGTTATCTCTCTTCTGGGCCTAGCCATCCAGCAAGACTTCCTGGTTCTGGACTGGCATGGGGGGGTTGTCTGCACAGAGTCCTGTGATGTGAACCATCTATGGGTCTCTCAGCTATGGATACAGCACCTGTTCTGGTGGAGGTGGTGGGGGGGTGAAATGACTCTGTGAAAGTTGTTAGCTTTGGCGGTTTAATGTTCTATTTTTGTGCTGTGGTTGGCCTCCTGCCAGGAGGTGACACTTTCCAGAGAGCATCAGCTGTGGTAGTATGGAAAGGAACCGGCAGTGGACGGGGCCCTAGAACTCCCAAGATTATATGCCTTTTGTCTTCAGCTACCAGGGTGGATAGGGAAGGCGCATCAGCTAGGGGCAGGGCTAAGCGTGTCTGAGCTCAGAGTCTCCTTGGGTGGGTCTTGCTGCAGCTGCTGTGGGGGATGAGAGTGAGGTTCCCAGGTCAGTGGAGTTGTGTACCTAGGAGGATTATGGCTGCCTCTGCTGAGTCATGCAGGTTGTCAGGGAAGTGGGGGAAAGTCGGCAGTCATAGGCCTCACCCAGCTCCCATGCCATCTGAAGGGCCTGTCTCACTCTCACTGTGCCCCTGCTAACAGCCCTGAGTCTGTTTCCAGGTGGTGGGTGAGCAGGGCTTGAGAACTTGCGCCAGGCTACCCACCTCCCAGCTGCGAAGGAAAAGGGCTTTGGTTTTTCCCCCACCTGTGGAGTCTGCACACCAGATTCACACCCTCCCCTGAGTTCTGGCCAGAAGGCTTCTCGCCTGGTTCAAATTATTACAAAGTTAAGCTGGAGATTTCCTTCTCCCTGTGGCATTTCCCCCCGTGCCTCTGGCCACTCTCCTGAAGGATCCCTGTGGTGCTAGGCAGGAATGGCCTGCCTGGGGACCCAGTGAGCTCCCAGGGCCTTTCCTGTTGCTTCTTCTACCCCTTTATTTTGCTCGGCACTCTAAATTGACTCAGCTCCAGGTAAGGTTGGAAACTTTCCCCACAAACTAGACCTTCAGTTTCTCCAGTGGGGGTGTGTAGTAGGGAGCAGAGGATCTCCGTTTCCCACTTTAGCAGTTTGGGCACTCACAGCATTTGGGGTGTCTCCTAGGTCCTGCAGGAGCAGTCCACTTCCCTCAGAGGGTCTGTGGGTCCTCTCGGGATTCCAGGTTTGTTCTTGCAGTCGTTCTGGAGCTAAAATTCCCTATGCAAGCCTCAGCATGCTGCTCTGTCCTTCCGAGTTGGAGCTGCAATCTAGTCCTGCCTCCCACCCACCATGATGAATAGACTTATTGTTTTTTAATCACAAAAGTAATACCTGTCTGTTGTAAAAACTTCAGTACCTTAATACAAAGAATAAAATATTAAAGTCCACCTCAACGAGCTTAGCATTTTTTCAGAGATTCTTACCTTTTCGCAGACTTCTCTCCTCCAGTTACTTCCTCCCTTTCCTGCATCATCAATTTGTCCTTGTATTTGATTATCTCCACCTTCTTACAAATGTATTCATGGATTTTCTTTTTCATTTTTCTTTTCTTTTCTTTTTTTTTTGAGACTGGGCCTCACTGTAGCCCAGGCTGGAGTACAGCAGGGCAGTCATGGTTCACTGCAGCCTCAAACTCCTGGGCTTAAGCTATCCTCCCACTCCAGCCTCCCAAGTAGCTGGGACCACAGGCATGCAACACCCTCCCTGGCTAATTTTTTAAAAAGTTTTTTGTAGAGACAAGGTCTTGCTATGTTGTCCAGGCTGGTGGCAAACTCCTGGGCTCAACCAATCCTTCCATCTTGGCCTCCCAAAGTGTTGGCATTATAGGCATCAGCCACTGCACCCAGATTAATGCATTTTCTATTCCTTTTAAAGTCACCCAAGAAGGGCACTGCCTTCACTTCCATGGTATTGCTGCCAAAATACAAAACCGGAATAAAGCAGGAGGAACATTCTACAAAATACCTGATTAGTACACCTCTTCAGAAGTGTCAAGGTCATGAAAGGCAAAAAAGAGAGAGAGGCTGTCCCAGCTTGCAGGAGACAAAGGAGACATAATAATTTAATGCAAAATGTCCCTGGGCTGGATCCTAGACTAGGTAATAGAAGGAAACTTGTGATAAAGACTATTTTTTATCTGTTTCTGAGAAACAAATTATCCCCCAAACATAGCAGCTTAAAACTACAAACACAATCTCACACAGCTTCTGGGAATGGCTTAGCTGGGTGGTTCTGCCTCGGGGTCTCCAAGAGGTCTCAGTCAAACTGTCAGCTGGGGCTGCTGTCTTTGAAGACTACATGGGGTTGGAGGGTCCATTATACATGGACCTGGCTGTTGGCAGTTGGCTTCATTTCTTCAGCATATAGCCTTTTCTATAGGCTAATGATGTGGCTTACCTCCAGGGTAAGTGATGCAAGACACACACAGTGAGAATGACCTAGATAGAAGATGCAATATCTCTTATAACCTAATCTAGAAAGTGAGATACTATTACTTCTGCTGTATTGTATTGGTCAGACTAACTAATCGTGGTACAATGTGGGAAGAAACTACATGAGGGCATGAATACCAGCAGGTGAAGCTCATTGGAGGCTATCTTAGAGGTGGGATACTACAAAGAGTATTTAAGAAAAACTTAAAGCAAGCATCATATTTAAAGGTAGAACATTAGAGGCAACCCCATTCAAGTGAGGAACTAATGGAATAAGACAAGGATGCCCACTATCACAGCTATTACAACTCTTATCAAATATGAAGAAGGCTTTCTTTGAGGACTGTTTATGATCTCTAGTATTGTTTGACTCTGACTTGTCCTTCAAGTTGAGTCCTGGCCGTAGGGGACAAATAGTGTTATGGGTGTGACTCTGGAGAGCCAAGCTCCTTTAATGAGACGGTGGCAAGTAAAAATATTTCTGAAGATCCATAAGTTAGAGTGTTAATAACAAACAACACTGTGAAAGGCATAAAATTAAACAAATGGTGATGGGTAGCAGTTCCTTTATTTAACAAAGAAATCTTTACACTCTTTTTGGGATATAAAATCCCAAAACTAACACAAACTCATCCCAGAAAACTAATCCCCAGCTAATACAGAAACTGTATTAGTTTCTTATGGCTGCTATAACAAATTACCACAAACTTGGTGGCTTAAAAAAAAGAATGCATTTATTATCTTACAAGTCTGGATGTAAGAGAATCCCAAATCAGTTTCACTGGGCAGAAATCAAGGTGTTGGCAGGGACTCATTCCATGTGGAGGCTCTAGGAGAGAATCTGTTTTCTTTTTCTTTTTTTTTTTTTTTTTTTGAAATGGAGTTTCGCTCTTGTTGCCCAGGCTGGAGTGCAATGATGTGATATTGGCTCACTGCAACCTCCACCTCTCTGGTTCAAGCAATTCACCTGCCTCAGTCTCCCAAGTAGCTGGGATTACAGGTGCACACCACTACGCCTGGATACTTTTGTATTTTTAGTAGATAGGGTTTCACCTTGTTGGCCAGGCTGGTCTCAAACTCCTGACCTCAAGTGATCCACCTGCCTTGGCCTCCCAAAGTGCTGGGATTATAGGAATAAGCCACCACACCTGGCCTGTTTTCTTTTTTTTTTAAATTATGGTAAAATATATATATAATGACAATTACCATTTTAACCATTTTTAAATGTACAGTTCAGTGACATTAAGTACATTCACATTGTTGTGCAAACATCCCCACCTTCCATCTCCAGAACTCTTTTTATCTTCCCAAACTGGAAC
Source organism: Homo sapiens (assembly GCF_000001405.40). NCBI lineage: Eukaryota > Metazoa > Chordata > Mammalia > Primates > Hominidae > Homo > Homo sapiens. Next base: position 45,384,881 of record NC_000003.12, read on the forward strand.
TCTGTATCCCTTAAATAATAACTTCCCACTCCCTCCCCATTACCCTATCCTCTGGCAATGGCCATTCTACTTTCCATCTTAGAATTTGATGGCTCTAAATACCTTATATGAAAGGAATCATACAATATTTGTCCTTCAGTGACCACCTTATTTCACTGAGCATTTGATTCATCCATGTGTAGTGTGTGTCAGAATTTCCTTCCTTAAGGGCTGAATAATATTCCATTGAATGTATATACCATTTTCTTTTATATACATTTAAGCCGTGGATGGACACTTCGGTTACTTGTACCTTTTTGCTGTAGTGAACAATGCTGCTATAAACATGGGTGTACAAATATCTCTTTGAGGCCCTACTTTCAAACCTTTTGGGTATCTACTCAGAAGTAGAGTTGCTGGATCACATGAGAAAAATGTGTATTCCTGCCTTTTTCATCTTCAACTGCATGAGCTGCACTCCTTACATTCTTTGGCTCATGGTCCTTTCCTTCATCTTCTAAAACAGCATTGTAGCATCTTGTTTCAGTGATCACCTTGCCTCTTCTCTCAAATTTCTCTCTGCCTCCCTCTTATAAGGACCCTTGTGATTGCATTTAGGGCCACCTGGCATTAGCCAGGATAATCTCCCTATCTCAAGATCCTTAATATAATCACATGTGCAAAGTCTCTTTTGCTATATAAGGTGACATTCGCAGGTTCCAGGGAGTAGAACCTGGATCTATCTTTGGGGGGCATTATTCAGCCCCATACAGCTAATAGAAAAAGCAAAAAGAATGCAGAAACATTGTTAATAGAAAGGTCCATAAAATCCTACTATCCCTAGAGATCATCACAGGAAATAGTTTGGGATATAGTTTTTTATATTTCTTTCTATGCATATACTAACAAATGCCTTTCTTTTATTTCCTTTCCTTTTTTAAAAAACAAACCAATGAGGTAACATTCTACACAGCCTAGCAACTTGTCTGCTTCATTTAATAATGTATTCAAGCAAGCCCTTTAAGAGTGAAAAGGATTTACTTTCATGCTACTGCCTTCTTTGAAGTAAAAATAGCAAGTTTCCAGTAAAGTAAGTGACTTTTAGAAAAATTCTATTTGAAATAATCTTCTAGAAATGTCAATGTTAAATGTAATTCACGATAGGCAAGACAGATTTTCAACCAAAATAAGGTTAGAGGCTGTATTTTGGGTAAATTAGAGAAAGGGGCACTCTAGTTATATATGGATGCACGTGACATACCTGAAGGCTAAACTGCATCAAGTGTGGCAGGTTAATATGCCAGCCAATGTTTCCATGGTATCAGTTTAAACTAAGCATCTGGTGTTCGGAGTGGGACCTGGTTGGAACCCTGTCTCCATCATCAACTACATATGTGACCTTAGGTAAGCTGTGTCCAACCTTTGGACCTCAGTGTCCTTGTCTTTGAAGAGGATTGGACTAGAAGTTCTAAGCTCTTTATGATCTTCCATTCTGCAACTTGAGAAGGGCACTATTCTGCCAGAATGGAGATCCAGTTTTGAATAACAAATCTTTGACTAATTTGCCTTATGACCTGAGCAAAACAGTCAGCTCTTTTGGGCCTCAGTTTATTTATCTGTAAAACGAGGAGATTGGACTAGAAAGGAGCTCTCACATTCTAGGACAGTGAGTCTTCAAATTGAATGTGTCTAGGATCAGTTAGGAGTCTTGTTAAAATTCAGAGTCTGATTCAGCAGGTCTAGGGCAGAGACTGAGTTTCTCATTTCCAGCAAATTCCCAGGTGAGGCTGATGCTGGAGACCACACCTTGAATAACAAGGTATTTGGATGTTGAACTATTAGGAAACCTTGTTAAAGACATGGAAATGGGCAAAAGAGAATACTGTATGTCGCTTGGGTGGAGTATTGGGGGATTATCTGATGCTATAGGAGTGCATACATTTGCCTGCCTCTCTGTTAACTAGCTATTGTTCATCTTCGTAAGAATAGAAGCTAAAATATGGAATATGAGGCCGGGTGTGGTGGCTCATGCCTGTAATCCCAGCACTTTGGGAGGCCAAGGCAGGCGGATTACTTGAGGTCAGGAGTTCAAGAGCAGCCTGGTCAACATGGGGAACTCCTTCTCTACTAAAAATACAAAAATTAGCCGGGCATGGTGGTGTGCACCTGTAGTCCCAGCTATTTAGGAGGCTGAGGCAGGAGAATTGCTTGAACCCAGGAGGTGGAGGTTGCAGTGAGCCAAGATCGTGCCACCGCACTCCAGCCTGGGTAACAGAGTGAGACCCTGTCCCAGATAAATAAATAAATAAATAAAAATGTAGAATATGGATACAGTAGTCCCCCTTATCTTCAGTTTCACTTTCTGAGGTTTCAGTTACCTGCAGTCAACCAAGGTCCAAAAATATTAAATGAAAAATTTCAGCAATAAATAATTCATAAGTTTTAAGTTGCATGCCATTCTGAGTAGAGTGATGAAATCTTGCTACCTCCTGCCTGGGATGTGAACCATTGTGAATCATCCCTTTGTCCAGCATATCCACGCTATATAGCTACCCAACTTAGTAGCCATCGTGGCTATCAGATCGACAGATCACAATAAGGGTGAGGACAGTACAATAAGCTGTTTCAAGAGAGACCACAGTCATATAACTTTTATTACAGCATATTGTTATAATTGTTCTATTTTATTATTGGGTATTGTTGTTAATATCTTACTGTGTCTAATTTACAAATTAAACCTTATCATAGGTATGTATGCATAGGCAAGAAAAACAGTATACATAGGGTTCAGTACCGCCGCAGTTTCAGGCATCCACTGAAGGTCTTGGAACATGTCTCGTGAGAATAGGAGGGACTACTGTAATCATGGGACGAATTTTGTTTGGTAGAGATACGATTTCAAGCCTGTAGGAAAGAAATGGCTCCCAAACATTACTTTTTCCTGTCCTATAGGATATTAACCAATTTTGCACAATTGGCAAATTCATTTCAGTATTCTTGACTGCCCACATATATGAGTTCTTCAAGTTCTCCTTTAAATCGGTTTTACCTTTTTGAAAATTATGCTTTAACACCACTGGTTCTTTGCAATTCTTTGATTTGTTGATTTATTACAAGCATGAAACACTTGCCGGGTGTGTGGCAGTGGGGGCATGGGATATACAAACTCCTCGAGGAAAGGGAAGGCATCATGCTTTCCTGACTCCCAGCACACTTGCCAGGTGAGAAAAGTACCTTACCCCAAACCTATTCTTGGCCAGGTAATTCCACCCCCCGCCCCAGGGCTAGAGGATTACGCAATATGGTGGAAGAAGGTGCCTCACTCATCATGCAGTCAATTAGGAATCAAGAGGTCGAGACCTGCCCAAGCCCAGGAGGCAGTTGTTGCTACGCTGGGATTCGAACCCTGGGGTCTGGGCTATATCCCAGGGCTCTTTTCACCAGCTGCCGCCTAGTTTATTCTGAGGCCACTAAATCAACGACTTTCATCCGTCTGCTATAACTGTAATAATTTGAGTCCCAGACGTCTAGAGCTTTGCCGACACCAGAGCAGTTAAAGGGCGTGCCAGAGGCCGAGAGGCGGAGCCCCGGGCCGCCGCGCAGACGCCCCGCCCCGCCCGGCGGGCTGCTGGGAGTCGAGGACTGGGTTGCTCTCCTCCCTTCCCCGGTCCCGCCCCCGTCTGTCTGTGTCGACTGCGGACGCTATCGATAAAGTTGCTGTTTTGACAACATGGCGGCGCCCATGGTCCGTGGCCCGGCAGTGCTCGCCTAAAGGTGGAGAACGAGGAGTAGAGGAGCCGCAGGCCAGAGCCTGTGAGCAGGTAAACCCCCGGACCGGGCGCAGCGAGATGAGAGACGAGGCCCAGTCTCCTCTTCCTCCGGCTCGGGAGATTCTGACTTGCTGAGGGCAGGAAGGGAAGGTGCGGGCTGGGTTAGGTGGTCCTGGAACCTTGCAGTTTCGAAACTGAAAATATCTGAGATCTAGGTCTTCAGGACCTTTGAGCCACCGACCCCATTGATAGCTCTGGACTCTTTCCCAGAAAAATGCACATATACACGTAGTTTTGTACTCAAGCTCCCCTCTCCACTACTCCCCTACCCCAGATCTTTGCTCCCCGGACTAGGGGTTTGGACCCAGTTGAAGGTCATCCCTTGCCTCTCTGGGGCCCACAGGTCGTTTTCACGTTAGGGCTCGGAGGTCCTCAGAAAGATGAGGTTCCAGACGAGAAATCCGCCTGAGGTCACAGGTAAATTAGTAGCTGCAAAATCCAAGATTTTTTTTGTTTTCACAAAACTTGGTTTCTTTAAGATGAATTTTTCCAGGTGCATTCTTGCACTTTCTTTTGAGTGTTGTACACAGATGTCCTCGTGTGCTTCTCCCCTGTGTCCTGTTTTTTTTTTTCTGCCTCCTACTCAGGAGAACAGAAAAGGAAGGTGGGTTTTGTCTCACGGGTCAAAACTTAGATCATCCCACACACGCAGGGAAATGAATGACTCCCTTCTCAAGGCATCACTGTGGGCTCTGACGGCTCCAGCATTCAGCAGCCCGTCAGCTCTGCGTCCCAGCGCCTCTTCCGTGAAAGGGAAGCCCCTGTGACTGCATGATGCACAAGAAGGAAGGCGGTCTTGGGACCACGGCCTAGAGGGCGGCCAGGGCACTCCCTCCTGCCTGTGCAGGGCCCTTCCTATTCTCAAAAACCTTCACCTTAAGCTCCAACTGAGATTGAGGTCAGGGTTGATTCTAAAGAGGGGTGGAGTAGTGGGAATTGATTCTTTGGAAGGTTGTGGAAGAAGAGAAGAGTCTTCTTATCTTAGAAGAAGATTCTGAGCATCTAAGGACGGAACTGGAGGAGCCCGAGCTAAGGAAGTAAAGGGCCAAGTTGATCATAAATATAAGACATGAGCCACACCTTTCACATCGTCTTATTCTCACAGCCGTCTAATAAAATGGCTGCTCCTCGCTGTCAATAAGAGGCAGTCCATCAGGGCTTTGGTGGAGGGGTACTTGGAGTGGCCAAGAACAAGGCCTGGGAAGTAAGGGAAAGGAATAGGGCTGAACCCTAGGAAGTTGTGTAATGAATCATAGCCATGAATACTGACTATATGTTGATTCTTATGAGTCCCCTTATGGAATTAGAACCTGAGTGGGGTCTTAGGGACTCCTAACTTCAAAGGATATGAACTATTCTTAAAAAGGTCCTAACACAGGTTATCAGATTGCCCCCCACCCCCCAAAAAAAGGTGGAATCAGTTTACATTCCCACCAGCAGTTGTTTAAAAAATGCATATTTCTTTTCATTTGCCAATCTGGAAACTAAACTTTCATTGTTTTAATTTGCATTTATTTGATTAGTTGTAAAGTTGATCTTTTTCATATTAACTATATGTCCTCTTTATTAACCATTTATATGTCATCTTTGCTGTTTTCCTTTGCCCATTTTTATTTTTATTTTTATTTATTTATTTTTTTTGAGACGGAGTCTTGCCCCGTCGCCCAGGCTGGAGTGCAGTGGTGCAGCCTCTGCTCACTGCAAGCTCCGCCTCCTGGGTTCACGCCATTCTCCTGCCTCAGCCTTCCGAGTAGCTGGGACTACAGGCGCCCGCCACCACGCCTGGCTAATTTTTTGTATATTTAGTAGAGACAGGGTTTCACCGTGTTAGCCAGGATGGTCTCAATCTCCTGACCTCGTGATCTGCCCGCCTCAGCCTCCGAAAGTGCTGGGATTACAGGCGTGAGCCACCAGACCGGGCCTTCTTTGCCCATTTTTATTTTTATTATTTATTTATTTATTTATTTATTTATTTATTTTTGAGACGGAGTCTCGCTCTGTCACCCAGGCTGGAGTGCAGTGGCGTGATCTCAGCTCACTGCAAGCTCCGCCTCCCGGGTTCACGCCTTTCTCCTGCCTCAGCCTCTCTAGTAGCTGGGACTACAGGCGCCCGCCACCACGCCCAGCTAATTTTTTGTACTTTTAGTAGAGACGTGGTTTCACCGTGGTCTCGATCTCCTGACCTTGTGATCCACCCGCCTCGGCCTCCCAAAATGCTGGGATTACAGGCGTGAGCCACCGCACCTGGCCCTTTGCCCATTTTTAAAATTCGATTTTTAGTGTTTCTTTTCACACACATGAGCTCAAGAGTAGAAACCTTTTGTTTTTGCAGTTTTGCTGAACATTTTCTCGTAGCTAATTGCTTGCTTTCCAATTCTGTTCTTAATGGTTTTGATATACAGATTTTTTAGCATCAGATTTATTAACATTTTCCTTTGTGAATTTTTTCATTGTTTTTATACTCAGGACAGAACATCCTGCACCCTCTTAAGATTTATTAAATATTCATCTGTGGTCCAGATGCGGTGGTTCACGCCTGTAATCCCAGCACTTTGGGAGGCCAAGGCAGAGTGATCACGAGGTCAGGAGTTAGAGACCAGCCTGGCCAACACAGTGAAACGCCGTCTCTACTAAAAATACAAAAAATTAGCCGGGTGTGGTGGCGGGCGCCTGTAATCCCAGCTACTCGAGAGGCTGAGGAAGGAGAATCTCTTGAACCCGGGAGGCGGAGGTTGCAGTGAGCCGAGATTGCGCCATTGCACGATCTCATTGCGACAGTGCGACACTCTGACTCAAAAAAAAAAAAAACAAAATCCATCTGTGTTTTTATTTTTTTATGACACTTTAAAAATATTCTAATTTATTTATTTTATTTTATTTTTCTGCTTTTCAGATCCAGACCTACAGATAAAAAACATTATTTAATCTATCTGGGATTTACTCCGGCTTATGATTTGAGGTGGGGCTCTAATTTTAAGTTTTTCTCTTATTTGTTGAATAATCTATTACTATCTAATCTGCTCCTGCTTTTTTAAAAAAATGAACTTTAAATGCTTTTAAATACCCAGATCTGTTTCAGGATTCTCTAGTTCACTGGTTTATTTAAGCAAAGCAGAGGTCATTAGTAAGCCAGGTATTATGTGAACATTTTTAGAAAGCTTATTCTTGTTGTGTAGACAGACAGTGTAGGCAGAGCAGTTCAAGTCACTGTATTTTATAATTTTGTTGTGCCCTTTTGTTTCTATTTGAGAGGATAGCCCAGAACACTCCTTAGGTGTTCTTTGGGGATGCTGTCTAGGAGAGAAGTGGCAAGCATCCATCTATGTGTCCTCTGCTAAACAGGCGTTCTTTGGCTTGCAAAGGTATGAAAGTATTGACTTGGCAAGAGAACCATAAAATCTGTGACTTCTATATAATTAGGGAGTTCTAATTATAGCAACCTAAGCCCTAAAAATATATGCAATTGCCTTAAGTGTACAAAGCGTATGTATATTAGGTCAGTCATATGGAATTGCTAACATTTAACCAATTTCATATAGTTCAAATGCCTGTAATCAGATCTGTGTACTTTAAAATAGCCAAGCCCAACTAATAGAGAGATTTCTTTTTTATCTTTTTTTTTTTTTTTTTGAGATGGAGTCTTGTTTTGTCGCCCAGGCTCTGGAGTGCAGTGGCGCTCACTGCAACCTCTGCCTCCCAGGTTCAAGTTATTCCTCTGCCTCAGCCACCCTAGTAGCTAGGATTACAGATGCACGTCACCATGCCCAGCTAATTTTTGTATTTTTAGTAGAGAAGGGGTTTTGCCATGTTGGCCAGATTGGTCTCGAACTCCTGACCTCAGGTGATCCGCCTGCCTCAGCCTCCCAGAATGCTGGTGTTACAGACGTGAACCATTGCCCGTGGCCTAAGAGAGATTTTTTTTTTTAAGTCTGCACTTTATTCTATCCCTGAAGAAGCAAGAGGTGTTTAATGTAGTGAGAACTGATAATGTCAATGACTTTGGCAGACCAACTTGTAAGATGCCCACATTATGTTGCTGTCTTATGTGAGTTTGAAACTCACTGTTATAAGCCTATATTGACCTTCCTGGCAACATTTGTGTTCTAGTACCTTTGTGAAACAGGCCAAATCCTGATAGAAGTGGAATTTTGAGAGAATCAAAGAACATCAGCTTAGAGTGCCGGGTTTCTTTATTTCTCTCTGGTTTTGAAAAGATCTGTTGTCATCTGTTTTTTCACTGTAGCACTTCTTGAATGCTGTTATGCCAGAAGGAGAAAGTTTAGGCTATTTAGTCTAGTATTTATATCTTAAATATTTGATAAAAATCTCACCTCAACCCTTTGAATAGCAATAAAACATGAAACTTCTTCAGTGAGGTCATTTCCAGTATTTACCTGTGGAAGAAGCCAACGAAACATTAAAATTGGATTTTGAATCACAACTGGATATCCTGGTAGGCCCCAACCTATGAGTTGTATTTCAAAAAATAGCACTCACCGTGACCACATGTTATATATTTTTGTTTCTCATCTGCCTCCCTTATTGTTTGTTTCTTATCTGCTTCCCTGCTAGTATGTAATAAGTGCTACGAAAGAAGGGACTCTGGGCCAGGTGTGGTGGCTCACGCCTATAATCCTAGCACTTTGGGAGGCCAAGGTGGGTGGATCATGAGGTCAGCAGTTCGACACCAACCTGGCCAACATGGTGAAACCCCATCTCCACTAAAAATACGAAAATTAGCCGGGCATGTTGGTGCATGCCTATAATCCCAGCTACTCAGGAGGCTGAGGCAGGAGAATTGCTTGAACCCAGGAGGTGGAGGTTGCAGTGAGCCAAGATCATGCCATTGCACTTCAGCCTGGGCAATAGAGCGAGACTCTGTCTCAAAAAAGAAAAAAAAACAGAGAAAGAAAGAAGGGACTCTGTTTGTGTTTACTGCTATATTCCCAGTACTTAGAACAACGTGTGGGCCTAGTGGTAGTCATTAAATATTTGGTGGTGGCTCACGCCTGTAATCCCAGCACTTTGGTAGGCTAAGGCAGGTAGATCGCTTGAGCCCAGGAGTCAGAGGTTACACTGAGGTATGATTATGCCACTGCACTCCAGCCTGAGTGAAAGAGCAGGACCCTGTCTCTAAAAAGTAAGTAAATAAATAAATAAATATTTGGTAAATGAAGGAGAAACTAAATGAATTAACAGTCTTCTAAATAATGGTTATTTTCTGGTTCAGCCTACAGGGTATATTTAACTCATAATATGTATAAAAATTACTAATAGTAGTTCAGAATTTCTGGCCCTCCTGGGAGGCCTGTATTTAGACCCCTTCTGATATTTGAGCCTAACGCCAACTCAGCATGTGCTTGAGCTCTTCTGAGGCTTGAAGACATAAGAAGTGAAGCCTGCTGGAGAGTCCCTGGGCTGGCCCATGGGGAGGGGAGGGAGGGCACTCCATGCCTTCCATGCAACTTGTGAGGTTGCGCAGGAGCTGGCCAGCTGATGGTCTCCATTTTTTCCTACAGGATTTTTGCATCTTTGATGTTAGGGGTTACTGACCCTTTATATTTTCTATTAAAAAGTTTGTGTTTAGCTCAATTGAATTGCTAAAGTATTCTTTTCAGGGAAAGAAATTATTAAAAGTAAGAGGAAAGCACAGGGCCAGAACACTGGACTGTGCCAAATGGAAAGATAAGCTCTGGGGAGGGTTTGAGGCAGCTCATAGTGTGCTTTCTGCCCTCTTTTTCAGGGCCTTCTCACCTTCTGAAGAATGGCTTCTGTTTGGCAGAGATTGGGTTTTTATGCCTCTCTTCTGAAAAGACAGCTAAATGGTGGGCCAGATGTCATCAAGTGGGAAAGGAGAGTAATTCCCGGATGTACCAGAAGCATCTACAGTGCCACGGGAAAGTGGACAAAAGAGTATACATTGCAGACAAGAAAGGATGTTGAGAAATGGTGGCATCAACGAATAAAAGAACAGGCCTCCAAAATTTCAGAAGCTGATGTGAGTATTCTGAGAGATTCTAAGAGGGTAGAGAAGAGGGGTTGAAGGTTTGGACCCTGGGGTTAGACTACCTGGTTCAAATAAGATATTAAATATGTGACCTTGAACCAAATTGTTGAATTTCTCTGTGCTTCAATTCTCTTATCTGAGATGGAGAGTGATCATAATAGTGCCCACCTGCACTATTGGGAGGGGTAAATGGATTGGGAGGCATAAATGAGGTGATACAAAGGTAGTGTTTACAAGAGTTTCCAATGTGGTGGATGCACACATAGTAATATTGCGCACGAGGTGTATGACAGACAGCAGCAAACCAGGTGTTCTAGAGCAACATTTACTGGGGAAGCTCATCAAAATAGGAGCTCTACCAGATGATGGGTCCTTTGTGGTCCATTGCATGGTGGGGCAGCACACAGGGATCTGGCAGGGTCATATCTGAGACTCCAGGAGAGGCACCTGGGCTCCTCGCTGGCTACATGTTCTGAGAAGTAACTGCCCCTTCCCTGGCAATCGTAGCCTCCAACTCTGTTCTGCTGCCTTAGCATCATGGTTTGGGGCACACCAGCCCTTTCACTGTTGTGAACTGGGGTAGGGTCTAACCTTGAGGTAGCAGCTACATGAGTTAGTGGACCCTTGGCTTCTGCACCAGGTACACCAGCTCGGCACTCTACCTGAATTAATGGTGGAAGCATAATACTTGGCTGCAGCCAGTTTCCACAGAGTGCTCTCTGTTCCTTTTCTGGGAGGCCAGCTTGCTGGGAATCAGTCTGGAACGTGTTAACCCTTACCTCTTGATACTGGTCAAAATGACAGCTGGGAGATGTGATTGTTACATGAAATGTTTGAATCTGATTGGAGTTTTAAATTCTGATCATCTCTTTGTAGTAGTTATAGTCAAATAATACAAACCCTCTATGTTTAATAAAGAGATTAGGCCCAAGGCAAGCAGCTGAATAAGTACAGCTGCACAAGACCACACCTCTCTAGACTTGCCTTTTCCCCATCTCCTGATTCGGTCAACACATTCATTCTTTCTGTGAGATTGGTGGTTATGAAAAATGAGTAAGGGGAGGAGAGCTATTTGTGTTAAACTGAAAGATGATTTTGGGCAATGGTTAGAAAGAAAAATTGCTATTGAAAAAGATGTAGTGTGTAACAAGTAAAATGAAATGAAAAAAAGGGAAGGTTTGAATGTAATACATAATTTTACAATGAAAGCTTGACTTCTACCTTGTTAGGAAGTGAAAAGCCCTTGTGTCAACATCATCAGACTAATGTAACTTAATAGATTTTGAAAACAAACTCTTAAGGAGCAGTTTAATTCTGAGTGAGGACAGTAAAATTAGCTTTTTTTTCCCTTTTGGTTTAGATAATCATTTATTGACTTCCAAATGTTTTGATGTTGTAGCTTACTGATTTTGTGACATCTCATTCTTCTTAAGCATACAGTTTTTTAAAATATCAAATGGATCAAAATAAATTGTTTTAGCAATTGGGGAGATAGCATAAGGGGCATTGTGTGTGATCCCCTGGCAGCCCCCTATCAGGGTTTGAATCAAGGAATGGCAAAGCAGAGTGAGCACTCAGTGAGTGAGCCAGAGCCTGGGCTGCAATGCTGGCTCTGCCCCAGGAAACCTGTGTGATCCAGGCCACATCATTTAATGTTTTGGATTCTGGGCTCCTTGCATTGTTTATCTCACAGAATTGTTTTGAAAATCAAATGAGAAAATGTGTGACAAAATGCATTTTACAAACTGAAGTGGTACATAAATAAAAGATACACAAAGATCAGAACGTGGTGTGTCTATCAGGACCTGAGACTATGACGGAATGCTCATGGATTTTGAAGCATTTATAATCGATCTCACTCTGGTATCAGATTCACTTGAAATCCACTCACATAAGTTTTTTGAAATGGAATGTCTTGAAATCACCATATTTATCATTTAAAAAATAATTTGCATTTAATGAGCATTTAACCATGTGCCAGGCACTGTCTTTCAATTGATTATCTCATTTAATCCTGAAACAACCCAGCGGGTAGGTATTATTATCCTCATTTTTGGAGTAAGAAAACTGAGGCTCAGAAAAAGGTTTAGGTAATTTGCCAAGACATGGCAGAGCCAGGATTCAAAATCAAATGTGTGTTTGATTCCTGAGCTCATGCTTTTCCACACAGAAACCTTCTTTTGTCTCACCTTTGATTTACAGTTAGCAAACTGATCCCAGAAGGCAAAAGAATTTGCCCAAGGCCTCACAGCTAGTGACAAAGCTAGGACCAGAACTGGGGCTCCGGATTCCTATTGAGGTGCTCCTTTTACTCTGTCACCCTCTAGGCTCAGCCACAGCTTCAGAGCGTGATCTATAAAGAGGCAGAAGTCATCTTTCTTCTAAAGTCAGAAGCTGACAAAAATAATAGGACCCACTTATAAAAGCCATCCTTTCCCTATCATTTAAATCTTAATCTCTTTTAAAGGCTTAAATTCTTATACTTTTATATAATTATGAAAATTTCCCTTTCAATCAGATTCTTGCTCAATTATAACAGAAACTCCCATCATTCCTTCTCTCTTTTCCACCCCCAGATGATAGAACTCATTTCATTGTCACAGAGGAAAATGACTTAATTCATGCAGAAAAGCAAAAGGCAGGGACAGGCAATAAGCTGAATACCTTTTCTGTAATAAACAGAAATCTTCATGAATATTAAAGACTTTAGAAAACAATACTTTTCTATGTATCTTTTATGAACTCAGATTTGGATTTTGGCTTAGCTAGTATATAATTATTCATTTGATTTTGCTATTAATTTAATCTTTATTGAACAAATGTAAAACAAGAGATGCTAGTAAAGAAATTACAGGTGGAAAATGTTTGGGGCAAGATTGGTAAATTAAATACATAACAAACATTAGTATAATAAAAATAATTTTATGTAAAAACTTTCAAATGAAAAACTAGAAACAGCTTAGATCAAGGATTTTACTGTTTTCCTAGCTCCCAAAGAACTCTTAACAGCTATTTTCCCATATTCCTAAAAATTTCTGAAGAATAAGCCATAAGCCTAATTCATTGTAAGGAGTAAGGCATGAATTGAGTGGATAGTTTTCTTCTGATTCTGCACTAAGTAAAAGAATGGGGTCTTGTACCTCCTTGGACGACTTGCTCATAAGCTGAGAAGGTTATCTGCCACTCACTTTCTTAAGGACAGTTATTAAGTTCCTGAGTTCCCACCAACCCCTGAATCTCAGGTCCTCTCTCAGATTTCTGTGGTTTTCCTAAGAGTTATAAATCTGCAGTTTCTAATTAAAGTGTCTGACCAATGTGTTGCTTTCCATCCTGTTTGTATAAATCCATTGTAGTTGTCATTTCAGCAGTTCCAGATGATTTTCTAATTTGTGTATGATCCAGATTTCTTAATTGTTCTCTTTTTCCCATCTCTTCCTTCAGGCAGCTTAACACTCCTTGGTAATTTCTAGAGGATGGGCAGCACAAAGAAAAGTTCTACTCTAGTTTTTGTGGGTTTCTTTTTGCCACGTGCTAATGGTTCCGTTAAAGGTTTGTTTAACTTCTTTGCTGAAAGAAGTTTACGAACTCCTTGGCAAGAATCTGATTTCTGGTTTCTTCTGCTCTACTGATTATATTTGGTTTATGTGTATTATCAGTCATGCGAACATTCAGCAAACAATATTTAAAAACCCCATCCCACATATGTACATAAAAGAAGGGTTATGAATATTCTGTTTCGTGTTTGTTTGCATTACTTCAGGGGAAGCAAATTCTTAAAGAACTGGAGTAAAGTTCTAGCAAGGGAATAAGGCCAGGAAGAAAAAACAGAAGGCAGAAATAAATAAAAGCAGAAGTTCTGACCCTTAGTGACGAAACAGAATCAGTTACCCAGTTACCTGTTGCTCTTCCTTTCTCTCCAGCCCCTCCACCCTTGACCCTGTCATGAGATGATTTAAACTTGGGTGTGGGGAACCCTCCTATTACTTGGGTAGGATTTGTGAAGTTTGCTGGGTAAAAAGTGCTCCATAGGGGCCAGTTATCAGGCTTTTGGAGCACAAAGGCCAACGAACATTTATCCAACATTTTATGAAACTCCTGCTGGCACTGGGGGCAGACGTGGAGAAAGAGGTGACTAAAGCACAGTTCTTGCCCTTGAACAGTAGGTCCCCCCATGAACAGTAGGTCCCCCCAGTAGGAGTTAATTCAAGGACTACCATCTTTGTTTGCCTTATCCATTCATGTGCACACTCATGACGACATTCATCATTTTACCAGGGGAAGAATTAAGATGCCAGAAGTCAGTGATCCAATAAGGACTCATTGGCCTGTGTTCCTTCTGTTCAGATACATGTACAGTTGTCTATGTTTCTCATGATGAAGCTGCTTCTTTGGAAGCTGGAGAGTTATATAACCCTGGTCTGAGGCTGCTTATTTATCATCCCTGGAGAACAACAACCTTCTCCCTTTTTAAAAGGATCTTCTCATTACCTTCCCATTTCAACATTTTTGTTGAAAGATAGGCTCTCAATACAATGGGGAAACTCAGGACCCAAATTGGTACTTTAGGATCCTGTTATTACTGCTAAACCTACGTCAGAATGCAGCTATAGAGAATTTAGGAAGAGACTCCATTTTTAGAGATGTTACATCTATGTGATTCAACTATTGCTTCTTTGAATTATATGGATATATGTATGTTAGAGCTTCCTTCGGAAAAACAAACAGTTCTTTAAGGACCTAGATAGAAGCTGTCTTAAAAGAGAAGTGTTTTTTTGTTTTGTTTTGTTTTGTTTTGTTTTTTTAATGGAGTAGCCATTCTTTTATCCCTTTACTTTCCTAATAATCTTGCTTTCGCTTTCTTCTACAGACTGGCGCTGAATTCTTTCTTGCGTGAGATCCAAGAACCCTCTCTTCGGGTCTGCATTGGGACCGCTTTTCTTTCTTTCTTTTTTTTTTCCATAGGTTTTTGGGGTACAGGTGGTATTTGGTTACATGAGTAAGTTATTTAGTGGTGATTTGTGAGATTTTGGTGCACCCCTCACCCGAGCAGTATAGGCTGTACTCTATTTGTAGTCTTTTATCCTTCACCCCCCTTTCCACCCTTCCCCCAAAGTCCCCAAAGTCCATTGTATCATTCTTATGCCTCATAGCTTAGCTCCCACATATCAGTGAGAACATAAGATGTTTGGTTTTCCATTCCTGAGTTACTTCATTTAGAATAATAGTCTCCAATCTCACCCAGGTCACTGCAAATACTGTTAATTCATTCCTTTCAAAAAATAAG
This sequence comes from Homo sapiens, assembly GCF_000001405.40. Taxonomy (NCBI): domain Eukaryota; kingdom Metazoa; phylum Chordata; class Mammalia; order Primates; family Hominidae; genus Homo; species Homo sapiens. The sequence continues at coordinate 45,399,981 of NC_000003.12, forward strand.
TTTTTAAAAGAGAAAAAAAAAAGATATATGGGTACTTAACACTTAGAGGTTGTTTGGCATTATTTTGGACATTCTTTAGCTTAAACCAGGGCTTTGAATTTTGCTTTTTGACATTTTAATTGATTTACATTCTGGGAACACTCTTTTTAAAAGGAAACTTTTAAAATGTTAAATTATTACTTTGTGTAAAATGCCAAAATATTATGTATACATGCAGAGTTCCCAGAAAATGCTTAATAAATACTCATTGTCGTTCTTTCCTAGAAATCGAAGCCAAAATTTTACGTGCTTTCCATGTTCCCTTATCCTTCTGGTAAGCTGCACATGGGCCATGTGCGTGTCTACACCATCAGCGACACCATAGCACGGTTCCAGAAGATGAGAGGGATGCAGGTAAGAACAGGTGCCTGCTGGAGCAGCCCTTGTCTGCCACACGCAGGGTTGGCATGTAGTAATATGTGTTCAAGACAAATGAAGAAAACCAACTTTAGTTAAGATTAGGACAGCTTTGAAGATGGACATGAAAAGCTCAGTGTTTCCTTTTATGGATTAGATGATATTATAATAAAGCATCTAGGTTAATTGGGGGGCAGCCATGAGTTGGGTGTTGTGCTGGGGTGGAGATCAGATGGGAATGGGGTGAAAGGTAGATACAAATGTGGATAACACTGATAATCTTCCCAGGAGATACTCACCCATGAGTAGAGAATCATTGTATATAACGAACTGAGGTCAACAGTACAAATACACATCAGTGCTATGAGTGGCAGGTGAGACTGCAAGATATTTCTTTCTGTTCTATTTGATATTTTCCATATTCTTTGAGCATGTATTTCTTTTCTTTTTTTTTTGAGGCGGAGTCTTGCTCTGTCGCCCAGGCTGGAGTGCAGTGACGCAGTCTCGGCTCACTGCAACCTCCCCCTCCCGGGTTCACGCCATTCTCCTGCCTCAGCCTCCCGAGTAGCTGGGACTACAGGTGCCCACCACCACGCCTGGCTAATTTTTTGTATTTTTAGTAGAGACGGTTTCACTGTGTTAGCCAGGATGGTCTTGATTTCCTGGCCTCGTGATCCGCCCACCTTGGCCTCCCAAAGTGCTGTGATTACAGGTGTGAGCCACCATGCCCGGCAGAGCATGTATTTATTTTCTAATGGAAAAAAATAATTTTTTTAAGAAAAGATATTTGGGGAGTAACAACTCTGGGGAGTTGGGGAAAGTGCCACTAAAGAAGGAACATCTGGTCTGGGCACCTGGCTCATGCCTGTAATTCCAGTGCTTTGGGAGGCCCAGGCAGGAGGATTACTTGAGCCCAGGAGTTCGAGACCAGCCTGAGCAATGTAGCAAAACCCTGTCTCCACAAAAAATACAAAAAATTAGCTCAGTGTGGTGGCACACACCTGTAGTCCCAGCTACTCAGGAGGCTGAGGTGGGAGAATCACATGAACCTGGGAGGTCAAGGCTGCAGTGAGTTGTAATTGTGTCACTACACTCCAGCCTGGGCAACAGAGTGAGACACTATCTTAAAAAAAAAAGAATCTGATATGGGCCTTGAAGAATGAGGTGAAATTTATTGTGAGAGAGGAGGACAAACGCCCTTCCTTGGCTGATGTGGGCCATTCCTCTTTACCCCCCGCCTGCTTTTTAAAAAAATTTTTTTGAGACAGGGTCTCATTTTGTCACCCCGGCTGGAGTGCTGTGGTTGCAATCACAGTTCATTGCAGCCTCGACCTCCCAGGCTCAACTTCCGACTCTGTCTCCCAAGTAGCTGGGACTATAGGTGTGTGCCACCACGCTCAGCTAATTTTTTGTAATTTTTGTAGAGACAGGGTTTCACCATGTTGTTCAGGCATGTCTTGAACCCCTGGGCTCAAGCAATCCACCCACCTCAGCCTCCCAAGGTGCTAGGATTATAGATATGAGCTACCGCACCTAGCCCAGAGCCTAATCTTTACTAGCAATCTTTAGCAACACATCATCTTTAAGATGGGTGTTGGATAATCATAATATCTTCTTTATCCACCTACGAAATATGGCAGTATTCAAGAAGGGCTGAGAGCATGGCCCATTGAACCAAACTGCCAGGATTCAAATTCCAGCTCTTAATACTTACAAGCTGTGTGGCCTTTGAGTAGTTAATTAATTAACCTCTTCAACACCTTGTTTTCTCTCATCTATAAAATAGGGATAAAATAGTACCTGCCCCATTGGCCTGTTAAAAGGATTCAAAGAGGATGACTATGAAGCACTTAGATACCTAACACACAGTATGTAACCAATAAGTATTAGCAATTGCCAGCAGTGGACAGGAACCTGCACACACCAGCACCTGAGAGCCAACTATGTATATCTCTGCCCAATGTTGTGTTTATTAGTCACCTTGGCAGCTTGAAATCTGCCATTGAGGGAGTATTTACGTCATGGTAATCAGCAAACCTACAAATCATGGCCTTTTCCTCCAGAGAGCCAATTGTTAATTAAACATTTACTGGAACCCCAGTGGCCATTGCTACTATGAACCTGTCAGGGCCTATACAAATGATATCTGCTGCCTCTCAGTTCTTTCTATTTTATTTTAGCAAGGTAAGTACATCCATTGTCATAACTGGTTTGAAATTTTATGCTGAGCTGACATTGGCTGCAAGAAGTATTCCTAAAAGAGGGTCACGTTGTAATGTCTTTGTCACTTGAAGAGTTAAATAACTTTATACTACCAAATTCAGAGATTTGTGTTCCACTTTAAGATGGCTGAGGGTGTTTGTCTCTCTGGTTTTTGTCAGATGTTATTTTTCCCAGATAACTGTTTTTCATTATTTCTGCTATGTTTATTAGAAAGAGGTGGGACAGGCCAGGCATGGTGGCTCATGCCTGTAATCCCAGCACTTTGGGAGGCCGAAGTGGGCAGATCACCTGAGGTCGGGAGGTCAAGACCAGCCTGACCAACATGGAGAAACCCCATCTCTACTAAAAATACAAAATTAGCCAGGCATGGTGGCCCGTGCTTGTAATCTGAGCTACTCGGGAGGCTGAGGCAGGAGAATTGCTTGAACCCGGGAGGCAGAGGTTGCAGTGAGCCAAGATCATGCCATTGCACTCCAGCCTGGGCAACAAGAGCGAAACTCCGTCTCCAAAGACAAAAAAAAAAAAAAAAAAAGAAAGATGTGGGACAGAATGAATTGGCTCTTTGCCTAAAGATAAAGATAAAGACAATTCTTTATCTCACTGTGATAAAGAATCTAGTTGTGATTCTTTAATTAGATTTGTCTAAATTTTTTTTAACTTAGGCCAACTTATTTCGGACAATTAGTGAGTGCAGGCAAATTGCCTACAATTAAGCTTTTTTTTGTTTGTTTTTTGAGGCGGATCTTCGCTCTTGTTGCCCAGGCTGGAGTGCAATGGTGCGATCTCAGCTCACTGCAACCTCTGCCTCCTGGGTTCAAGCAATTCTCCTGCCTCAGCCTTCCAAGTAGCTGAGATTACAGGCACCCACCACCACACTCAGCTAATTTTTGTATTTAATTAGAGACGGGGTTTCACCATGTTGGTCAGGCTGGTCTCGAACTCCTGACCTCAGATGATCCGCCCGCCTTGGGACAGTTAAGCTTTTATAGCAACTGTACATTTATGATAGGGTGCAGGGAAGCCTGTTAGCAAAACAGGTGGTTGAGGGGCTTGTAGGTGGGATTCTAATTTCCTTGGATGGGATGAGATGTTACAGAGGAGGCTCAAGGCAGAGCTCCAGGCCCAAAGGAACTGGTACCCTTGCAGGCAGCTCAGGCCCAAAAGACAAGGAGTCCTCCTACCATATCTGAAGCCTAAGGTCAGGCTAGACCCAGAAATTGAACAACCTAGATTTGAACCTACCACTTTCTAGCCAAGCGACTCTACAGAGTCATTTAATGTCCCTGTATCCCACTTTCTTAATCTTTAACATAGGGATAACAATACTTTATTCCTCACAGGGTTATGAGGATTAGATGAGATAGTGCTTGTATCTGGCACATAATAATCCCATAATAAGTGACAGCTGTAATTATTATTTATACTGATCTTATTCCTCAGAGCTGCTTAGGAAGGTGATTCGTCACCATTTAATAAATGAATCTTGTAATTCATATTATCCATCCTGTGGCTTGATTTGCTTATGGTTGAAACCACTATTTGTTATTTGGTTGATGGTTTCTTAGTCTGTGTGATCAGCAGATACCTAAGGTTGTCTTTTTGTTTCACAGTTTCAGTTGCTGTGTTTAAGATAGCAAGCCCTCTTTTCAGGGTGTTCTCTAGGTTCTCCTGAAATTAATTTCTTATTAATTTTCATAGTTCATATTTAAGTCACAGCATCTCAGATACAACCACCAAATCTGGTGAAAACTTGTCTGGTCATTTTTAAGTGATGTGGGAAAAGAGAAACAAATCTTGGTTTCATTGTCAGTGATGTGAAAGAAAGTCTGTTGAGCTTCCTTGTCATTTTAAAATCTTTCCTGCCCAGTGTCAGGATTGGTCCCTGAGATTGAATAAACTTGGACTCAAGTTTAACGATCCTCACTCTAAGCAGGGAAGGAATATCTAATCTGGGCCTGCCAAACAGGGTCTGCCACATGTATTGATTAATTTAGTCAGTAAGTAATCATTGAGCACCAGCTCTATTCTTGAATGGAGATATATGAAATAGTTCTAAGGCACACTAAGAACAGCATTATCTCTGCCTCCCAGGTTCAAGCAGTTCTCCTGCCTCAGCCTCCCGAGTAGCTGGGATTACAAGTACACGCCACCACACCCGGCTAATTTTTGTAGAGATAGGGTTTCACCATGTTGGCCAGGCTGGTCTAGAACTCCTGATCTCAGGTGATCAGCCTGCCTCGGCCTCTCAAAGTGCTGGGATTACAGGTGTGAGCCACTGTGTCCGGCCAGTCCTTGCTATTTTTCAAAGCCCATTTAAATTCTTACTTCTACCATAAATCCATCCCTCAATTCTCCAGTTCACATTTGTTATGAAATAATTTAGCACTTATAGTCAGAACCACAAACTAGGGAGGTCTATATGTCATCCACATGTTGTTTTATCTGCCCAGTAATATAAGCTTCTCAGTGGCAGGGAAGGTCTTTCTAACTTCTTTTGTGTTAGCATGTCAAGTTTTTTTTTTTTCTTTTTCTTTATACAAGATGGGGTCTCACTATGTTGATCAGGCTGGTCTTGAACTCCTGGCCTCAAGCAATCCTCCCATCTTGGCCTCCCAAAGGGCTAGGATTACAGGCATGAGCCACCACACCCAACCATCATGTCAGGTTTTTAATGGTCAAATGTAACTAACATGTTTTTAGGTCTACAGCCTATAAGACCTAACAACTCCTTTGTTCCTAACAGCCTATAAGATAACAACTCCTTTGTTCCCAAGGAGTTTATAATCTGATAAGCCTCAACTGTTTGTGAGTTGATTGATTCAATGGATGTTTTTAAAAGCATACAACTCCTTTGTTTAAGTCTGGACTAAGTGTTCATTGTGCATATATAGCCCAGAATAATGTTTCTCAAACTTTAGAACTCACATATCTCAGTGACAAAATCCTTGGGCTCAAGTTTGGTAAATATTGAATTAAAAGTTAAACTCTGTCATTCTAGATGATTACTTGACATTTAGATGATTATAAATACAAAGGCAACCCCAGACACCCAATTCATGGGCTAGTTCTTGGTGATCAGGTTCATCAATCAGGAAAAATTAGACCATGCTGCTATAATAAACAATCCCCAAATCTCAGTGGCTTAAAACAACAAAATTTTGTTTCTTGCTTTTGCTACATGCCTAGCAGGAGGGCTCAGTTCAAGGTAGTCAGGACCTCGATGATGGCTGTTCTTACCTCAGTGAGTGCCTCCCCATCTCTGTGGCTGGGAGAAGGGGGTATAGTGAATCCCCACTGGCTCTTAAATCTTCCACTTGGACTCAAGTCACTTCCACTGACATGGCCACATCCAACCTCAAAGAGGGTAAAGAATATTCCCACCATGTGCCAGGATGGTGAGGAGGATCAAAATGTTTGTGAACAGCTCCAATGACCCCCACCTAAGGTGATCTAGTTGACCCAGAATATTCTTATCTTGGGTGATCTTTTTAAAAATTATTGATGTAAAAGTATACATTTAGAAACCATCAGGGAGACTAGCAGACCTCTCAATTGGAGCCTGTGGAATTTGAGAAACATTGCTCAGAACATGAAGTTGTTGCCGTCAAGTTTGGCATCCAACCATTTATGCTCTGTAAAAATTTCTCTGTGTGTCCATGATTCTTAAACTTTAGGGTGTGTAATGATCCCCTGAGGAGTTTGCTAAAAAGGCAGGTTGCGATATAGTCCTGCGTGAGGCTCAGGAATTGGTATTTAAATAAGCATTTCAGGTAGTTCTGATGTAAGTGCTCTCCCAGATTTGGCACTTACATGAATGGGATCGGATGCTCCACAGAGCCAAATGGACATGGTTCTCTAGGTTGGAAAATACATCCCATTGAAATGAGAAGAAAACTAAAGGTCACAAGCAGCTGAGCAGACACACACAGATTAGATGTGGACTGTGTATGTAGAGGGGCAGGTGGTTTGGGGGTGATGAATCAATTAGGAAACGGGGTTAGTCAAAGCGGTGATGGTGTCTGCCCTACCCGCATCATGGATTTGTTGTGAGGTTTGTGTATGTGAGATGATCACTGAGAAAACCCTCTAAAAACAATATGTAATTTTCAAGTGTAACCCAATTAATAGTAGCAATAAAAAGAGAGTCCTGAGGTTTGGATGTTTGAGCAGGGGCCATTTGAAGCCAGAGATAAATTATTCTCTTTCAGTAATCAGAAAAGGCTGTACTGCCAATCGGTTTCTTCTTAAACTCATAGAATGCCTGATGACATATTTAAAACTTAGCTCCATATGGTGATTTTGTTGTGTTTTCATATGTTGTATGCACAGATGGTTGGAAAATAAAATTCCCCACCTCCCACCTCGGCTGGTCTCCCCAGCACCTTCTGGTCCAGAAGCCGGGTGATAAAAGCATCAAGGTGCCAAGTCCCCCTCACAGAGTTGGGCTTGGAATAATTTGTCTCAGGCAAAAAGCCACCAGGCATTGCCCAAGTAGAAGAGTTTTCTGCTTGGGCCTTTTTGCTATTCACTGCGGAGGAGGAAGAAAATTGAGGCTATGTGTCTGGCAGCTGCATAATCATAATATAATTATCCACAAATATCAGGAAGCAAGGGAAGTTCTTAGCAAGTAAACAATAATGTACGTTCCATCAGTTTTCAGTTTGCCAGTCAGTCAACAAGTGTTTATGAAGTGCCCGGAGAGTGCATAGCATGGCATTTAGTTTTCAAATTTGCAAATCTCTGTAGCATCTGAAAGTAGATAGTGAATTTCCAGGGCATATTCTCTCAGATCTCCTTCGAAGGAGAGAACGAACTGCTGGTCCAGTGCCTTGACTGGAAACTGGCAGATTTATCTGCCTGTCACATTCCTCCACATTCCCAGAGGAGGTCTGCTGCTTTGGGCCTAGGTACTGTCATTTGGTTTTTATAATCTGAAGTATTCACTTGATTTTTATCCCCAATCTGTAATAATGGTGAGTTATTACACTTGCTAAACAAAATTAAATATTGTGTTTCTCATTTCTTGGAAATAAGAAGTGTTGAACATACTCCAAAGACACCATGACACTCTGAAAATAGCAGTTTTTGGAGAAGCAGTAACCATGGTTGCTCTCAATTAGAAGCTGAATTGGTTTCAAATATAAAATTTTGTTTTGATGAAAGGGAGAGAAAGCTGGTAATCCCTAGAGAACTGGTTGGCCCTTTCATAGTAACAGTTACGCTGCTTCCCTCTCTACTGGGAAGGCAGATGACCAGCTGCTTGGGCTTCCTTCCCTTCCATCGCCAAACTCTACTCAGTCTTACTTCTTGTGTCGGATGAACAACTATATCTTTGCCTCTTTAAAATAATTCCTTCTTTTAAAAAATATATTTTAAAATTGTACATGAATTCCCATATTCCACCTATAACAAAAAGAAATACAACATAGATAAGTCTGTAGTCCCCTTTGGGCACCCATTTCTACATAAGGCCCCCCCGTCCCCAGGCAATAACCTCTGGCATTTTCCAGGTTATATGCCTTTAGAGCCTTCTCTGTCTGTCATATGGAACTGTGTTTTCTCCTGCATCTCTTTCTTCTACTTCTTTTAGTTTGCTTGCCATCCATCCTGCCTGCCAACTCTGAGACACCAAGGCTCACCCTGGAGCAGGGCAGGGGTGGGCAGAAGGCCCCACCTGGGTGTGCCATGGCCATGTGGCTACCGGGCCTCACCCCCTGGCCAGGGCTCTGACCCCTGTGTTTTTGTCATCAGTAACTCCTGGTCTTCCATGGTAACAGCTGGCCCCCACTCCTCTCTGATCTCAAAGTAAGGCAGGTTATGCAGTCCTGCTAGCGTTCTTGTGCTGGTCCTTGACCAGCTTGCTGTTAGATCCATCCCTTGCTTTTTGTACGGCAGAAGGGCTGACTCCTGCAGGTCCGGTTCCCAAGCTGGCCCCCTCCTGGTTTTGAACAGTAGGAAATCCTGGTAACATTGGAGGACAGGAGAAAGGGAGAGGCCAGAAAATTTCTCTCTCTCTCTCTCTGCCCTGGTTTGGTCTTCACTAATCTAGTTCCATCTGGGCAGTCCAGCCTGTTTGAGCTTCTGCAGCTGAGATCAGCCTTTGGGCTTTGTTAACTCTGCTTTCTCACTTTGTCTCTGCAGTCTAGAGATTGTGGTAATGTCCTGCCCTTCCAAACTGCTAGGTAGATTCACCCATTTCCTTGGCTTCCCACTCAACTTTAAACATATAGAGTATTAGTTAAACGAACCAGGTGGAAATGATGGTTTTTCAGACTTTGGAAGTTTATTTTGTGGATTTCCAAGTTATAGCTACTGGTACTTTTTCTTGATTCCATCTCTGAGTAGTATTACATTTATTATTTCAAAATTATCATTAGTAGTCTTCTGCCACCCTCTGTGATGTCACATTCCTATCTTTCCAAATTGACATGATACATATTTCAAAGTGTATTTTCAGTAGATGTTTTTAAAAATAAAATACATGGAAAAAATGTTCTGAAGCTGCAGAATGCATTCATGTCCAAGAAGTTAACTTCTAGGAAGTTGAGAGGGTTCAGGTGGGCTCAAGCATATAAATAGAGATGCCAATAATTTATTTTTATTTTTATTTTTTTTTAGGGAAATTGCCTAGTTAGCACATGTGAGCTGTAAGTTCATTTCAGTCCAGTTACTTTTTCAACTGTGGATGGATTAAAATAAGTTATGGTGGTAGAAAGAAAGGAATTGGAATTCTAAAACCTAACAGGAGAGTTTGGAGTTCTTCCCAGTGAATGGACAATCTTGGCCATAGAGAAATCAAGGGCAAGAAAGTGTACCATGTATCTAGAGGTATTTGATCTGAACGGTGCATGAGACATGTACAAGGCTGGCAAGGGAAGCACCTAACCCAGTGTATTTCACGTAAATAGGCCATAACAACTTGACCAAAAAATAGAAGCTGCTCTCTGTGGGGGAAGGGACAAGCTTTGGTATTTTGTAATCCTGTTGTAGGTCTTCACTTTGTTTCCCCCTTGACAGTGGTGAATCATCTTATAGAACAAAAGTGAGCTTTGCGCTTGGTCACTGGGCTCTAGGAAACCCAGGGTATAGAAACAAAGAGACCCTTTCCAATTTTGTGGAAATTTGGCTCACAGAGACATTTATTCCAGTGCTCTGGCTCATGGTGGGAAGAACAATTCTGACTTCAAGATGCAAAACGGCCTTCCCACAATCTGATTCTGTTATTCTCTCTAGGGCAAACATTTGTTTTTTTGTTAATTTTTGGTAAGAATCTGAAATATTAAGAAACTTTGAGATTTTTCTAACTTTATTTTCATGGACAGCTTAGATAACATGTAAGCTAAGAATATCTTTCCATGTTAATTCTATCTGAAAACAAAAATAGAAATGAATAAGTGTATTATGTAAATCTAGGCTGGTTTTTGTGACAGTCTCTGTATTGCCTTTATTTAAAAATATGGACGGCACCTAACAGAATGTTAATAGGCAGAAACATTGAATCGGTGCCATTTTGGCAGTTCTGACAAAGAAACCAAGTGGTAATTAAGTTTCCCCCCTTTCTTGTGGAACAGTTACGCAACAGTTACGTTATTCTGCCAGTAACACAGCCCAAGGAGAATTTAAAGCACAGCTGGAAGCTGCTCAGGTGTTGTCCTTGAAGTATTGCAGAACTTTCTAGTAATACTGCCCATATCCCCAGCATTGGATTCTTTTTTTTTTTTTTTTTGCTCTTGAAATTTAAAAAGAAAAAGAGAAAGAATTGCAGAACTTAGTAGCAAATACAGAAGAATGTTTGTCATCTATGGATCAAGCAATATTCAAGTGAAAATTGTAGCCTAAACAGTGTTTGTTTTAGTCATGATTCTTGTCTACCACGGACTAAAAACCCAGCTTAGACCAGCTTAAGCAAAAAGGGAGGCTTTGTTTTTACACATCCTGAAACTCACAGAATCAAAGGAAATGTAGGAGCTGGGCCCACTGGGTATTGGTACTAGGTCCTTGAAGTACATCAATTTCCCCAGTCTCTCTCCATTTCCTATTTCTGCTTCTCTCCACATGCCAGCTTTATTTTCTCAGACATTTCTACAAGCTAGGGAGCAGAGCCACCTGAAGCCCTTATGGCTTCTGACCAAGGAGAAAAGAGAGCCCTGTCCTCCTCCAGCGTTCCGCCTTACTCTGTACAAGCCTAGAGCTGTCTGGGGAAAGATTCAGGGACTTGCCTCTCTCTCTAGCCAGGGGGATGGGTTTTTAAGATTGGCAGTTCGTACTAACACTATATTAAGTTGGACACAGAACAGTTTCCTAGAAGGGGAAGATGCTGTTTGAGAGGATGAAATGCTTTGGGTCTGCCACATTTAGTAAGAGGAAAAGAGACCTCAAGTCTCAACTGGATTGGGATATGTCCAGTCAGTTTCTTAAAACTGCATAGAATAGATATACTCAGGGAATGTTAGAATTTTTAGAAAAGACATGTATGCACTGCGGGGATCTAACTCACAGACCCTGACCCAGCAACAAATGAATAACATACACTGACACAGATAGTATGCCTGTCAGTCCAGCTGAGCATCTGCGCCACTTACAGACTCCAAGGAGAGTGCTGTAAAGAGTTGCAGCCGAGGCCCTGACTCACTGGCCCTGCCGGCATTTATTCAGCACACATTCAATGACAAAGGCTTTGAGTAAACACCACTATAGGAAAATTGACCTGGTTCCCGACACCCCTAGTAGAGAGCAGTTATGCACCCGAGGTTGATCAAAGGTTGGTCTTAGGATCACATGAGTAAACAAGCTATTTAGATAAACTGCATTCCTTTGTACCTACTTTAAGCCATTTACTCAAGGTAAGGATTAGGCAGCTTTCAGCCATAACCCTATCCTGAGACTTTTGCAAAACCTTCCAGCCTTCCAAGAAGATTTGTGTCTATATCCTATAACTTCATCTTAAAGTTTTTCCCACCAGCCTGACTGAACTCCCACAATGCACACTTACATATTTTGTGCAGAGATCCCTGATATAATGTTAAATGAAAAAAGGTCATAAAATAATGTATATAATCATTTCTATTTTCTTTCTCTTTTTAAAATAAGCTTTTTAACTTTTTTAAAAAATTTATTTTAGGTTCAGGAGTACATGTGCAGGTTATATAGCTATACTCCTGCCAGAGTTTACCTAGATTATTTTGTGACCCAGATACTAAGCCTAGTACCCAATAGTTATTTTTTCTGCTCCTCTCCCTCCTCCCACCCACCACCCTCAGGTAGGCCCCAGTGTCTGTTGTTCCCCTTTGTGTCTGTGTGTTCTTATCATTTAGCTCCCACTTATAAGTGAGAACATGTGGTATTTGTTTTTTGGCCTGCATTAGTTTGCTGAGGATATTGGCCTCCAGCTCCATCCATGTTGCTGCAGAGGACATGATCTTGTTCTTTTTTTACGGCTGCATAGTATTCTATGCTGTAAACGTACCACATTTTCTTTATCCAGTCTACCATTGATGGTCATTTAGGTTGAGTCCACGTCTTTGCTATTGTGAATAGTGCTGCAGTGAACATACATGTGGATGTGTCTGTATGACAGAACAATTTATAATCCTTTGGGTATATACCCAGTAATGGGATTGCTGGGTCAAATGGTAATTCTGTTGTCAGCTTTTTGAAGAATCCCTACACTAGCTTCCACAATGGTTGAACCAATTTACGCTCCCACCAAGAGTGTGTAAACATTCCCTTTTCTCTGCAAAGGTTCTATTTCATGAAAACAAATAAGCAGGCTCCTATATATGTGTACATATGTTTGTATGTATGTATTTGAGTGGGGAGATAGATGTGGAAGGAAACAAAGGCTGGTGTTATTGGTTACATCATTGACGAGTAGTGACCAGGAGTTAAAAATAAACTTTGCCTTTATTTATCATTGTATTATGCCATTTCATTTGTTAAATTAAGCTTGTATTACGTTTGTAATTTGAAAAAACATCAACTTATGTAAAAAGAAAAGCAGCCTATTCTGATTGACCTCAGGATGGGTGTGGATGCAGGAATTGAAGATAGTAGCTTGGGATCATCTCAGCCTGGAAATCCAAGGTGTCCCAGATTCCCAAAACTGGGAAATGCAGCATAGGATGTGGCAAGCCAGCCTCCCCTGGGGCAACAGCAAGCTTGAGAGGTCCACAGGACTGCTTGTTCAGTAAGCACATATCCCTTACAGAAAGCAGTTTTCAGTGGGTCACATCCACCACCACCTTCAATATGGCAAAGTCTACTGTAGGGCAGAGTCCTTGCCTGGGGCAATTGGAGGCAGGCCCCATCCTTCCAGTGCACAGATGGCTGCCTTCTGCTGATGGACTGCTCCTGGTCCAATCAGCTGTGGCAAGAACAGCCGGGCTGCTTTTAATCGAAGCACCTGATGTGAATCATTAACTATTCAGGAAAGAAGCACTGCTGGGCCTCTTTTACTGAAAAGGGGGCCAAGTACTTGATTGGCCCTTTGAGCCTGTGTGGTCCGTTCGGTTTGGGTAAGAACTTCCAATGCCTAGCACCAACCTTCTGCAGAGGCTTGTTAGAAGTAACCCACCCTTAGGAACGTACATGTTTGTGTGAGGATCTGTGTGAGATTCAGGTATTAATATCTTCCGTCCTCTTGTCAGAAAGCAACTATGTTAAATGTGGCCAAAGAGATGGAGGCTGAAATTGTGGTAAGGGAATCAGTGATGTGCGATGCTGTGAGATGCTAAAGATCAAGAAAGCAGACAGCTGCAGCGGCCACAGCAGCAAGTGCTGCCATTTATTGGGTGCCTGTGCTGTGCCGGGCACCATGCTAGATGTGCCACAGACATCATGAACATGTCATGCTCAATAATTCAAGGTAGCTGCTTTCAGTTACCATTTATAGTTGAGACTCAGAATTAGTAAGTAATGTGCCTCAGGCTCCACTGATAGTAAACAGGCAGAGTTAGATTTAGGACCTTTGCCCTCAACAGGCTCCTGGAGAACAAGCCTTGGTTAGCATTTCCTGTGCACTAGCCAAAGGAGTAAGAGCAGCTCTATTTTAGAGAGATGGTCTCAGTTCTTTAGATGGAATTGTTTCATCGGACTACTAAAAATCAACTTAAAAAATATTAATGTGCATAGTGGAAGTATGCCTTTAAGGTAAGTGACTCCAACCACTGGAAGGGGTATGCCTGTTCTCTTACTGCTGCCTGCTAAGACAGGGGCTTAGGAGAGAACAGATCTGGCGACTGGGATTGCAAGATGCACCTAGGTTGGGACACTTTGAAGTGTAAGTGCTTATGGGACCTGAGGCATAGGTGGCCAGTGGGTAGTACAAGTGTGCTTGTGCTGGACATAAAGATGGAGGAAAACTCCAGGTGCTCATGTGCAGGTGGAAGTGTGGTTCGCTGCAGTCTTTCTGGGGATGCCATTTGGCTGTATATGTCAAACGTCTTAAAATTTTTCATACCCTTTTACCCTGTAGTTGCACTTCTAGAAATTTTTCTAAAGGAAATGTTAAGAGTATATACAAAGATTTATGCCCAAGAATGTTCATCCTGGCCTTTTTTATAATGCTGAAAAATGGAAATAACTTTTAGGAAAACAAATATAGCTGGTCATTCAAAGCAGTCACTAACAGGCTGCATTGACAGCAGGTACAGTGAAAAACCAGAGATAAAAAATACATATATAAATAATATATTCTCAATTTTTAAACATTAGATACAAATTTACCACATGTAACTGGTACGTATGGCTGTATGGTAGAATAACAGGTGAGTCTTATTTTCTTCTATTTTTCTCTACTTACCAAATTATGGTGAATATGTAATTATGGAAGAAAACAAGACCTATTTCTTTAGTTGAAAATGTCCCATTCTGATATGCGTGTGTGGTGAGGTGGTGCCAGTAAGTGCCTCTCAGTATTCGTCATTATTTTAAGGAAATGTGTGTGAACATAAGCCTAGCTTCTCTGCATGATCAAAAAGCAAAGTAAGGGGCTGGGGGCAGTGGCTCATGCCTGTAATCCTGGCACTTTGGGAGGGAGAAGGATAGCTGGCAGCCAGGAGTTCGAGATTACGGTGAACTGATCGTGGCGCCACTGCACTTCAGCCTCGGCAACCAAACAAGACCCTGTCTCTTAAAAAAAAAAAAGGCAGCAAAATAAAACTTACCCCAGGTTGACAGCCCATGAACTTGATAGGAAATAAGAGGGTCAACTGGAATGGGCTGTTTTCTATAACAGAAATATCAGAGTCTTCTTGGTCAGTCCTTCCCCACAGGCAGGCTTCAGAAAGAAGTGGCGTCTGTGGTTTTGTGGCTGGATTCAGTTTCAGAGAATGGTAGGGGACTGAATTTTGTAAGCAGTGTGTCTTTCCTGACAGGGGCAGGGAGCCTGGCTTCCTGAGACTGTCCCCTGATGCCACAGCAGATGTGTCAAACCATTTTTCCTGCTCATGGCATGTAGTTTGAGAGAGCTTGATAGTGAAGCTGCCAGCTCAGCTGTGACTGGCCACTCATTTGCAGACAAGAATGCCTTACTGGCCTGGGCTTGCTTAAGGTAATTGCTTCTAGACTCCTCACTCCTGCTGGGCCACAGTTGCTTGAACAGTCAAATAAGGGGTTGGGGGGTAGAGGATATATCTCAAAACCTTCTTTGTGCTTGAAGATTTGTGATTCCTTGTTCTTTGGAGAATGAAAATATCTTCTAGAAGGTGATTAGAGAGCAGTACTCTTTAGAAATAATAATACTAGTGGCCAACATTATATACAGCACTTTACTGTGTGGCAGGCACTATTCTCAGCACTTTTCTTAACTCACTTAATCTTCACAGTGATCCAATGAGGTAGTTATGCTATCATCCCCATTTTACAGACGATGAAACTGAGGAGAAAAGGAACCTACACATGGAACCTTTCTTATACCAAAAGCATAGCTAGTGGTTTGCAATTAATTTAAAAATATTGGCTATTTTAGGCCAGGCTCAGTGGCTCACTCCTGTAATCCCAGCACTTTGGGAGGCCGAGGCAGGCAGATCACTTGAGGCCAGGAGTTCAAGACCAGCCTGGCCAACATAGCAAAACCCCATCTCTACTAAAAATACAAAAATTAGCCGGGTGTGGGGGTATGTGCCTGTAATCCCAGCTACTGGGGAGGCTCAGGCAGGAGGATCACTTGAACCTGGGAGGTGGAGGTTACAGTGAGCCGAGATTGCACCATTGCACTCCAGCCTGGGCAACAGAGCAAGACTCCATCTCAAAAAAAAAAAAAATATATATATATATATAGAGAGAGAGAGAGAGGGAGAGAGAGAGAGAGAGAGAGAGAGAGAGAGGCTATTTTAGAAATTAGTGTAAATGATGTATAGGGCTTAGTCCAAAGCCTTACTTTTATCCAGTCTCAAAAGTTACTCTCTGGAATACCTTTTCTGCTGTGTTCCTGTGTATTTTTCTTAGTTTTCATCTATCTGGCTGTTTGGGTAGAGGTGGGGGTTTCCCTCCCTTACTGGTAGGGAAGAAAGGGATGAACTTCAGTACTTCAGTACTTCAGTAGTTGGGCATGGTGGTGCACGCCTGTAATCCCAGCTACTCGGGAGGCTGAGGCAGGAGAATTGCTTGAACCCAGGAGACACTCCAATCTGGGCAACAGAGTGAGACATTGTCTTGGAAAAAAAAAAAAAGAAAGGGATGAACTTCAGGAAGAAATGGGGAGTGGGCCTTTCAGGAGAGTATTGCCTCAATCAGGGGAGAGAGAGAGAGATAGAAGAAAGAAGTGTGAAACTCTTGATTCTGGAGCAACCTGGAGCAGGGTGCTGAATGATGTACATTTAAGAGGGACTGTGTGCCGGATTCAGGCAAGCCGTGAGAAAGGGACAGGTCCGGGCCACTGAGTAGGGTTGGGATGAACTTTCTTAGGTCTGGGTAGAGCTGGGACTGCCTAGAGCCACCAGTGTGGTCATTATGCATGTGTTCTGCAGCACTGTCCAGTGCGGCTTTCTGCCATGATTTGAATATCCAATATCTGCACTGTCTGGTTCAGTGTCCACCAGTCACGTGTGTCTGCTGCACACTTGAAGGGTGGCTAGTGAGACTGAAGAACTGCATTTTTTATTTTATTTACTTTTAATTAAGTTTAAATGTAATAGCTATGTGTGGCTACTGGCTACCATATTGGACAGCACAGCTCCATAAATGAAAAATACTGGCCGGGCACAGTGGCTCACGCCTGTAATCCCAGCACTTTAGGAGGCCGATGCGGGCGGATCACGAGGTCAGGAGATCGAGACCATCCTGGCTGACATGGTGAAACCCTGTCTCTACTAAAAATAAAAAAAATTAGCTGGGTGTGGTGGCGTGTGCCTGTAGTCCCAGCTACTCGGGAGGCTGATGCAGGAGAATCGCTTGAACCTGGGAGGTGGAGGTTGCAGTAAGCCGAGATCACGCCACTGCACTCCAGCCTGGGTGAAAGTGCAAGACTCTGTCTCAAAAAAAAAAAAACAAAAAAAAAAACTGACATGACATGAGCATTTGGAAAGCCTATACATTATGTGTGTGTGTGTGTATATATATATGTGAAACTGAAAGAAACTCTTTATAATTTCAGAAAAACAATTTGGGTTCAATATAGAGACTATAGAAAAGAAGAAAATAAAAAGTACTCATGAAAACACCTCCTCAGAGGTAACTTATTGGTGCTTTGGCATATAACCTTCTAAGTTGTGTTCTATGGTTACGTCATAGGTAGCCAGCTGGCTGTCAGATGCATAACCTGAAAACATCCAGCAAAAGATAAGGCATGTTAGCAGGAGAGAGTGCTGAGTTTGCCCCAGAAGACAATACCAATGGAGTTATTAATGATTTGCCATGGTTGATGTTCCTCTTCTGGGTCCTAGGTCATCAACCCCATGGGATGGGATGCTTTTGGATTGCCTGCTGAAAATGCCGCAGTCGAGAGGAATCTACATCCACAAAGTTGGACACAAAGGTAAGTGTTTACAGGCATATTCAAATACTTGCATACAAAAACCTTTAAAAAATTTTTTTAACCTGTGCTTAAAAAATAGAAAGCAAAGCAAACAAAACACTGCAGCGTACCAAGAGATAAATATGATTGTGTATATTGGTGTTTGTCTTTTAACATATTGTATTCTTATCTAAGAAATATTCAGAGAGGGTTTTGGATATTTGTTCATGTGTTCATTTTGATGCTTTGTTATTTACAGTTATTTTTCCTTCGAGTATTTACATTCGGTAGGAAAAAGAAGAGGGTTAGGAAAAAGAAGAGGGTCGCATTTGTTAAATTTCTATAATGCTTCTGGTCTTCTTGACCATAGTTTTACTATATCCGAATACTACATTATAATTTTCTCTGAAAATTCAGTTTATTTTTTGCCTTCACCATTCAGAAGCAAGAGGAACTTAGGCATTCCATGTAGAAATATATGGCCACTTTATTCTGGGTGTGGTTTTCTCCAAGGCGGAACACACTCGCAATCCCACCCAAGCCTCAGGCTTCTACTACACGTGGGCCAGCGGTGCTCATTCCTCTCCCTCCTGCTAAAGTCCTGAGGGCCTCACCCTAGAACTTGGCAGAATCCTCTGGGGCCACTGCATCAGCTCATTTCACAAAGGCCTGGGACGCTTCCCCATGCCACCCCTTAGAGAGACAGAAGGGCAGTTCCAGGGCCTGTGCCCAGTGTCTCTTACCTGTCTTTGTTCTAGCTTACCCAAGGATACATTGTAAAAGCATCTACTGTGCTTCTGTCCATACTATGGCATCCAGGTCTCTTTTTTCTTCCTAACCCCTAGCTTCTACTTTTCTAGTAATGTTTAATTCTAGATTAATTAATTTTATCACTAGATTTTATCTAGTGATAAAAAGAGGAGGAAATGATGATTCAAATAAAGTGGATCAAACATGGCTTATGTTTGATATAAGGTAGACCAGGAGTTGGCAAACTACGGCCTGTGGGCTAAATCTGGCCCTACCTGTTTCTGTAAATCAAGTTTTATTGGAACACAGTCAAATCCATTTGTTTACATATTGTCCGTGTCTGCTTCCGTGAGACAGTGGCAGAGCTGAGTAGTTGTAATAGAGACTGATTGGCTCACAAAGCTGAAAGCATTCATCATCTGGCCCTTTTAGGTTTGCCAGCCTCTCTACTGGTGAATAGCAGTTAAGATGATGGCCCCTGAGCCAGGCTACCTAGGTGCAAATCCTGCCTTCCCTTCTTGCCAGCAGATCACCTTGAGCAAATTACTTAACTTCTCTTTACTTATTTGTGCTTCAGTTTATTTATCTGTAAAAGAGGGATAGTCATAGTTCCTATCTCATGTGATTGGATAAAGACTAAGCACTTCTCTGCAAAGTGCTTAGCATAGGGTCTTGCATTAAATAAGCTGCCATTAGCTAATCAGAGATTATACAGAAGATTTTTTCATGGTTTTTCATATTTTTAGTCTGCTAGAATCTAAAAGAGGATGCAGTAGAAATGAATTAGTCCTTTTTCTTTAAAAAAATGAAAGAGAAAAAGGTTTATTTCTTTATTCCATGTTATATTATAAGTTGGTTTACCTGTTTATCTCCCTGTTTCTCAATGGTGGATAGTTTTAGGTTTTAGGATTTACATTTTCATTAACAAAGCAGTGTGTGGTTTCTTTTGGATTCCCACAATTTATATATTAAGGCTTTTGTTTTCAGCCACTTTTAAGCTTATAAATGCTTGGCTTAAATAATATGGCTTAAATGCTTGCAGAATATTGACGTCTGGACGGGCCAGCAGTGCACATCTCAAAGGGGTT
This sequence comes from Homo sapiens, assembly GCF_000001405.40. Taxonomy (NCBI): domain Eukaryota; kingdom Metazoa; phylum Chordata; class Mammalia; order Primates; family Hominidae; genus Homo; species Homo sapiens. Next base: position 45,419,391 of record NC_000003.12, read on the forward strand.
GCCTATTTGAATGGCCAGGGGAAGGGGCAGTTCTCAAGGCCAAAGACCATTGTGGTTTCTAGTGGATTCTGTATATGTCCAAATAATGGGTGTCTTCTAATCTGTTGGTATTTTTTGCTGATTCTTAGTGGTTGATTTTTCTGCTAGGGCAAAGCAACACTTAAAACCCATTTGAATAATTTAGACTTTTTCAGTTTCCCTTTACATTCTCAAAGTGTAGTTGTGTATGGCTTTAATCCCCTCTCTAAAAACCAAACCTTTTTCCCATTGTTTCACAGTAATATTAAACACATGAGGAAACAGCTTGATCGTCTGGGCCTGTGTTTCAGCTGGGATAGGGTAAGTCAACTCTTTTTCCTGAAAGGTCGTCATTTTAAGGAAGGACTTGATGGCAGGGAGCACTCTTCTTCCTCTTTGAGTTGGGAGAAGGCAAGGGTGGGAGGCAGGAAGCAGGAGGGAAGGATTAGCACTCTTCAAAAAGTATCCTGAGTGGATAATTTGCTTGGAAACAAGTAATTTTCTGTGGGATTAAACTGAGAGTTAACTTCCTATTTAACTTTGGAGTTGGCTATGATTTCTGTGTGGCAAAAGCTTTGCACAAGGATTTCTCTAGTTCTCAGCAATAGTTTTAAAAGACTGTTGGAATCTATATTAAAGTGATTAAATATCAATCCATCTGGTCCTTGAAGTAATTAGACATTGATTGACCATTTATTTACCTTTTGTTTTAAGTTCAGAAGTGAGGCTCATAACAGCCCATAATTATTCTGTCACATATAATCTTTTGGTGTTAGACACTTTCAAACTGTACATTAAATCAGTGGAGAATCAGTGGAGAATTCCAGACCCACGAGGAGTTCATGGAAAGCCACCTGGCTGTTTGGAACACTCGTGTTGCAAACAAATTGTGAACTGGGCCCTTCAAAGCTGTGGCCCAAGGCCCACCCTTTAGACTTTGAAGAATAGTCTGTTAGGTAAGATGGACTGTTGCTTGTCTCCTCCACGAAGGGCCCCTTCCAATGCCACAGTCCCTCTTAACATCCCATTTACTCCACAAAACGATTGGGGTTTTCATTGCTGGGCCTGTCAAGTTTATATTGTTTTCTTTACTAGAAGCACTGGAACAAATGCAAATGAGGGCTCCTCATCCCTCCCCCCAACAATTTCTTAAATGATTGAAATTTGATGAGTACAGTGAAAAAGAACAAAAGTCAAACACATTTGAATAAGCCCTGAATTATTATTTCCTCACACCAGAGTCAAGTTGTCCTGAGGTGCCAATAGGGAATCGCTCATAGAGAATGAAATACGGTCACAGGCAGAGAGAACTGAGTATTGGCCAGAGCTCTTTCAGGATGAGAGTGTTGACTCCTTGAGGGCAAAAATGGACTTAATAACCCTTTAGAGTGATAACTAGCCTAGTCCTGCACAGGAATATCAACGATAAATGACTTAAAAGTTGTTAGATTGTTTTCCTAATCATCACAGAGGATTAGAACATACAGAAAAGTATAAAGAGCATAATGTGGCTAATTTAATATTTTGGTATGGTTCCTTGCAGTCTTTTATTTTGGAATTATAAACATTTATATAATTTACAAAGTTCAAATCAATATGCATATATTTTTTGTCTTGAATATTTTTATATCTCATTAACTATTTGAAAAAGTGACTTTTATAGCTGAGCAGTTTTTTGTTTTATGAATGTATTATAATGTATTTAAGCTATCTCTTATTATACATTTAGATAGATTCTAATGTTTCTCTATTATAAATGCAGATTCTCAATCCTTCTTGTTCAAATCCGAAGTCCAGAAAGCTCTGAAAACTGAAAGTTTTTTCATAATTTATTTCACTGTAAAACCTGAATTGAACTGATATTTATCTCACTAAAAATGAGTATTCATATATTTTACTGTAAGAATAGTAAAATTACCAAGTAATATCCCAGACCTAGTTAGATAAATGCACTATTTTCTTTTAATTTCAAAAAAATCTTAATTCTGAGGCACATTTGGCTGACAGCATTTCAGATAAGGGATTTTGAACCTCTAATTCAATGATGTAGATAAATATCACCACTTCTACTACCATTGTCTATTACTGAACACTTACCATGGGCCAGGTACAGAGTAGGTATGACCTTATTATCTCTTTGGATCCCTAGAGAGCTCTAAAAGGCAGGTACTTTTATTGACGTCATTTTATTGCTGGTCACCCAAGTGGCAAGGCTGGGCTGATCCATTGGTCAAGTTATGACTGCCGTGCTCCTCCCCCAAACTTAAGGCAGAAATCTCAGTGCAGATGATCCTGGACTTACAAGGGGGTTATCCTAAATTGAATAAGACTGTCCTAAATTGAAAATATTGTAGGCATATAATACATCTAACCATCATAGCTTCACCTAAACTACCTTAAATGTGCTCAGGACACTTACATTAACGTACAGTTGGGCAAAATCATCTGACAACACAGTCTCTTGCAGAGTATCGGTTGTTTACCCTCATGACTGTGTGGCTAACTGGGAGCCGAGGCTCAGTTTTGCTGCCCAGCATCTCAAGAGTATCATACTGCTTTCTACTGAATGCATATCTCTTTCACATCATTGTACCACTGTAAAGTCGAAAAATTGTTAAGGCAAGCCGTCATAAGTTGGGAACCATCTATACACATATTTTATTATTTCCTTAAAATGAATTCTCAAAAAATCAAGAACAAATTTTGGTATTTATTGCCAAATTACCCTCCATAAAGGCTATACAAATTTCCTTTCTCAAGTTATACAGTTATTTTCATTTGTATTTCCTTTATTATTAGTGATTGTGAGGTTTTTTCATGTGTTTAATGAATGTTTGAATTTGAACAGGGTATGTATGTGAATGGTCTAATCATGTGTTTTCCCATATAGATAGGAGGTGTTTGTCCTTTTTTTAATGGTTTTTGTTACAAATAATTTTCCTCAGTCTGTCATTTGCCTTGCATTTTGTTTATAGTTGAATATTATTAGCATACAGATATGTACTTAGACCTTTGAGATAGGATAAATAACATATTTTCTTCTTGATTCTTTGTGATTTAAGTTTTACACTTCACTGGAATTATTTTAGTATATGAGATAAGACAAGGAATTACTACTTTTTCTAAATCACCAGTTGATTAAAAAAAATTTTCAAACAATCCCTTCTCTTTGTTGATTTAAAAGGCAAACTTTATAATAGACCAAGTTATTTCGTCCTATCATTATACACCAAGTTCTGTTTGTGTTCATTTGATCCATTTATTATTTCATGACTAAACTATTTTTAATTACAATTGCTTTTAATACTTGGCAACAGAAGTTTTCTCTCATTGTCTGATATTAGCAATGCCATCTCCACCTTCTGTTGTTTATTAAAAAAATAAACTTTTAGCCTTTATTTGTTGACTTCTATTGGTACATCATTTATAGATACAATTAATTGAAAAAATTAAAAGGTGGGCAAATATATGGGGGAAACCTTTGGGGCAATTTGGAGTCTTTGTGTTTAATAGGAAAGTGAAAAGCTATTTGTATTTATTTGCATAACTCGTATTTATTTTCATAACTCGTACTTATTTTCTAATTAAACTTTTTAAAACATAGCTTTAGACTTCTATTTTTAATGATGTCTTGCCTTTGGATTCTGTTTTCTTTTATCTATAGAGACTTGAAAAGTATCAATTCCATTGTTCAATCTGCTAAAAGATAGCTTTAAGAGTGTTTTTTAAAAATAATTTGTATCAACATAAAAAATAGTGTATTTCTCTTGATCCTCATGTATGATAAGAAAAGTAGCAGGTAATTAACATTTCCCATTTTCTAAATCTATTTTCCAGGGGTTTTTTGTTGTTGGTTTTTATGGGGGTATATCCTGAGATGTTAGTCCTAATTTACTGTTTCATTGTTTTTGTTTTTGTTTTTTAGACAGGGTCTTACTCTGTCACCCAGGCTGGAGTGCAGTGGTGCGATCTCAGCTCATTGTAACCTCTGCCTCCCAGGTTCAAGCGATTCTTGTGCCTCGGCCTCCTCAGTAGCTGGGATTACAGGCACGCACCACTACACCCGGCTTCTTTTTGTATTGTTGAAGAGACGGGGTTCTGCCCATGTTGTCCAGACTGGTCTCAAATTCCTGGCCTCAAGTGATCCACTGTGCCTGGCCGGTTTACTGTTATATTGCAATTTTTCTAATCATGTATCATTTCTTAACCATTATATTTGATATTCACTTCCAGTTTTACAATCATATTCATAGCAATTATTTAAATTTTAATGCTCTTTAATTTCACAGCTTATAAGAAGACCTTTTAAAGGACAACCGTTCATTTAAAATTTTTTCATTTCTGAACATTTTTAAAACTTTGTTTTAACTCTTGGTTTGGTGTGATCTTCGCCCAGGTGTCACAGGTTACTTTCATAACTAAGAATGACAGCTGCTTTCACCTACAAACAGCAACTTACTGGGATATAGAATCTTTCATTCATTATCTTTTTTCTTTCTTATCTCTGTAGTAGACCTTGATCTATTGTCTTTTTTAAAAATACTTATAGGCTTGCAGGAAGTTGCCAGGATAGTACAGAGAGATCCTGTGTGGTCTTTACCCAGCTTTGCCCAATGATAACATTTTCATAATGTAATATAATATCAAACCAGGAAGCTGCCTTCGGTACAATACTATTATTAATAAGTAGAGTGCAAGTCTTATTCAGATTTCACCAGTTTTTAGATGTAATCATTTGTGTCTATTTGTGTGTGTATAGTAGTATAGGTTCTCCTTAACTTACAGTGAGGTTACATCACAATAAACGCATTGTTAAGTTGAAAATATCATAGAGTCGAAAATACATTTAATACACATAACCTAATGAACATAATACTTTAGCCTACCTTAAATAGGCTCAGAACACCTATATTGGCCTACAGTTGGGCAAAATCATCTAACACAAAACCTATTCTGTAATAATAGTGAATATTGAATGTTGAATATCTTATGTAATTTATTGGTGTTCTATTGAATGTGTATCACTTCCACACTATTGTAAAGTCAAAATATAGGTCTAACCATTGTACATCACGGACTATCAGTAGTAGTAGTAGTGTAGCAGCAGCATCAGTAGTAGTAGTTCTATATGATTTAATTACATGTGTAGATTTGTGTAACCACCACCACCTGATCCGTTGTATTTTGATGGAGAAGTCTGAGAGCAGCCAGAATTGTCTCTGTACATATAGTAATCCTTCCATCTGTATTTTGATGCTTGTTTTTTTATTCTTTTCTTCTTTGCCCTTGCCATTTTCCATTTTTCGTCAGAGTGTATCTCAGTGTCAATTTGTTTGCTTTAATTTTGCCTGGTGCTCAGTGACCACTTTTGATTAACAGTTGTAGGTCTTTCATTGTGACAGTTTCATAGGAGCCCTTTCTCAAGAACACTGTCCGTATACTCATTTCATTGTCTTCCATTGTCATCACCATCTCTCTCATGATTTTGGTCTCCTTTTTATTCTCTACCTTCTGGAAGAACTTTTTCATGTTTGCTTTTTATACCACTGATTCTATTTCTGTACAATCAATGTGGTCTTGTATGGTTTCTAGTACAGATATTAGTTTTGTATTTTTAGATTTATTATTATTTTTCCTTATCTCATTCAGTTCCCATTTTTTTTCTGAATCCTTTTGGCCAGATGCTCTATTTTCCTTCTTGTTTTTCTATCTTATTTATCTTCATAGATCTTATATGTTCAGAAATTTTTCTAAATACTAGGAGATGCCCTTGAAGATTTATTTTTGTTTCCTGTAATAAATGTTTTTTACAACTTTCGGATGCTGTGTTCTTGTCTGTTTTGGAATCTTTTCTTAGGCACCTGTAGATTCTCCCTCATTTCCTGATTGAGGGGGACTAGTGTATCAATTTGGAGCTTTATCAGCCAGAGGGAGTGGAGTAGAAGCTGCCCTGTAAGGCTGTTGTTCACTGAAACAAACTCAGAACGTGACCTCACACTCGTCCCTGCAAGCCATGTGGGCTAAGAGAGATTTAGAGTGTGGTTATCTGCAGAGCTGCGGAAGAGTTTGTTTGTGAATGGAAGTGGTCAGCAGCACAGCCACATCAGAGCCATGCTCTATCAGAATTTTTACTGGGACAGGCTTTTGGTGACTTCAGGCCCTTCCAAGTTTTGTCCATCAGTGCCTCATAGCCTGTATAAAGTAGGGTGAACATTGAGGTGTTCATGGTGTTCCCCACCATCAGCACATATATCTTTGCTTCTATTTGTCTTTCTCTCCATCATGTAATTTTCATCTGTAAAGAATCTGTTATTGCTGAATAGACAATATATAGCAGTATGTAGCTTTTAAGATGAAGTCTCTTGTCTGTCTTGCTTGCTTGCTTTCGTGTAATCACAATTCCATCATCACACCTAAAACGCTTGATGACAATGCCTTAGCATCACGGAATCTCAGTTTGCAAATTTCTCTGGTTTTCTTATAAGCCTTTTTTTTTTTCTTTTCTTTTCTTTTCTTTTTTTTTTTAATATTGTGGGTTTGATTGGCTGCACTTCTCTTAGCCTTCTCTTCCCACTGTCATGTTGTTACAGTAGTTTAGGAGCAGTGCTCTCTTTCCATCCAAAACATATAGACTCTGAATCATTTCTGCCTCAATTTATTTTAAAAGACAGCACGATTTGTATGATTACAAAGTGAAAATTAATATTACTTCAAAGCCCGTACTACCTTGACACCTTATTTTCATAGAGAACCGGACCTCTGATAGGAGGCTTGAACTAATAACGAAGCCTCCGGAATAATAGAAAGACATTATTGTTTTTTATCTTAAAAGAATTTAAAGAATAGCTTAAAACAAAAAGAACTTAAGGGCAAGAGAATGCATGAAAACTCAGTGGGGAAGATTCCCTTTGCAAGAGCTAGCAGTGGTTGCCTTGACAACATGTCACAGGCACCTGAAGTGTTTGACCCGCCCAGTCCTCTTTCAAGTGCTCACAGAGGTGGGGCACTTTGTCTAGCAGATCTCCGGCTCTGGATTACTTGTTCTCCCTCAGAGTCAGAAATTAACCTTTTCCTGAAGGTTTTTTCTTTAGTTAGGAGGGGAAAGGCAGTACCTTTGTTTTAGCTGAAATGATTTGGCAGCTTACTTATTTTTAGGATGGTTGGTGTTGACACATAAGGGGTAGTGTAGTCTGTCACCTTGAGGCCAGGGACCACATCTCATTAATAGACGGTACACTTGCAGTTGACCTCATGAGGAGCTGTGCCCACTCTGTGCTTGCCGGTCAAAAACATATGAGGTGTGTTTTTCATCGCTTCAGCCAGGACAGTATTCTCGCAGTCTTCAGCCTTAACTAAAGAGGGATGTCTCCTGGGGCTGCCCAGCAAATGTAGCTCTTCAAGGAAGTTATTTGTTTTGTCCGCAGTTCCAGCTGGTAGTCATGAGCCCAGTCAGGTCATCCCCATCAAGGATGTACACTCTGGCTAATAGAATAGAATTTCCTGATGTAATGCTTGTTGAGTGCTTTCAGGAGACAGGATCTTGGTTCGTCTTGGAGACCTCAGTTTTGGTGATGGATCTGGCTATTAACACTTGGTGGGCATGGTCTGTCGCCCCTCGGAGCCTCAGCTTCTTGCCAAGGGAATGCTTCTTGTCATAAGATTAGGTTACTCTTTAAATGCCTTAGAAAATAAGGGTACAAAATCTCTCTCTTCCTGACTGAATCAGGCCTCCAGATCAGTCTTCTACATCAGCCAGGTACAACATTTGATAGAATGGGAGACTACAGTTATACGGATACGATGGGCATCAGGAGTAGTATTTAAAAGGTCTTGAAGATGAGATTGTTATTCCATGAAAATAACAAGGATTATTTTTACATATACTTACAGCAGTGGTTCTCAAACTTTGGCAAGCATCAGAATCACCAAGAGGGCTTGTTAAAGCACAGATCTCTGGCCCCATCCTCAGTTTCTGAATGTGTAGGTCTGTGATTTTGTTTTTCTATTCAGAAAAAGGAATCTTAGGAATGATCATGCTTCCAAACCTTATTAGGTAGGAATCAAAATACAGGCCCATCATCAATTCTTTCTGACATAAGGTAGAACATGAATGAATAATAAAAACAACTTTTGGAAAAACTAGGTAATGTTTTGCAAATACAAGACTTACTTTTAATAACTTCCTTTTACTGTGAAATACTAGACATATATAGACTAGAGCATAAAACGTGTATGTATAACTTAATACATTATAGTAATGTATAGCTACTACCTAGATTGAGAAATAAAACATCTCCTGCACCCAGAGGCTTGGCTCAACATGTGTCCTCCTCCAGTCACAACTCTGTCTCTCCTCTCTATAGGTAACCACTGTTCTGACATTGATGATCATTACTGCCTTGTTTTCCTTTTTTTTCTTTTTTTTTTTTTGAGGCGGAGTTTTGCTCTTCTTGCTCAGGCTGGAGTACAATGGCACGATCTTGGCTCACTGCAACCTCTGCCTCCCTCATTGAAGCAATTCTCCTGCCTCAGCCTCCCAAGTAGCTGGGATTACAGGTGTGTACCACCACACCCAGCTAATTTTGTATTTTTAGTACAGATGGGGTTTCACCATGTTGGCCAGGCTGGTCTCAAACTCCTGACCTCAAGTGATCCACCCGCCTCGGCCTCCCAAATTGCTGGGATTACAGGCGTGAGCCACCACGCCTGGCCACTGCCTTGTTTTCAATGTACTTTTACCACTACATATGTGTTTGGGTTTTTTGGTTCTTTTTCTAGGATTTTTAAATTATGGTAATGTTCACATAACAAAAATGTACTATCTTAACCTGTTTTTTTTTTTTTTTTTTTTTTGAGATGGATTCTTGCTCTATCACCCAGGCTGGAGTGCAGTGGCGCGATCTTGGCTCACTGCAAGCTCCACCTCCTAGGCTCACGCCATTCTCCTGCCTCAGCCGCCCGAGTAGCTGGGACTACAGATGCCTGCCACCACACCCGGATAATTTTTTTTATATTTTTAGTAGAGACAGGGTTTCACCGTGTTAGCCAGGATGGTCTCAATCTCCTGACCTCGTGATCCACCCGCCTCAGCCTCCCAAAGTGCTGGGATTACAGGCGTGAGCCACCGCGCCCAGCCTATCTTAACCATTTTTAAGTGCCAGTTCATTGCTATTAAGTACATTCATATTGTGGTGCAACCATTATCACTCTTCATCTCCAGATGAACTCCTTACCTACATACAGTTTTTAAAGTTGTATCAATGGAATAACATAGTATGTGTTCTTTGGTGTCTAGCTTTAACTCAACACTTTTTCCCCTCTATTTTTTATTATAACAATACAAATTTTCAAACACTTAGAAAGGTTGAAAGAATAGTACAATAAACATTCATATACCTTTCACCTAGATTCAATAATTATTGCTGTATTCGCTTTATCTCTTTTTATTTATACATATTATATATATATATTTCTCCCCCTGAATTATTTGAGTATGTATTGCAGACATCATGGCTCTTGACCCCAAAGTACTTCAGCATTCCTATCTGAGTAAGTAGGAGGTTTTCTGACACAGCCATAATACCATTTTGAAAACTAAGAAAATTAACAGTAATTCCATAATGTTATTTATAATCCAGTTTATATGGGAATTTCCCACTTGCCCCAAGAATGTCTTTTATAGTTGTTTTTACTCTAGATAAGTCCCCTGCATTAGTTTTCTGCTGCTACCATAACAAATTATCACAAACTTAGCATCTTAAAACAACATCAGCATATTATCTGACAGTTTCTGTAGGTCAGAAGTTTGGGTGAGCTTGATAGGGTCCTCTGCGAGCGTCTTACAAGGCCAAAATCAAGGTGTTGGTAGAGCTGTGTTCCTTACTGGGTCCTCTGGGGAAAAATCCACTTCTGAGATCATTTAGGTTGTTGGTTGAATTCACTTCCTTGGCAACTGTAGGACAGGTCCCTGTTTCCATACTGGTCATCAGCCAGGGATTGGTCTTTGCTTCTAGAGGCTGCTTGCATTTCTTCTCAAGCCTTCCACATGGCCCCCTCCAGCAATGCATTCCCTCTCATGCTTCAGATCTCTCCCATTCCAGCCAGAGGAAGATTTCTGCTTTTGCATACCCATTTGATTACATTGGGCCACCTGGATAATTTAGGATACCCTTCTTATTTTAATTACATCTGCAAAATTCCTTTTGCCATTTAACTAACATATTCACAGGTTCAAGGGATTAGGGCATGGACATCTTTGAGGTGGTAATTCAGCCTACCACATCCTTCTGCTTTTTTTTTTTTTTTTTTTTTGAGATAGGGTTTTGCTCTGTCGCCCAGGCTGGAGTGCAGTGTTGCGATCTCAGCTAACTACAACTGCTGCTTCCTGGGCTTAAGTGATTCTCCCACCTCAGCCTCCCAAGTAGCTGGGACTACAGGCACCTGCCACCACACCCAGCTGATTTTTGTATTTTTTTTGGAGATGGGGTTTTGCCATGTTTTCCAGGCTGGTCTTGAACTAGTGAGGTCAAGTGATCCACCTGCCTCAGGCTCCCAAAGTGCTGGACTTACAGGCATGAGCCACCATGCCCAGCCTCTTTTTTTTTTTTTTTTTTTTTTTTTTGAGACAGAGTCTTGCTCTGTCGCCCAGGCTGGAGTGTAGTGGCGCGATCTCGGCTCCCTGCAAGCTTGGCCTCCTGGGACTACAGGTGCCTGCCACCACGCCTGGCCAATTTTTTTTGTATTTTTAGTAGAGATGGGGTTTCACTGTGTTAGCCAGGATGGTTTCAATCTCTGACTTTGTGATCCGCCCGCCTTGGCCTCCCAAAGTTCTAGGATTACAGGCGTGAGCCACCGCACCCGGCCATTTTTTTTTTTTTTTAATTTTTTTGAGACAGAGTCTGGCTCTGTCGCCCAGGCTGGAGTACTGTGGCGTGATCACGGCTCACTGCAAGCTCAGCCTCCCAGGTTCACGCCATTCTCCTGCCTCAGCCTCCTGAGTAGCTGGGACTACAGGCGCCTGCCACCATGCCCCGCTAAATTTTTTTGTATTTTTAGTAGAGACGGGGTTTCACCGTGTTAGCCAGGATGGTTTTGATCTCCTGACCTCGTGATCTGCCCGCCTCGGCCTCCCAAAGTGCTAGGATTATAGGCGTGAGCCACTGCGCCCGGCCAATCTTTTTTTTTTTTTTTTTTTGAGTCAGAGTCTCGCCCTGTGGCCCAGGCTGGAGTGCCGTGGCGCGATCTCAGCTCACTGCGAGCTTCGCCTCCCGAGTTCACGTCATTCTCCTGCCTCAGCCTCCCGAGTAGCTGGGACTACAGGCGCCCGCCACCACGCCGGACTAATTTTTTTGTATCTTTAGTAGAGACGGGGTTTCACCGTGTTAGCCAGGATGGTCTCGATCCCCTGACCTCATGATCCGCCCATCTCGGCCTCCCAAAGTGCTGGGATTATAGGCTTGAGCCACTGCGCCCGGCCCAATTTTTATTTTTTAATGGTTGTTATGGACTGAATGTATCCCTCTAAAATTCATATATTGAATCTCTAATCCCCAATGTGATGACACTAGGAAGTAAAGCCCTTGGGAGATAATTAGGTTTAGATGAGGACATGAGGATGGGATCCTCATGATGAAATTAGTACCCTTATATGAAGAGACCAGATAGCCCTCCCGCCGAGTCCGTATCTCTCCCTGCCATGTAAGGACACAGCAATATGACAGACAAGTCAAGAAGTCAAGACAGGCAAGTCAGGAAGAGGGTCCTCACCAAGAACCCAATCAGCCAGCCCCTTGGTCTTGGTTTCCCAACCTTCAGAACTGTGAAAAATAAATGTTTGTTGTTTAAGCTACCCAGTCTGTACTATTTTGTTATAGCAGCCCAAGCTGACTAAGATAAATCGCTTGTACCTCTACTTTTTGTTTTCTATATAATTTAAGAGACTAATACATTTAAAAAAATTATTAACCTAAAAGCTATTCTTGCAACTTTGGTTTGAAACTCCACTGTTTGTTGTCTACATAATTTAAGAGAAGAATACGTTATAAAAAACAACTATTACTTTATGTTTTTTGATACACAGTGTATAAAGATGTAATTATATGACATCAATAACTGAAAAGATTAGGGACGGAGCTGTATAGAGGCAGTTCATGTATGTTACTGAAGTTGAGCTGGTATAAATTCAAATGGGAATGTTATAACTTTTGGGTGTTAAATATAATCCCCATGGTAACCACAAAGAAAATAGTTATAGAATATACACAGAAGGAAATGAGAAGGGAATCACATTTTACTACCAAAAAAAAAAAATCAGTTAAATACAAAAGACAGTAATGCAGGAAATGAGGAACAAAAAAGCTACAAGGCATATGAAAAACAAATAGCAAAATGACAGAAGTCTCTCCCTATCAGTAATTACTTTAAAAATAAATGGCTCAAAATCTTCAGTCAAAAGACAGATATTGGAAAAATGTATTAAAAAGCATGATCCATCTATATGCTGTCTCCAACAGACTCATTTTAGATCCAAAGACACAAATAAGCTGAAAGTGAAAGGCTGAAAAAAGATATTTCATGCAAATAGTAATGAAAAGAGAGCAAGGGTGGCTGTAGTGATCAGACAAAATAGACTTTAAATGAGAAAAGATTACAAAAGACAAAGAAGAGCATTATAAATAAAAGGCTTAATACAATAAGGTATAACTATTATAAATGTTTATGTACCTAATAATAGTCCATCAAAATAACTGAATCAAAAATGGACAGAATTGAAGAGAGAAATAGACAGTTCCACAGTAATAGTTGGAGACTTTTGTACCCCACTCTCAATGGATAGAACAACCAGACAGAAAATAAGTAAGGAAATAGGGGACTTGAAAAATGTAATAAACAAACTAGGTCTAACAGACACACAGAACACTCTACATGACAACAGAGTACACATTTTTGGCAAGTGCACATGGGACATTCTCCAGGATAAACCATATATTAGGCCACAAATTAAGTCTAAATAGATTTTAAAAGATATATAAAGCATCTTCTCAGACCACAATGGTATGAAGTTAGAAATCAGTAACAGGAGGAAAATTGGAAAATTTGCATATTTGTGTAATTAAACAACACGCTCTTAAACAACAAATGGATTAAAAAATCACAAGGGAAATTAAAAAATACCTAGAGATGAATGAAAATGAAAACAACATACAGTCTTATGGAATATAGCAAAAAAGAGCAAAGTGGGAAATTTATAGCTATAAATGTTTACATTAAAAAACAAAGATGTCAAATAAACAACTTTACCACTTATGGAACTACAAAGAGAAGAACAAAGTAAATGCAAAGCCAGCAGAAGAAGGAAATAAATATTAGAGTAAAGATAAGCAAAATAGACAACAGAGAATAGAGAAAATTAATGAAACTGAAAGTTGATTCTTTGAAAAAATCAACAAAATCGACAGATTTAGGATTGCTGTGTCTTCCTGGTGATTTACCCTTATATAATTGTGTAATGTCTGTCACTAGTAATTTTCTTTGGTCTGAAGTCTATTTTATGATATTTTACTATGAAGCGTATATGAAATATATTTTACTTTGAAGTGTACATTAAGTGTACTTTATAATATGTTAATATAGCCACTTCTTTTAACTTACTTCATCTTACATTAATATAGCCACTTTTTCTTTTGATTAATTTTTGCATAGTATGTCTTTTGTCATCTTTTTACTTTCAACCCACTTATTATATTTGAAGTGGGTTTTTTGTAAATTGAAAACAGTTGGGTCATTTTTAAAATACATTCTTCCAATCTCTTTTAATTGGCATGTGTAGACCATTTACATGTAATATAATTATTGATCTATTAAGACTTAAGTCTAGCATTTATTTGTTTTCTGGTATCTCCTGTTTTTGTTTCTGTTTTCTTTTTCTACATTTCTATGAGTAAATTGAACCTTTTTTAGAATTCCATTTTGATTTATCTATAGTGTGTTTTAGTATCCCATTGGGTAGCTTTTTTATTAGTTGCTTAGGTGTTATGTTATAATGTAGCACAATCTACTGGTATGGTCATTTTACCAGTTTAAATAAAGTGTAGAGGCCTTACTTCCCTTTGCATGACTTTACTTACTCTTTCCCATTTGTAACAATTGTTTTAAATGTTTCCTCTATATACATTGAAATCCACATAGACAATGATAATTTTTGCTTCAACCATCAAATACAATTCAGAAAACTCAAGAGAAAGAAAGTCTATCGTATTTACCCCTATTTTTGCATCTCTCATTGCTCTTTTTTTATTAATGTTCTAAGATTCCTTCTTTTATTATTTTTCTTCTGCATAGAGAACTTTCTTTAGCCATTCCTTTAGAGTAGACCTGCTTAATGACAAATTCCCTTTGTTTTTCTTTATCTAAGAATGCTTGATTTCCCCTTCGTTTCTGAAGGATATTTTCAAGAGATATGGAATTTTGGGTTAACAGTTCTTTTCTTTTAGTACTTGAAAAATGTGCCACTTCTTTCAGGCCTCTGTGGTTTCTGATAAATCTGCTGTCTTTGAATTTTCTTCCTGTAGGTAATGCATTATTTCTCTCTGGCTGCTTTCAATATTTTTTTCTTTAATTTTCAGAAGTTTGATTATGATGTGTTTTGGAGTAGATTTCTTTGGGTTTATCTTGTTTGGTGTTCACTTAGCTTCTTGCATCTGTATGTTTCTGTTGTTGCCAAATTTGAGAGAATTTCAGCAATTAATTTTTGGAATAGTTTTTCAACTCTATTCTTTTTACCCTTGCCTTAGGAGACTCTGATGACATGCATGTCAGATCTTTTGTTATAGTTCCACATGTCCCTAAGCTCTATTCATTTTTTTTCCAGTCTGTTTTCTCTCTGTTGTTCATTCAGATTAGGCACATTCAGTTGTTTGGTCTTCAAGTTCACTGATTCCTTTGTCCCTTCCATTCTGCTGGTGAGCCCATCTACTGAGCTTTTATTTGTGTTACTTTATTTATCAGTTCTGAAATGTTCATTTGGTGGTTCTTTATAACTTTCTTTGCTGGGACTTTCTATTTTCTCATTTGATTCAGGTGTGTTCATAATTACTTGTTGAAGCATTTTTATGCTGTCTGCATAAAATCCTTGTCAGATAGTTTTGACATTTGGGTCATCATGGTGTTGGTGTATGTTGATAATCTTTTCGCATTCAGTTTGAAATCTTCCTGGTTTTAGGTATGGCTAATGATTTTCTATTGAAACCGAGATATTTGGGGATTCTTTTAAGACTGAATTTTACTTAAACCTTATATTTTAGCAGGCCTCCTCTGATATTGCTATGGCAGGTGAAAGGGGCCACTATCTCTTTACTTCCAGGTGGATATGGAGTCCGGGATCTCCACATGTTCATCACTTATACCTGAGGGGAGAGAGGGTCTCCTTGTTACTGCTGGAAGGATGGAAGTACAAGCTCCCCACTAGCCTTCCACCAGTATCACCCTGACTGTGAGTGGAAAAGCCACCTTGTTACTGTTCCTGTGGGTACAGCTGCCCAAGCTATAATTGTTCTATTTTTCTAGAAGAAAAATAACATTAATTTTATCTGCAGCATCCTTTGAAAATGTTAGGATCAACAGGACAGAATCATCTGAAAGATGCTTTTGTGATGTCAGTTCTCTAGGTTTCCTGAATAATATAAGGGCTGTTTGTTAGATACAGGCATGTATCCCCACAGGGACTCCGCTGACACCATGGAGAGCACTGAGCAGTGTGGAATTCCTGCCTCTCCATTCGACCTCCTCTGACACTGTTTTATCAAGGAGAGGGAGGTGTACCTCATTCCTGCTAGTTGGGGGTAGGAGTCCAGACTTGTCCTGTGGGCTGCACTGATACCACCAAGAGGGGGATGGATTGTTCACTAACGCCCAATAGGGCTAGAAGTCCCAGCTTTCTCCTCAGCTTCCTGTGACACCACCCTGGTAAGGAGGTTTCAATGCCTTATTATTGCCCCTCAAGGGTATAAGTCTAGGCTCTTCGCTAAGCCTTTGCTGGTGGGACTGCAGTTTTTTCTGTGGTATTGGCTGAAGTAGAATGGTTATTGTCTAAAAGTTTTCTATCTTGGCTAGGTTAACCTTTCCTGGTACTTTATCTAGATAGAGGAGTTCAGTCTTTCTTTTCTTCTTTTTTTATTTTTTCCTTCTCTTCCCTCCCTCCCTTCCTTCCTACCTTTTCTGTTTTCCTTTCTTTCTCTCCTCTCTCTTCTTTCTTTTTCTTTTCTCTGTACTCATTGGCATTTCTGGGTTACCAGTTTTGTTAGCTGCAATTCTGGGGCTTACCGGGCATTTAAAAAGTCAACAGGACTTACCATTGTCATTCCTTAGGTACTCATGTCCCTAACCTGACTTCTCTTCTTCACTGTTTAGAGTCTTATGTTTCATTCATATATATATTCCAGAGTTTTTAGTTGTATTTAGAGAGAATCAGGAAAAGTATATTTACTCCACCTTCCCAGAAGTAGAAGATCAGCATGTGTGGTTTCAAAAATCCCTCACCTCTGGTGAGATTCTGATCTGTGCTTTCCTAACCCTTCTCTTAAAAATCACTGGACTCTCAAAATGATTTTCTATGATTTTTCCAAGTTTAGAGTTTTATTTCTTGTCCGTGTCACGTATGAAATATTTCAGGTCATGGCATGTTTCTACTACTCATTGTTTATAGAATTTGCAGGCAGCAAAACGGCTCATTTTGGGCACTGCTGTCACTGTTTGCATCCGTGGAATTGATGATTGATATTTCCTCTTCCTCTGGATCCATGCCTGTGTCTAACAAATAGTCCTTATATTATTCAGGAAACCTAGAGAACTGGCATCACAAAAACATCTTCCAGATGATTCTGTCCTGTTGATCCTGAAATTTTAAAGGATGTTGTAGATTAAATTAATGTTCTTTCTTTCAAAAAAAAAAAAACAAAAACAGGGAACATTTGTAGTTTGGGCAGCTGAAATACTGGCATCTGCCCAACTAGACTAATAACAAATTGCAACTCAAACCAATTAATCTCATCTGTAGTTTAATGGAGGGTTTTCTCTTCCCAACTGTCTAGTTAGAAAAGCCGTTTGTGGCCGGGCGCGGTGGCTCACGCCTGTAATCCCAGCACTTTGGGAGGCCGAGGCGGGTGGATCATGAGGTCAGGAGATCGAGACCATCCTGGCTAACAAGGTGAAACCCCGTCTCTACTAAAAATACAAAAAATTAGCCGGGCGCGGTGGCGGGCGCCTGTAGTCCCAGCTACTCGGGAGGCTGAGGCAAGAGAATGGCGTGAACCCGGGAAGCGGAGCTTGCAGTGAGCCGAGATTGCGCCACTGCAGTCCGCAGTCCGGCCTGGGCGACAGAGCGAGACTCGTCTCAAAAAAAAAAAAAAAAAGAAAAGCCGTTTGTATTGTTAGAATGCCTTGATGAAATTCTTGCAAGCTGGCAAAGAGCAATTTCCAAGAAATTAAGAGAATTGTTGCTTCTTGTCTGATTATGGATTATTTATAGAATCTTGTGTAGTTTGTAACAGGGAACAGTTTTCAGGTTACCATAAAAATGATAGTGCTCAAAAAATATTGGCCAAGAAAATAGAAAACAAAGGGGAGCTTATTGATCAAGCTGTTTTCGGTTAAAAAAGACAGTGTGAGATGTCTTTAAAACTGCAAAGACCATGATTTCCTTGCCATCAATACTCACTCTCTAAGTTGGCTTCAAGAGCACTTAATTAGAACATGAACATGAACCTGTCAAATGATTTAAGAATTTAGCTTTTAGCCCTAGATTTGAAAAACAAGACCTTTAAGAATAAAATGCACGCCCTGTAAAAAGTGTCTAGCATTTGTCATTTCCAATTTTCATTAAATGCTCATTTTCAGCCTAAAGTTAGTCCTAAGATAAAGGAACATATTGCATAAAAATGAGTTCTTAGACAAATGTTAGGCTCAAGATTAATTAATTACCCTGATATTAACACCTGTTCCCTCAATTCTGCAAAAAAGAGAACAGGAAAGATAAAGGAGGTTAGAGACAGAACCTTGGCAAAGATGGAATTTGACAGATGGTTGAAGAAAAAGGAATTAGGAGAAGAGGCTGAGAGGAAGCAGTCAGTGAGGCTGAGGAAGCCTGGGCAGTGGGAGTCATGAGGAATCACAGTTCAGGAAGGAGGAAGACGTGGCTATGTGGTCTAGGAGAGAGCTGCTGGCTGGGACTATAGATGACAAGAAATCATTTGTAGTGGTACAAGTACTGGGTCACTTATGCTTGGATTCTAATTTTGCCTCCTAGTGGCTGTGTGACCTTAAACAAGTTACTTTGCATCTTAATTCTCTGATCAGTAAAATGGTGACTTACTCATTCAACATTTATTAAGCATCCTTTGTACCAGGGACTGTCCTAAGTACTTGGAATACATCGGTGGGGAGAAAAAGACAAAACCCTTTCATAGGGAGACCTTACCATTTACAGTTTCAGGAGGGGATGAAGACAGACAATAAACATAATAAATAAGAAAATAATGTAGTGTATTAGGAGGCAATAAGTGGTATGGAAAGAAAAAAAGGTAGAGTAGGTTAAGGGGAGAGCAGGAGGGCCAGGGGTAAATTGCAATTTTAAATTCAGAGGTCAAGCCCACATTTGGTAATAACTACCTCCTGGGATTGTGATGAGAAGGACATGAGAGGCCCCTAAACTGCCAATGCTGGACCAAGTACTTTGTCAGCCCCTGGTAAGCATTAGCTGTTACTGTTGTTATTACTGTTGTCATTCCTAAAAGAATATTCACTGTGCAGTTCCTTTATCTAGGAGTACTCCAGTTCACTCATGTTGCTTGATTACCGGCACCTCCTTAGAGCATACATGTTTAAGCCAGTCCAGTCATAGCTGGGCTGCACTTCCCATGGTGCCATGTCACTGCTTGATGCCCCTCTAAATCCAGAGACCTGGTTACTGGTTTTGCTTCTGCCACCCAGGAGCTGGGCAGCTTTGGGTGAGTTTCCTCATGTATAAAGCAGTGCTCACCATCCCTGCCTCTCAGACCACTGCGGGAATGGTCTGAGAGGCAGGCATGGTGAGTGCTTCTTTATATGTGAGAATGTATAAAGATGAGAGGATGGGCTGGGTGTGGTGGCTCATGCCTGTAATCCCAGCACTTTGGGAGGCTGAGGCAGGCAGATCACCTGAGGTCAGGAGTTTGAGACCAGCCTGGCCAACATGGAGAAACCCCATCTCTACTAAAAATACCAAAAAAAAAAAAAAAAAAATTTTAGCCAGGCATGGTGGTGGGCTCCTGTAATCCCAGCTACTCTGGAGGCTGAGACAGGAGAATCGCTTGAACGTGGGAGGCGGAGGTTGCAGTGAGCTGAGATCGCGCCACTGCACTCCAGCCTGGGTGACAGAGTGAGACACTGTCTCAAAAAAACAAAACAAAACAAAGAAAAAACGATGAGAGGATGGAGGAAAGAGCAATTTGGGAAGCCTAGAGCTGGATCCCAATGTGTCCTATCATTTGTAAATTGCTGGGGGATTTGTTAGATACAAGAAGGGCTAATTCAGACTCAAAGTCAGGGCTGTACTGAGTGTCTGATCTTCACTCTCTGTCCCTCTCCTGCATAAGGACCATTTAGTAGCATCTAAGTGAGAAACTAGCCCTGTTCCCTACTTCCTCCTCCCTTGAAGCCCTGTTGGGGGTTGTGGGAGGGGAAGGCCATTCTCATTAGGTTTTCTGCAGCTTCCTTTTCAAGAATCATTTCTCTTCCAGCAAGAGAAATGAGCTGTCAGAAACTCTGGCTTTTTTTTTTTTTTTTTTTTTTTTTTTTTGAGACAGTGTCTCACTCCATCGCCCAGGCTGGGGTGCAGTGGCATGATCTCGGCTCACCGCAACCTCCGCCTCCTGGATTCAAGCAATTCCCTGCCTCAGCCTCCCGAGTAGCTGGGATTACAGGCGCCCACCACCATGCCTGGCTAATTTTTGTATTTTTAGTAGATACAGGGTTTCACAATGTTGGCCAGGCTGTTCTTGAACTCCTTACCTCGTGATCCGCCCACCTTGGCCTCCCAAAGTGCTGGGATTACAGGTGTGAGCCAGCGCGCCCAGCCAACTCTGGCATTTTTAAACAGCTGGCCATTGAGCACAGGTAGCTGCCTAATGAAGTTTATATATCTGTTGCCACGAAGGTGGGTTTAAAGTTGTTATTTCTAACTGTTTTTTTTTTTTTTATGTTTGTTTTGTGAAAACGGAGGATTGAATGTAAGGACTAAAGAGAATCTGTGTTGGGGTGGGGCTGAGGCATGCAGGGAGGATTTGAATCAAGAGCAGGCTTATGAGAGATCCCTCTTAGCATAGTGGTCGGAGTACCCTTATAGAAATTTCATGCGAACCAAATCATGTTCTTAGCTCCTACTGAAGTCTGTTTCATTAAGTTCTGTAAAGACATAAAGGCAGGACAGGACCCTGTCTTTCACACAGTATTTGGGAGAGAGATATATTCGGGAGGAACTTCTTTGCAGTGGTTTTCAACACTGGCCCCACATTAAATTCCTAGAGGTGGGGCCTAGGCATTAGTAACTTTTAAAGTTCAATTCCAAGGTGTAACCAAGTTTGAGAACCAGTGCTTAGTGTAGAGGACTTAGCGGAGAGTGGCCGTCAGTGTCTTGGTTCTGGCAGATTTTCTCATGAGCCTGTCTCTCCCTCTTCCAACGCCGCAGGTGTACAGAGCTGTGGACTGGAAGCTTGAACCATCATCAGTGAGAATCATCTGATGTAGCCTGGATTGTTATTTTCTCTTTTAAGCTGCACAATAGGAATGCCAAGGCTAGTTTCTCTGCCTTTGAGCTGTATTATGCTTTTAGAATCCCTCCACTTTAGAATTAAAGTACCTGGGAAGGCATAAAAGACAAAGCCATCACTAAACATGTTTCCTTTTGATCTGTTGCAAATGACAAAAGTGCACATTACAAAAGATCAAAAAGCATGTGAACAACTCTCCTCTGTTTCCAAGACTCATTGTTTTGAAGGCAGGAGGCTCACAATGAGACTTGGGGAGGTGAAGTGATGCTTTGTTGCTAGAAACTGTGATGTGCAGTGGCCGCTCACCTTTCTGACATGCTTACAGGGCCGCCGGATGATTGACTTGATAAACATGTTGCCTCGGGTTTTTTGTTTTGTTTTGTTTTATTAAATTCCTGGTAGCTAACCTAAATATCCTGAGGTTGTGATGCCACCAAAATACATGACAGCTTTGAATGAGCTGTTCTGAAATCTAGGGCCATCACTGTCAAAGTGGACCGAGAAACCAAGACTAAATCCTGCCCAAGCAGCAGTGTGGGGGTGGAGGCAACCTAGCAGGCCCTCCCAGCCAGAGCTGACTGGGAGCAGCCTAGTGTGGATTTCTCCATCTGGTCATGTGTTTTGGTCTTTCCCTCATAAACACCATCTCTTTTTAGTCGAAAAGCCAATATTTGTTAAGGAGCAGAACACTATTTTTTACCCCAGTTCTTTCTCTCCCTTGTGCCTTACCCCAGTAGGCTGATGGGTACATCAGCCCACCTCTGAGTGGTACGGTAATGAAGCCAGCCTCACTCACCCCTGCCATCACACACTCTTTTTTTTTTTTTTTTTTTTGAGACGGAGTCTTGCTCTGTCGCCCAGGCTGGAGTTCAGTGGCACAGTCTCGGCTCACTGCAACCTCCACCTCCAGGTTCAAGCAATTCTCCTGCCTCAGCCATCCAAGTAGCTGGGATTACAGGCATATGCCACCACGCCTGGCTACTTTTTGTATTTTTAGTAGAGACATGGTTTCACCATGTTGGGCAGGCTGGTCTCTAACTTCTGACCTCAGGTGATCTGACTGCCTTGGCCTCCCAAAGTGCTGGGATTATAGGCATGAGCCATTGCACCCGGCCCATCACACACTGAGTAAAGCCAAGGGGTGTACTTGTTGATTTTTCCTGCAAGCCCAGCCGTATGCTTTGCACACAATTGCCTTTTAACCTCACAGCAACCCTCTAAGATGTGTTTCATTGCTTCTGTTTTCTAGTAGGGAAATGTGGTGTGGCCACAAACTAGTGAGGATGCGAGGACTTGAACCCAAGTCAGATGGCTCCAGGGTCTTTCCTGAGACCATACTCTCCCAGGCTCTTTCCTGGAGCAAGGAGTGTGAGCCTAAGGAGGCTTCAGTGGGGCACATGGAAGGTGGCTGAGTGCTGTGATTCTTCCTTCACAGACCAAGTATTATTTTATACCAGGAACAGTAAGGTAGGCCTCCGTGCCTCAGCCTTCTTAGACTTTATCACTGATGAATCGCTGTGTCTCAGGAGCTGCTGGCCAGACTGGCTTAATTGTTAATTTGTGCAGAGTCATTGAGGTATGGGTGGCAGGTCGCAAAAGATGATGTTTTGAGCCTCACTTGTGTTCTAAGAGAGCTCAGATTGTGTGTTGGGCTCTGTGGTTGCCTGTGAATGTGCAAAATATTTTTAATGCTAAAAACCAGGTATTACAGAATGTAGAAATGCAGCTTGGAGGAACAATTCTAGTTGGAATCCCAGATTCGTAAATTTGGTCTCTTGGCAGCTAGATTGCACTTTCTAGAGCTCAGGAAGATATAAAAGTTGACACTTTTATGTAGATTTATGTGGAGTGTGGCTGAATTGCCAATGCTTTTGTAGCTATAACTTTGAATTGCCTGACTTTTGTATTGAAAACAATGGTGCATTAACGTAGGCGTTGGCTTATTTGAAAAGCAGGCCAAAGGAAAAGACTTTTTATTTGACTTCTGTGGTGGTCTCCCTAAGGAGTCTTACCCACAAGCTATCCCACAGCTTGTGGGCAGATGTGAGCAACAGGAAGCCCCACCCCACAGACACAGGGTTCCCCCTTGGAGTTGCAGGCAGGGTTCAGTCTGGAATTTGGGTGCTGTGGGGCAGATTCTCATAGATGATCTTTAAACGTTTAGTTGTTCAACAACTATTTTATGGGAAGGGATGGACTCATGTTGTATCAAGAAAAACTGTATGCAACTTCAAAATAGGAAATTTACTACACAAATTTATTATGTAGATTTTCCAAGTCAGACAACTACTTGGAGGCACATTAAATGATTTAAAATTTAGGTAGTAAAATCAACCACTTATTACCAGTGAATAGCATTATGCACACATAATAGAGTTTCAGAATTTTATCTGCCTGCAACCCCAGACTTGACATGTCTCTCCCCTGGTTGGTCTCCGAGTTGGTAGAAGGCTTGGTGGTCGCATCATGCAGCATTCCTGTGTGCGCTGCAAGTCATGCTTAACAGAGATAGGGCTACCCCCGATGGAGAAGGGCAACTCACTTAACCGCCTCCATCTTTCCACTTTTGCTCATTGATGTTTAACATGTTATCAGTATGTATAGAATGGCCCCCAGAGAGTTGTTTGATTGATGCTTCTTTAATCAGCCTGTGATTATAGACTCAAACTGAAGAAATCTGAACTCACAGATCGGGGTTTCTCCACCTTGGCGCTATTGATTGACATTTGGGACTGGGTGATTATTTTGTTCTGGGGACTGTCTTGTTCACTATAGGTTTTTAAAGCAGCATCCCTGGCCTCTATCCACTAGATGCCAGTAGCACACATACAGCATACACACCCCAGTTGTGACAAACAAAAATGTCTCCAGTATTTGCCAGATGGTCTCTGGGGAACAAAATTTTCCCGGTTGAGCACTCTTCCTTTAGAGAAGGGAAGAAAGGACTATTAACATCACCTCTGTGGGTACTGAAACCCCTAGAAGACCCTTGTCTACAGAACTGGGTTTTGAATAGGCACTTCCCAGTGAAAATATGAAAATAGACTCTTGATTTCTAGCCAGGTGACTAAAATAAAAGCTTTTCAGCAGTTTAATTTCAGAAAGATGGCTTTGATTATTTTGATTGAGATAAAGCATTAGAAGACTCAAAATAGCTGTTTTTGTTTTGCTTTGTTTTAATGAGAAAATCAGGGAAGGTTCCAGAGGGCTCTATGACTTTCAGGAGATGTATTTCTAAGTGGTGTCTGTTCCCAACTGTGTTTATGATCCTTGTGAGACTGAACTCCTGGTGAGCCTTGCGAGTGTCTGTTCTGGCATTTCTTCATGGAGTGGACATTACTGAAGGTCGGTCGGTGGCTGGGCCCTGTGTGCAGCAGATGGGAATAAAAGGGACAGGAGCACAGTGTCTTCCTCAGGGCACTCCCAGCCTCCTCTGGGCAGGTGAGTCACGCATTTCAGTACGACGGAACTTATGAGTGCTGTGAATATGCCTGGAAATGAACCCGCCAGTGATTGGAATAATGGTCCGGAAGCAGTGGTTTTCAAGCTGTACTCTTTTAGCAGTTGAGGTTGCTTTTTCTTCAAATGACATGTGCAGAAATGTAATATAAATAAAATAGATCAGATCCAAATTTGAAGCCAGGGTGAAAGCAGGGGCCTGTAATTCCCCACCCCTCCCTTTGCCTCAGAGCTGACACTTCCAAAGAGAATGCCCTTTCGTTACAGGTTTGACTGAAAGTAGGCTAACGCTTGGTTGGATGAAGATCATTGTTTTTCCTGACTAGATCTATCCTCTTTTTTTTTTTTTTTTCTGAGACAGAGTCTTGCTCTGTTGTCCAGGCTGGAGTGCACTGGCGTGATCTCAGCTCACTGCAAGCTCCGCCTCCTGGGTTCACGCCCTTCTCCTGCCTCAGCCTCCCAAGTAGCTGGGACTACAGGTGCCCACCACCATTCCTGGCTAATTTTTTTTTTTTTTTGTATTTTTAGTAGAGACAGGGTTTCACCGTGTTAGCGAGGATGGTCTCAATCTCCTGACCTTGTGATCCCCCCGCCTCAGCCTCCCAAAGTGCTGGGATTATAGGCATGAGCCACTGCGCCCAGCCCTTTTTTCACTTTAGGTAAAAGTGATTTTCAGAACCATCAACCTAGGGGAAAAAAAAAAATGCTGTTTCGGCCAGGCGCGGTGGCTCACGCCTGTAATCCCAGCACTTTGGGAGGCCGAGGTGGGCGGATCACGAGGTCAGGAGATCGAGACCATCCCGGCTAAAACGGTGAAACCCCCATCTCTACTAAAAATACAAAAAATTAGCCGGGCGTAGTGGCGGGCGCCTGTAGTCCCAGCTACTTGGTAGGCTGAGGCAGGAGAATGGCGTGAACCCGGGAGGCGGAGCTTGCAGTGAGCCGAGATCCCGCCACTGCACTCCAGCCTGGGCGACAGAGCGAGACTCCGTCTCAAAAAAAAAAAAAAAAAAAAAACAATGCTGTTTCATTGCTGTGTAATTTTTACTCTCACTCTAGGAAGCAGATTCATCGGCTTAGAGAAAAAAACACATATTTGTATATTTTATATATGTGTGTATATATAAAATATGTTGTATATGTGTTACATATATAATATATATTATGTGTTATATATTTACTAAAAGAATTTTGATATTATGAACAACTCAATAGAAAAATTGAGAAAAGAAAATATTGAACCTCTATCCCTTAGATTTAACAATTCTCATTATTTTCTCAAAATTATTTCACACACTTTTCTAAACCTCTAGTGGGTAAAGATTTTTTAAAAATAAAAAGATATATCCACAATGACCAAGTCTAGGAATATTTTTACCATACTACCTCCACCCCTTACCCACATCCCCTATCCCAGTTCATCTTGGGGACAACAGTGTAATAATTTGAATTTTGTGGTGAAACCTACATGAAGGAATCAAATTTGATTCAATGTCAGTAGTTCATATCTCTATCTAGTTTATTCTTCCTTCAACAACAATTTTGGGTGCCTCAATGTGCCAGGACCTGAGCATACTACAATGAGCAAAATGAAATAGACCAAACATAGCTCCTGCCCTGGGTTTTGTTAACAGTGGAAGTTTTTAAATTTCTTGTCTAGAAAACTGAGGAAAACAAGTTCTGTGCCATGCTAGCTGGAGGGGTAGCTGTGGAGGAAAAGATGATGGATGAGGATGAATTTGGAGGTTTTGGGGAGCAAGCCCATTGGCAGAGTGCTGGTTAGGTTCTTGAGTTGGTGAAGATCTTTGTGCACGACACCCCTGTAGACATCTGTGAAGCTGGAAGCCAGAGCAGGCTGCGTCGTATGCATGGCTCAGAAATTATGGCTCTTGTGTTGTGGAAGCTGGCCTAGGTGGACAGCTACAATGTGGGCAAAGCCCTTTGACTGGCTGGTGGTTCACTAGTTGCCTTGAAGTGGGAAGGTAGAGCCAATAGTCAGAGTTGTGTTATTTTCCTTTTAAAAGAATTGTTTTCTAATAGTTATTACTCTGCTGTTTTTATAAAACAGCACAAAAAAGGACTCAGGAGTCTTACATAAGAAAAATAGCCCACTGGGGGCACAGATGTTTACCTGACACCTTGCTTAGTTCCTACCACATACCCAAAGTCCGGGTTTGAAGCTGTCTCATTTATTCATCTTAAGGAAGACTGAATTGTTTGCACTTTTGGTAAAAGTACGCTTTCTATCAAAAGTTTATTACAAGGCGTGGTGGCACACACCTGTAGTCCCAGCTACTGGGGAGGCTGAGGAGGGAGGGTCATTTGAGCCCAGGAGTTCGAGACTACAGTGAGGCACAATCACACCACTGCACTTCAACCTTGGTGACAGAACAAGACTTCTGTCTCTTAAAAATAAAAAAGTCTGTTACAAACGGAGTCATTTGAAACATTCCCTCCCATCATTCATTTCTGCGTTAGTTTTTGAAGTTAAAGAGCACTAGAAAAGAAACGTGACAGTATAGAGGTTTTATGCTTATTTGACTTTATCAACTGTAAATTCTGTTTTTAAGAATTCTATAACAAATGTGTTTTTAGGACAGAAAGTAAATTTGGGGAACCTTTGATTTAGGCTTGGAAATATAAACCAAGTGGTTTCTTACTAAGTTTAATGTTTTTAATTGTTCTTCCTAAGTAAACAACAGCCTGATTCACATAATGGAATAAATGGAATATACGAGTCTAAAGGAGCCACTAGACCCCAGTTTTATGTGGAAACACAAGATGTATTTTCAAATGAGGATCATACTGAGGCAGGCAAATATTCCTCATGAATTTTGTGATTGCTTTCAAAATGAGCTACATTTGTGAATAAGCATCAGGCCCCCAGTGTATGTTTGTGCTGACAAAAATGTTAATACCCAATTTTGTACAATGTAATTCACTTGTTAGTGCCATAGATGAGTGGGCAGGAGGTGTGCAAAAGACTTGAAGTTGAGTTTCTCATTGAACATGCTCTCAGAAAGGTGTAGGTGGCATTTCAATAACATCTCTTTCCAGAATAAATTGTGACTCTCCTTACTTTACAAACTGGTGAAAATATTTTGAGCTGGTAAATATTTTTGTGATTTCATTACTTTTCAAAATTCAGTTGCAAGACTGAGCATGCATGGCTGGGGGGATGTTTATAATGGCCTGTACATTATTTTTCTTCTTTGTTGGCAGGAAATAACTACGTGTTTGCCAGATTACTACAAGTGGACTCAGTATCTCTTTATTAAACTGTATGAGGCTGGGCTGGCCTATCAAAAGGAGGTAAGTTAAAATTAGCTGGACTTTTAAAATTCAGTGAATCTCTTTAGGATACATCATTGTAGTAGCAGCGAAAATGAACGCTACCTCAAGTTCATAAAATCAGTCACAGCAGACCCAGAACGTAACTACTTCCTACTTAAGTTTAGTGTCATCAAGACAGGGTCTGGGCTTCTTTTACCCTTGAATTCTTACCCCATAACCTATTGTCTGGTTCCTGTAATGAGATCAAGGAGAGGGCATAAGAAGAAAGAACACAGGCTTCTCAAATCCTAGCTCAGCTCCCTCTCCCAGCTATGTGAACATCTGGGTAACTTAACCTCTAGGAAACATGGTTTTGTATCTGCTAAATGGGAATGGGGACATTTTCCTTGTGGGGTACTATGGTTTGGATGTCCCCTCCAAAACTCATGTTGAAATTTAATTGCCATTGTGATGGATTTAAGAAGAGGGACCTTTAAGAAGTGAGTGGGTCACGACAGCCCTGTCCTAATAAATGGATTAATGTTATTATTGTGGGAATGAGCTCCCAATAAAAGGATGAGTTCAGCCAAATTCTCTGTGTGTGTGTGTCATACGGTCACTTGCTGTTCTACTTACTGCCATGGGATAATGCAGCACAGAGGCCCTTGCAGATGTTGGCACCATGCTCTTGGACTTCCTGACCTCCAGAATCAGCCAAATAAACTTCTATCAATAAATTACCCAGTCTGTGGTATTCTATTACAGTAGCAGAAAATGGAGGAAGACACAGGGTTCTTGGAAAGATTAAAGGTAATAGTTAAAGAACAGCTATCACAGTGGTCTCCCGAGAAATGAAAGTGTTTGTTATGGTGGGAGCTCAATAATGATAGGTAAGACTTGGAATGGTGGGAGATGAGGCAAGAGCATCATAGTGTGGCCTAGAACTGTCCAGGATGATAGCCACTAGCCACATGTGGTTGCTTAAATTTAAAGTAATTAAAATTAAATAGTATTTAAAAAGTCAGAGCTGGGACAGTGGCTCACACCTGTAATCTCAGCACTTTGGGAGATTGATGCAGGAGGATTGCTTGATGCCAGGAGTTCAAGACTAGCCTGGGAAACACAGTGAGACCCTGTCTCTACAAAAAGTAGGAAAAAATTAGTCCCAGTTACTCAAGACGGTGAGGTAAGAGGATCCCTTGAGCCCATCAACCTACTGGGGTAAGGCAAAAGGAAGAGGAAAGAACTGAGGTAAAAAATAGTGTTCTATTCCATAACAAATATTGGCTTTTTGACTAAAACGAGATAGTGTTTATGAGGAAAAGACCAAAACACATGACCAGATGGAGAAAACCACACTAGGCTGCTCCCAGTCAGCTCTGGCTGGTAGGGCCTGCTAGGTTGCCTCCACCCCCACACTGCTGTTTGGTCAGGATTTAGTCTTGGTTTTTTTCCAGGTGGATCTCTGTCTTAGTTGGTTTGTACTGCTACAGTAGTGCCAAGACCAGCTCGGTCGGGGAGACCCTAACCCAGTAGCGCTAGAGGAATTAAACACACACACACACACAGAAATATAGAGGTGTGAAGTGGGAAATCAGGGGTCTCACAGCCTTCAGAGCTGAGAGCCCCGAACAGAGATTTACCCACATATTTATTAACAGAAAGGGAGTCATTAGCATTGCTTCTATAGATATTAAATTAACTAAAAGTATCCCTTATGGGAAAGGAAGGGATGGGCCAAATTAAAGGAATAGGTTGGGCTAGTTAACTGCAGCAGGAGCATGTTCTTAAGGCACAGATTGCTCATGCTATTGTTTGTGGCTTAAGAATGCCTTTAAGTGGTTTTCCCCCCTGGGCAGGCCAGGTGTTCCTTGCCCTCATTCTGATAAACCCACAATCTTCCAGCGTGGGCTTTATGGCCATCATGAACATGTCACAGTGTTGCAGAGATTTTGTTTATGGCCAGTTTGGGGGCCAGTTTATGGCCAGATTTTGGGGGCTTGTTCCCAACACAATAGAATACTTGAGACTGGTATTTTAACAGTTTTATGCAGCAGAAATGTATTTCCTCATAGTTCTGAAGGCTGGGAAGTCCAATATCAAGGTGCCGGCCTCTGGCAAGGGCCTTCTTGCTGCATCATCCTACGGTAGAAGGTGAGAGGGCAAGAGAGAGGGAGAGTGTGAGGGAGGGAGCAAGGGGAAGCTTAACTCACTATTTTTTTTTTTTTTTTTTTTTTTGAGACAGAGTCTTGCTCTTGTTGCCCAGGTTGGAGCGCAATGGTGTGATCTCAGCTCACTGCAACCTCCGCCTCCCGGGTTCAAGCAATTCTCCTACCTCAGCCTCCTGAGTAGCTGGGATTACAGGCATGCGCCACCACGCCCAGCTAATTTTTGTATTTTTAGTAGAGACAAGTTTCACCATGTTGGTCAGACTGGTCTTGAACTCCCAAACTCAGGTGATCTGCCCGCCTCAGCCTCCCAAAGTGCTGAGATTATAGGCATGAGCCACCATAACACAGCTGAACTCACTTTTATAACAAGCCCACTCTTGATAACTAACCCACACCCATGATAGCAACATCAATTTATTCATGAGAGCAGAGCCCTCATGACCTAATCACCTCTGAAATGTCCCACCTCTTAACATTGTTGCATTAGGGATTAAGTTTCCAACACATGAACTTTGGGGGACACATTCAGACCATAGCAATCTCTTTTTATTGGATAGCTATTTTCAAATTGGCCTTAAAACAGAAAACATTGCTATTAGCATTCTATTTCTGTGGTTTATTTCAAAATACAAATTTTTGGAATAAACTTTATAAAGTTAACTGACTTTAGAAATATACTTTGTAAAGCATATTTAACCAAAATAACTCAGGTAAATGAACATTTAGGAATAGTATTTGAGCAGAGCATTACTAAACGTAGCTGGAGTGTTTAAGTCTTTTGTTCTTAACAAGCACTGTCCACCAAATGTTCAGTTCTGTTGCAAAAAGAATCTGCTGTTGCTTTCACAAAACAAAAGTATTTTCAGCTGCAAATATGAACATAAAGACCTCTACTTGGCAGAACATTAATTTCACCTTTTGAAAAACATTTTCTTAAAACTCTTTTTTAAAAAGTTTTATTCCATGGATGTAGTTTTAGAGGGTTTTGTTGTTGTGGGGGTTTTTAAATTAATATATCATAGTTGTACATACTTTACATGTGATATTTGATACATGTATACAGTGTGTCATGATCAAATCAGGGTAATTGGGATATCCATCACCTCAAACATTTATCTTTCTTTGTGTTGGAAATAATTACATTTCTTCTAGCTATTTTGAAACATACAATAAATTATTGTTAACTATAATTTCCCTACTGTATTATCAAATGCTAGAACGTATTCCTTTTATGTAACTGTGTTTTTGTACCCATGAACCATTGTCTTTTTATCCCCCGCTCTCTCCCCTTCCTTTCCCAGCCCCAGCAGCCACCATTCTACACTCTACATCCATGAGATCCACTTTTTTAAGCTCTCACATATGAGTGAGAACATTTGGTATTGGTAATTTCTATGCCTGGCTTATGTCACATGGTAACCTCCAGTTCCATTCATTTTATTGTTTTTTATGGCTGAATAATATTCCATAGTGTGTATATACCACATTTTTTAAATCCATTAATCCACTGATGGACACTTGGGTTGATTGATATCTTGGCTATTGTGAATAGTGCCACAATAAGCATAGAAGTGCAGATATCTCTTCGGTAATCCTGATTTCAATTCCTTTGGATATATACCCAGCAGTGGGATTGCTGAATCATGTGGTAGTTTTATTTTTAATTTTACAAGGAACCACCTTACTGTTTTTCACACAGTGTATGAGGGTTCCCCTTTCTCCATATTCTCACCAGCATCTGTTACTCCATCTTTTAATAGAAGCCATTTTAACTGAGTGAAATTATGTTTCGTTGTGGTTTTGATTTGCACTTCCCTGATGATTAATGATGTTAAACATTTTTTTTCATATACCTTTTAGCCATTTGTATGTCTTCTTTTGAGAAATGTCTATATAGGTGTTTTGCCTGTTTTCTAATTGGAGTATTTGGATTTTTGTTTGTTTTTTGCTATTGAGTTGTTTGGATTCCTTATATATTCTGGTTATTAATCCCTTGTCAGATGAATAATTTGCGAATATTTTTTCCCCTTCTGTAGGCTATCTCTTTACTCTGTTCATTGTTTCCTTTGCTGTGCAGAAGCTTTTTTGCTTGATGTAATCCCATTTGTCTGTTTTTGCTTTTATTGCTTGTGCTTTTATGGTCTTACCCAAAAAAAAAATTTGTCCAAGCCAATGTCCTGTAGCATTTCCCTAATGTTTTATTCTACTAGTTTCATAGTTTTCGGTCTTACATTTAAGTCTTTAATCTATTTTGAGTTTTTTTTTTATATGGTGAAAAATGGGGATTTAGTTTCATTCCTCTGTATATGGATATCCAGTTTTCCCAGCAACATTTATTAAAGAGACTGTCTTTTCCCCAATGTATGTTTTTAGAAACTTTGTCAAAAATGAGTTGACTGTAAGTGCATGGATTTATATCTGGGTTCTCTGTTTCATTTCATTGGTCTGTTTGTCTCCTTTTATGGCAGTACCATGCTTTTTGGGTTACAATAGTTTTTTAGTATAATTTGAAATCAGGTAGTGTGATGCTTTCAGCTTTGTTCTGTTTTTGCTCAGGATTGCTTTGGCTATTCAGGGTCTTTTGTGGTTCCATACAGATTTTAGGGGTTTTTTTCTATTTCTGTAAATAATGTCATTGATATTCTGATAGGGATTGCTTTGAATCTGTAGATCACTTTGTGTAGTATGTGCATTTTAACAATATTCTTCCAATCCACGAACATAGTATATTTTTGCATTTTTTGTTTGTCCTTTTCAATTACTATCATCAATGTTTTATAGTTTTCCTTAGAGATCTTTAACCTTGCTTAAATTTACTCCTAGGTATTTTATTTGTAACTCTTATAAATGGGATTACTTGATTTCTTTTTCAGATTGATCATTGTTAACATATAGAAATGCTGCTGATTTCTGTGTGTTGATTTTGTATCCTGCAACTTTACTAAATTCATTTATCAAGTCTAAGTTTTTTGGTTGGAACCTTTAGGTTTTTCTAAATATAAAATCATGTTGTCTGCAAACAAGAATAATTTGACTTCTTCCTTTCCATTTTAGTTGCCAGTTATTTCTTTCTCTTGCCTAATTGCCCTGGTTAGGACTTCCAGTACTATGTTGAATAAAAGTGGTGAAAGTGGTAATCCTTGTCTTGTTCCAGATCTTAGTGGAAAGGCTTTCAATTTTTTCCCATTCAGTGTGGTATTAGCTATAGGCTTGTCATATATGGCCTTTATCATGTTGAGGTGTGTTCCTACTATACCCGATTTGTTGAGGTATTTTTTTTTTTTATCATGAAGGATGTTGAATTTTATTGAATGCTTTTTTAGCATCTATGGAAATTATGTGTTTTGGTCCTTGATTTTGTCGTATGACATGATATTTATTGATTTCTATATGTTGAACCATCCTTGCATCCCTGGGATGAATCCCTGTTGATCATGGTGAATGATCTTTTTAATGTGTTGTTGAATTCTGTTTACTACTATTTTGTTGAGGATTTTTGCATCTCTGTTTATTAGGGATATTGGCCTATAGTTTTCTTTTTTGTTATGTCTTTGTCTGGTTTGGATATCAGGGTAATGCTGGCTTTATAGAATGAATTTGGAAGAATTCCCTCTTTCTAGAAGAGTTTGAGAAGAATGGGTATTAGTTTTCTTTAAATGGTAGAATTCAGCAGTGAATCCATCAGGTCCTGATCTTTTCTTTGATGGAGGACTTTATATTACTGCTTTGAACTCATGACTTGTTCTATTCAGGTTTTCAATTACTTCATGGTTCGATCTTGCTAGGTTGTGTGTGTGTCCAGGAATTCATCCATTTCTTCTAGGTTTTCCCATTTGTTGATGTATAGTTGTTCATAATAGTCTCTAATGATCCTTTGTATTTCTGTGGTAAAAGTTTTAATGTTTCTTTTTCTGTCTGTGATTTTATTTATTTGGCTCTTTTCTTCTTAGTCTAGGTAAAAGTTTGTTGATTTTGTGTGAATTTTCAAAAACCAAGTTTTTTATTTTATTGGCCTTTTTCTTTCTTTTCTTTCTTTTTAGTCTCAATTTCATTTATTTCTACTCTGATCTTTATTATTTCGTTCCTTCTACTAATTTTGGGTTTGGTTTGTTCTTGCTTTTCTAGTTCCTTGTGCATTTTTTATCTGGAGTTGCTTATCTGGAGTCCTGTTGATCTCTCTTCAAAGTTCTTTTTCCTGTATGGTACTTGTTGATTATCAGTCTTGTGCTGGTATTTAGCCTTGGATGGTGGATATAGTTATTAATGGTTTATTATGCTTGGACATTCTAGGGAATGAGGGCGAGTCCCCTAATTTATGAGTCTGTCTTTAGCTGTCTACATGAATTTAGTAGCAGCTGGTGATGGTGCTAATTTACCCACTTGGTAAAGCTAAGTTTGCAGCATGGCCTTGGCTTCAGGAAGCATACTCAAAGAATTGCTACACACTGGCACCTCTTCCACTGTACCTCCTTGTGGCTTTGGAATGTTGTGACAGTAACAAACGGTAGCCTTGTGGGCTACCCCTGGACTCAGTCCAAATTCAGGCCCATTCTTGATGGAATGGAGCAAGATTGATTTTGAGAGCTAGATACTTTATAAGACCTATGTGATGTTGCTTAGTTAAGCATGCTTTGTCAAGAAAGAAGCTAATAGACCTTGAAAAAAATCAGTACCCTAAAATATATATTTTACTAGCCTTCTGGAACCTGAAGCTGACAGTATATTCAGAAAAGGTCTTTGATAGTTTAAAAAAAAAAGAAAGAAAAGAAAAGCAGAGCTTGAGGGGAGAGAGGCGGGGAAAACAATGGAGAGTAGCCAAGGGCCAGAGGAGTGATATGCTGGCCAAGAGACAAAAGCATGCTGATGGTGGGTGTGATCTAGAAGGGACAGGCACCCTGTGTGAAGGGCGAGGCAGGGAGGCAAGGCAAGGAGGATCTGAGGGAAGAGGAGGAATGGTAATGATGAGATGAGAGGCGTGAGGGTTTGGAACAGTAGGGCTGGCTGGGGCAGCAAGCACCACAGCTGCTGTGTCACAGATAGGAAAGCTGATAAACACAAAATTAGGAGAATACTGCCCACATGATCCCCAAGGGAGCCCAAAGTCACCTACACCTCCAAGAGCCTAATGGCAAAGAAGAGTAGAGAGGAGACAAAAATGCCTGCTCCCACTGATCACTGTGCAGATTTGACCCTTTATGAACATGGCTCCTTTGTGTTTGTTGTGTTATGAGGTGCATTTTTAAAATGCTTCCTAAATGCTTCCCACAGATCACTCAAGCAAAAAAATATTAGTCCTAATGTTTAACCCTTTAATAAGTGGGGAAACTAACTACCTTCTTTGGAATGTCCAATTCCGTGATATTCCCAGATAACTATTGTGAGGGAAGCAGTGGGTAAAATCGACCCAGAGCTCAGTGTGTTTGCAGGTGTTTTAATGATTTCAGTGTTAATTTAAGGTTCATTTCAATACAGGCTTGACTTTATTTTACAAATAAGGCTAGTTAACTACAAAGGAACATGGAATTGGCTTCAGTAGGTGGTAGACAGCATAAATGCCAACCAGGGAAATGAATAGAGTCAGTGAAGTTGCCCAGAAATTATATCCTATTCATAAGACTGTGCTTGCTTAAAAATCAGCATGTTCATCCAAGTAAATGTTCAAAATATGGAAATCCAGGATTGCTGGATGAGGGAAGCTATTGATAGAGACAGTTGTGTAAGAGAGGAGACCTGAGCAAAGGGATTTAGGAAGCAACTCCAGGGCTTCAAGGGGTTGCAGGTGCTGTGCTCCCTGAGCCTCAGGGCCCTGGATTTTGACGACTCCAAATTTAACCACTTTTGGAAAGTCTGAGCCTGAATCTGCAACTCTGTGGCTGAGGTGGATTGGAGTTCTGGAAAGAAATCATGTGGATTCTCACAGATGATGCATCTTTTGAGACACTATTTCTTTTGGTGTTTTCCCCCTTCCCCCCAAGTCTTTCATTAGGGGGATAAATTGCCTTTGTGTTTTGCTTTTTTTTTTTTTTTGTCTTTCATTCAATGCTTGGGTTTTATTATGATGTGCAAACCTCTTAGGAGCACACCTTCCTCATTGTATTTTGTAATCTAGAGCCTGAGAGATGCCAGGCCATGTGGGAAATGTAGATAAGAAAATACAGTCCTATTTGTTCTTGCAATCTGCAGTACCAAGTATTCACTTCTTCCAAATCCTCTGAGGTTTGCCGGGGACAAGAGACAGAGGTGGAGGGATATACGGTGCTCTTTTTCTACCTTTCTTTTATGTTTCATACAGTTTTAGTTGTGCATGGGTTGTCTGGAGTGGGGAGATGCCTCTTGAATGAACTGTCTACATTACTAAGCAGTACTTGGTCCTTTCTTTCTACCTGTTATTTTAAGTGGAACCCTTCCAGAACCTGTGTACACTGTGGGTAGAAATGTAAATTGCTATAGCCATTATGGAAAACAGTATGGAGGTTCCTCAGAAAATGAAAAATGGAACTACCATATGATCCAGCAATCCCACTTCTGGGAGTATATCCAAAGGAACTGAAATCAGTGTGTTGGAGGGATATCTGTACACCCATGTTAACTGCAGTACTATTCACAGTAGCCAAGATATGGAATCAACCTAAGTGTCCATCAACAGACGAATGAATAAAGAAAATGTGGAGTATATACACAATGGAATAGTATTCAGCTTCAAAAAACAATAAAATTCTGTCATTTGGGAATGACAGGGATGAATCTAGAAGACAGTGTGCTAAATGAAATAATCCAGGCACAGAAAGGCAAAAATCATGTGATCTCACTTACATGTGGAATCCTAAAAAACATTGAATTCATAGAAGTAGAGAGTAGAATGATGGTTACCAGAGGCTGGAGGGGTAGGGGTGGAGCAAGGGAATGGGAAGTTACTGTCAGGAGTACAAAGTTTCAGCTAGACTGCAGGAATACATTTTGAGATCTACTGCACAGGAGGGTGACTCTAGTCAGTCATAATGTTTTGTATATTTCGAGATAACTGAAAGAGTAAATTTATCACCACAAAAAATGTTAAGTAAGTGAGGTGATGGGTATTTTAATTGCTTAATTATTCTACATTGTGTACATATATCAAAATATCACACTGTATTCTATAAATACAGTTATGATTTGTCAATTAATAATTGTTTTAAAAGAAATAATTAAGACTGGGTGTGGTGACTCACGCCTGTAATCCCAGCACTTTGGGAGGCTGAAGCAGGCAGATCACCTGAGGTCAGGAGTTCGAGACCAGCCTGGCCAACACGGTGAAACCCTGTCTCTACTAAAAATACAAAAATTAGCTGGGCGTGGTGGTGGGCGCCTAGAGTCCCCGCTACTCGGGAGGCTGAGGCAGGAGAATCACTTGAACCCAGGAGGCAGAGGTTGCAGTGAGCTGAGATTGTGCCACTGCACCCCTGCCTGGGTGACAGAGTGAGACCCTGTCTCAAAAAAAAGAAGAAATAATTAAGTGGTACCCTTCTCTCCAACCCCCTAATACAGGCAGGGATAATAGATAAGGAAATGGACCTTTGGTTCATTAAAGTTTTTAGATCTAAGGTACTTTTGTCCCATATTTTGTCTCTATGTGCTTATTAAGTCAAGGCTTTTGGGAACCCTATCTTAGAAGGGAAACAAATGCATGTCTTTCCCACCCAACTCTAGACTTCACATACTTAAATTTTCCAATGGGGGTACTGCTTCTATATGTAAAATCGCAGCCCACAAATTACAACCCACAGATAGGTTAGCCTCCCCTCACCCCTACTTTTTATGTAACTTTTAGACATGTCTCTGGATCAGTCAGGGTCCCAGCAGGAAAGAGAGAGCACACCCGAAAGGAGTCATTGAAGACAATTTGATGAAGGACTATTTGTGTGGAGTTCAGGGAAACTCAGAAGGGACGGCAATGCGTTTGACCCTGGCAGCAGAAGGATGCCTTTGCTGCCTGTAGGCTGCAGGGGCAACGTCAGGGGGCAGTTAATAGAACCTGGGAGAGCAGTAGCTTTAGCAGCACGGGAGACCTGCCCAACAGAGGTGATGACCTTCACTAGAGGCACATGACCCCTGCTAGCCCATGGCCAGGAAGCAGCCAGTGTGCCTGTCATTGGTTGAACCCAACCGGAAGATAAGGGTCCAAGGGAATGCAGGTCGCAGAGGTCAACTTCTTGGGCCACAGATCAGGGCAGGAAGAGGGTCTGGAGGGGCAAATGGGTAATAGTGAACACAATCTCTTATTAGAATTGCTTATTAAAAATTTTACGGCTAGGCCTGGTGGCTCACGCCTGTAATCCCAATACTTTGGGAGGCCAAGGCGGGTGGATCACCTGAGGTCAAGAGTTCGAGACCAGCCTGACCAATATAGTGAAATCTCATCTCTACTAAAAATACAAAATTAGCTGGGCCTGGTGGCACATGCCTGTAATCCCAGCTACCCAGGAGGCTGAGGCAGGAGAATCGCTTGAACCCAGGAGGCAGAGGTTGCAGTGAGCCAAGATTGCAACCATTGCAATCCAGCCTGGGTAATAAGAGCAAAACTCTGTCTCAAAGAAAAAAAAAATTACAAAAAATGTGTATGAAGTCAGGATATTTTAAGTCCCCAACACACCCCTCTGTACTCATTCCCTTCTTTGTACCAAGTGGTACCTGAATGTCATAAAGGCGTGAATGTAGATGGCAGAGTTATTTATTTTAAATGAAGATAGACACTAACTAGAACTCTATGAGATAATGAATCTTCATAATAGTTAAGACTACATGTTTTATGTGCTCTATCAGCTGAATGAATCCATGGAGACAGAGCTCAGAAGAGCTACCATTGTGGGGGCAGGTATTGATTGGTAGAAGGCACAACAGAGTTTTCTAGGGTGCTGGAAATGTGCTTTATCTTGAAATGAGTGATGGTTACATGAGTATGTAACTGTAAAAATGTATCGAGTTGTACACTGAAGATTTATTTCCCTAAAATAATCCTATTCTGTCAAATTTTAAATAGGTACCATTTTTTCTTCTTTTATTCTGCTTGCTAAAATTTTCCATCCTATAAGTTCATCCTTTCATATAAGATACCAAAGTTGAGTTAGACACATCCTTAAAGGCTTCCTTCCCAAGCCTATTGTAATAAGATGGAAGCACAGAGGAAATTAATGTGTTCTTTGTACAACTTGCAAGTGGTTTCTTTACCAAGCAGTACTCCACGGAGCAGAGTCATTGCATTTGCAGGCCCTCTCCCATGTAAGAAACCTGAGGATGGTCTCATAAAATGAGTACTCACCTAGGTCAGGCACAGTGGCTCACGCCTGTAATCCCAGCACTTTGGGAGGCCAAAACGGGTGGATCACGAGGTCAGGCATTTGAGACCAGCCTGGCCAACATAGTGAAACCCCATCTCAACTAAAAATACAAAATTAGTCAGGTGTGGTGGTGGGCACCTGTAATCCCAGCTACTTGGGCTGAGGCAGGAGAATCACAGGAACCTAGGAGGTGGAGGTTGCAGTGAGTCGAGATCACGCCACTGCACTCTAGCCCGGGCGACAGTGCGACACTCCCTGTCAAAAAAAAAAAAGAGTACTCACCAGATTGTGCCATTTTGTTTCATGAATTATACAGGCCCTGGTTAACTGGGACCCAGTGGATCAAACAGTGCTTGCCAATGAGCAGGTGGATGAACATGGCTGTTCATGGCGTTCTGGAGCAAAGGTGGAACAGAAGTACCTCAGACAATGGTTTATTAAGACAACCGCTTATGCAAAGGTGAGTGTCAGCCTGGAGGCTCCCCACTAATGCCTTACATGCTGGCAGGCAACACCAAAGGCTTCTGGGTATGAGAGAGCCTCACTGTTGGGGTTGAGCTCTAGGAAGGGCTGGGAGCCATGGATGTACAGACAGGAAGCAGCTGAGCCTCATCACTCACTTAGCTGGTGATGGGCTGGTATCTTCAACTGTAAGTCAAGTATAGCACCTAGAGGTCATTGTAGGCCATTGTTTGCTGACGTTTCAACTTACTGCCACAGAGGTCAAAAATCATCCATAATTATATCAGTGATAAAGCTTT
Organism: Homo sapiens; assembly: GCF_000001405.40. Taxonomy (NCBI): domain Eukaryota; kingdom Metazoa; phylum Chordata; class Mammalia; order Primates; family Hominidae; genus Homo; species Homo sapiens. The sequence goes on from NC_000003.12 coordinate 45,459,188, forward strand.
AAAAAAGAGAGAGGGGGGCCTTTAAAAAAAGAGAGAGAAAAGTGTCTTCAACTGTGTAGTTCTGATGAGACCTCCAGAAAGATAGAATGAAATCTCAGATAAGTAAATGGACTTTTGGTTTATTAACTTTGGTGCATGTCTTTCCCACCCAACTCTAGACTTCACATGCTTAAATTTTTCAATGGAGGTCCAGAAGAGATTATCTAAAAGAATTGAAGAGATGGCCGGCCTCCATGAGAGAAGGCCAAGTGAAAATGAACTAAGCCAGGCGCTAAAGCTTGATAAACTGGTTCTTGGGCCTTAGTTTTCTCATCAATACAATGAGCAGGTTGGACCAAGCAGTCTTTAAGGTGCCTTCTAGCTCTTTCCGTGTTCAGAGATTCAAGGCAAAACCAATCATTGAAAGCAGGGGCTTGCTTATTAAGTCACCAAGAGCCTGGACAAAAAATCGGTTCTGTAGGTACTGGAACCACTCTGTGCAATTTGCCCTTTGAGCTTACCAAGTTTCAAGGTGCTGGAGTTGAGGGGTCACTCCCTGAAACTCCAGAGAGAAATGGTTAAAGCAAATTAGGGACATTCACATGGCAATTTGGTGACCTTTGTATTCTTATGCATGCATGAGACTGGACATAAGTAGGGTCTGAAAAGGTAAGGGCATCATGAAGGACTACTTATGGCATGTCATGTTGTTCTTCCCCTGTGGTAGTCACCATAAGAAGTATAGTTGTCCCCTTCCATGGTGGCCTGTGAGTTGATTTGTGAGTATCAACTGAAATGGACTCTGGGTTAGATCCAATACTGTTGTTCTTACATACAAAGAAAGCACAAGGTTCTCAATATCCCATGGTCACTACAAAACTTTGTGAATTAGAATTGTAGGACGCCAACTCACAATACCAATGCCATACAGAAATATGACCTCTAGTTTCCTCACATAAAAGACATGTCTTAAATGAGGTTGTTTTTCCATTTTCATTTATTCTGAATGCAGCAGAGAATAGCATATGGATTTGGAGAGGTGCTCATTAGAACTTGTTAACATGGTGCCTTGCTCCTTTTAAGCACAGCAATATTGGAGACTGAATGTGAAGAACAAAGCTGAGGATGTTGCATTCTCTAACACCCCAAGCAGTGGGAGCCCCTGTCTGCTGACAGTTGGGGTCCACTACATTACTGGGAAGGATGCTTGGTTACCTCTTGGACCTGTCAGATGATTCTGTTATAGGCATTGTTGGAAAGTCCACCTAATTAGCTCTTTTGTTTTGACCTCTGCCTCTAGTTGAAAATGTAATAACCTAACTGAGGAGCATTATTCTTTAAATTGTCAGCTGTGAATTTTCAACTGTTCAGTGGAAATGGTTAGTTACCATGGTGACTCACCTGGTTCTTGCTGAACTCCTGTGCAGATGTATTGAAAAAACTGTCTTTTGAAGTCAGCACTTGGTTTACTCTGAAAATCTGGAGAAGAGGGAGAGTAAGACTCCATGAAGCCTAACAGAGAACAATGCTATGGGTCTGAGAACAGAACAGAGACACAGACATGAGGGGGCTGTGCAGTACTGGAAAACATTGGCATTATGACTCAGCCAAGGGTATATAGTTGAGACCCCCAAAAAGGCCATGTATTAGAGTAGGGATGACACCCTAAGACTAATGACAAAATCAAAATAGACTCATTTTAATAAAAAATAAAATAAGCCTGAGTGGTTCAAAAGGAACTTACAGAACAAAACTCAACATCTTTAAAGGGAGACAATGTAATCCAGACTCCCAACGTTGTATCTGCAATGTCCAACATATAATTAAAAATTACTAGACTTGAAAAGAAGCAGGAAATTATGGCCTAAAATCAAGGGGGAAAAAAAGGCATTCCAATAGAAATAGATCCTGAGATGACCCAGATGTTGGAATTAGTAAATAAAGCCAAAGACATCTATTATATAAATGGTCTGGGACTTAAAGGAAAACATGGTCATAATGAATGAACAGATGAGGAATCTCAGGAGAGAGTAGAAACTTTTTTTTTTTAAATGAACCAGTTAGAAATCTAGAATATAAAAGTTTAATATCTGAAATGAAAAATCCACTCTTTGGGGCTACAGATGGATAAGTAAGGGTTAGGTAGACATGAAACTTCAGGGAAGCTCCCCCCTCACACACCTATGTAGTGAACAGCATGTGTAGTGGCCTTAAAACAGAAAAGTATATGATGGGTTTGAAAAACTAAAAGGACACTGTAGCTTAAGTGAAAAGAGCCAAGCAGAAAGGCTCAAGATAGGGCTGGAGAGATGTTTAGGGGCTAGATCAGGCAAGGCCTTTAGGTCTTAAGGAATTTGCACTTTAACCATGGGGACCATAGGAAACCACTAAAGGATTCTAAGGAAGGGAATGGCATGGTCAGATTTATGTTTTTATAAGATCACTGTGGAAGGAAGGGCAAGTGTGGATGCAGAGAGACCAGTTAGAAAGCTATTGCAATGGTCCAGGCATGCAAAATTTAGATGTGGGTGAGAATAGTAGAGAGAAGTGAGTAGGTTAGAAAAATACTCAGGTGGCAAAATCCATAGAGCTTGGTAATAAATTGGAAGAGAGTATGTAGGAGATGGTAACATCAAGGAAGCCGTGGCTTGAATAGCACACAGGGAGTCCTGGAAGAGACATAGTCCTGACCCTTTTCAGTTTGAAATGGCCAGGAGATATTTGAGTAGAGATATGAAATAATAGGAAAATTACTATTTGGATTATTTGGGAAATTATTTGGGAAATTAGGTCCAAAACTTCAAAGATTGAGTGAGATAGGACATCTATTTTAAAACCTGGTATGATAAAAATCGTCTTGAGTTAGTGAAGAAGTCCTGCTATATATAGATAAGATTGAGATGTTGAATCAGTTAGTAATGCTTTCGGCTGCAAGCAGCTGGAAACCTGAGAAATGGTGGCTTAAACAAATGGGAAATTACTGTACCCACATAACAGGCTGCCAAGACTGAACTGGGATAGGGTTCTGGGTTGTCATCTCAGTAGTTCTCTTGGCCCTTTCTTCCTGTCACCTTAAGGCGAGATGGTTGCTGCAGCTCCAGACATCGTGTCTCCATTCAGAACAGGAAGAAAAGGGCTGGGTACCGTGGCTCATGCCTGTAATCTCAGCACTTTGGGAGGATGAAGTGGGAGGATCACTTGAGCCTAGGAGTTCAAGACCAGCTTAGGCAATATCGAGACCCCAATTTCTACCAAAAAAAAAAAAAGAAAGAAAGAAAGAAAGAAGCAGAAGGGGCAGTGCCAAAAACTGTTCCTTTTGTCTAGAAAACAAAAACTTCCTCAAAAATCCCCAGTAGAATTCCACTGATGTCCTGTTAGCCCCAAGTGTGTTTTGGCCACCTCCAGCTTCAAGGGAGACTAGGAAAGCAGGCTTGGGCTTTTTAGCTTCTGTAGTTGAGCTGGAGGGGGGAAGAGGATGGGCAGTAGGTGCTGGGATAGGCAGTAAGCTGTGCCCGCACAGTTATCTTTAGAGCTTTGTATTTGCATCTCGTTTTGCAGCTCTGTGGGCTGCCTCTGTGATGTATGACTGTGGTCTTCTTGGGCGCATGGCTGTGAAGGAGCCCTCCTTTCATTCACTTAACTTCCTAATTTTAAAGACAGTGCCTGATGTGAAAATTACAGAGAACCCAGCAAGATAAAGATGCTTTATTCAGGCTGTTCTGTGATATATTTGATTTTTCTCCTCTTACCCCCAACCCAGTCCTCCTAGGATTGTTTGCTTTGTGAAACATTAAAAGTGATTTCAGCCACTCATTCTGTGAAAAAGAAAACTTGCAGTAGGAGTATCTGAAGAACATGAATTAGTCTTGGCAGAGCTGTGTGGGCGGTGTCTTGTGGGCAGCACTGCTGAGGTGACAGCAAGGGGAGGAGGATGGATTGGAGCCTTATATACAGCAAGCGAAAGGGATTCAGAGTCTGATGGAATGCCTCAGTCCTGGCAGCAGAGTGACAACTGGAAGGAGAGGCAAATAGAGAGAAGGCCTCCCATTTGAATTTCTCTATTAGAGTTGTGATTTTGATTTCTCCTGCTGACTCCGCTGGCCCCTCTCGGCTGCATTGCAGGCTTTCAGCCCCTGGGCACCATGCACGCGCCCCTCCTTGGTGTTAAATGGACATAAGCATGCCTTCATGGTGCTTAGTCAACCCCCATACCAAATTGGTGGTTATGTTTTCAGGAGTTACTTGGCAGCTGCTGTAATACAAAGTCTGTGTTTGCCTCTCATTTCCTACCTGATTATCTCAGATCAGGGCTCAGGCCTTTCTTTGTACCATCTTACTGAACCCTCACTTTAATCTTTTGAGGGTAGGTACTCCTCTTATCTTCATTTTACTGATGAGCAGACTGAGGCTCATACTAGTAATAAGTAATAGCATGGGGATTCAAATCTGAGCAGCTGAGCTGTTAACCCGCAGTCTCTCCTCCTTCTCTGTGGTCTGAATTCATTCATTTTTTTTTTCCTGAGATGTTATTGAGTGCCTGGCCAGACCCTAGGCAGGGTGCTAAGAATACAGACAGAGCAGCTGAGGTCTCTGCTTTTAAGGAGCTTAGACTTTAGTGCCACAGACAGTGGTAGACATGAGCTGTCACATCTCCTGCAAAAGAGTGCAGGGGAGACGAGGAGGAGGAGGAGCCCCAGATCTGCCCAGCGGTCCAAGGAGGTATCACTGAGGAAGTGGTGAAAGATGGGAAGCACAGAATGTCTACAAGGGAGCATCTTCTTGCCCTCCAGATGTGCAGGAAACCTTATTCTTCATCAAGGATTTCTAAGTAGGATGAACTTCTGCTGGTGAGAAGCAGATGGGCAACAGTGAGCCATTATGAAATCAGTGGGCACTGGAGGTAATAAGCGCCCATTTCCCTGCCCTCTTTGTTCCTGTCCTCCTGATTTCACCTGTGAGCTTGTGGGTAAAGCAGAGGTACCTTTACCAGAACACACTGGTCTTGTTTTACCCTGCAGAGCATGCACACATGGGGCTGGAGGAAAGAGGAGGTGAGGGGAGAGAAGGGAAGTTTGTGCCAGGAGTTCTTTGGAGGAGGTGGCGGAGGATGTTAGAGCGAAGAGACAGCCTCAGAGAAGCAGTGAGGCAGGGTCCAGCCTCCAAGAGTCATCTGGACTCTGGAATGAAGACCGTTAGGGGGACCTTTGTTCCACCTCTGAGGCACTGGGATACTTATGAAAGCATTTGGCTGCCCTCTAGAAATTGGGCCTCTTGCCTGGCTTTCTGCTCGTAACTTCAGATCCTGTCTCAGCCCCAGAACAGAGGCTGGGTCACAGGTAGCACCAGGAAGTGCCTCTCCAGTCACATCGTCCCCTTAAT